>NC_000011.10:58767498-59070528 GCF_000001405.40 Homo sapiens
GTACATCTTGAATTGAGCAAATGTCACCTAAACCAGTATACTCCTTTCCAAGGGCAGTCACCCACCTACCAATGGCAAGCTCCCAAGTCTCTTCACATTTATTTATCAATTCAAAGCAAAACCGGGCTGTATTCAGTCAAAAATTTCTCACAGGTCTAGCATACTTCCCTGTATACAGTAGGTGTCTGATACAGGTTTTTCAAAAGCTTCCTTTTCTCCCAGTATAATTCTCAGCCTAAACGGGAATTCTTTAATAAATTCTTATTTACTGATGAGAATTCATGAATGCAAAGAAGGGAACAACAGATGCTGGGGCCTACTTGAGGATGGAGGGTGGGAAGAGGGAGAGAAACAGAAAAAAATGGTTATTGAGTACCAGGGTAATTACCTGCGTATGAAATAATCTGTACAACAAACACCCATGACACAAGTTTACCTATATAGCAAACCTGCACATGTACACCCAAACCTAAAATAAAAGTTTTTTAAAAGGAATTTTTATTTACATCCAACAGGAGTACTTTGATTTATTCTACTTCAGTGGGAGAGCAAAAGGAGATGAGGAGTCCCAGAGCAATAAGTCTCCTTTTTTCTCACCTATCAAGCTCTCTTCTCATGCACCCTCTGCAGAGGTCAAAGGAAAGAAAAGGGTCAGCAGACTATTCCAGAAGATGAAATGTACACTCTGAGTATAGTGGTCTTAAAGTATTTGCTTTGATTTGTTTTCTGCAGAGACTACTGAGCTCATGTTTTTAAGAGAACACATACACCAAGCTCAGAAAACTTCTGGCAGCTGAATGTGAGATTAAGCACCTCCCTCTGTGTCCCACATTCTGGGAGATGGCTCTGTAACATCAACAGCTTGGCAAGGTGCGTTTTGAGGCTCTTTGTCCGGAAGGCTGAACTGCTTTCTACTTCCAAAGGTCCTAACTTTAATCAGAAACTCTGAGCTGTGAAACCAACAGGTCAAGAGCTGGGCTGTGGATGGGTCTCTAAGGCAATATCAATTTTCTTCCCTCTGCTTTTATAGGTACCTGCAGCAGAAGCAAAAATCAGCTATTGTTAAGATTTGATGTTTAGAACTGCAACTCTTTTCTTAAACATTGGTTAAGTATCTATTTAGAGAGACTAAAAAATTGAGGATTCTAAACCTTTAGAATAAACTCAATGAACTCCAGGCAGAAATAAACAAAAAGAGGGTGTGCAGCCTAGGAGTTCCAAGCCAGGATCTACGGACAGCATTCAAGTGGAAGAGGAGTCCATACCTTCAGAGCACTAAGTGGGAGCATGGCTGCAAGCATGAGGAAGTACAGAGGAGACACCAGGCTAACAGCCTATCTACCAGCCATTACACTTAAGCACCATCTGCTAGATTACAGCCCAAACTAGAATACCAAATATACTTTGCTAATATACCCCTCTGTGAAACCAAGGTCAAGAATTCAGCCTCAAATAAGACCCTGCACAAAGCCTTAGCCTGCTGAAAACATTCAAAATTGAAACCAACTGATTACACTCAAATTATGCCACAGGTAAAGGAACTTTAGCCCACAAAAATGAGAAAAAAATCAGTGCAAGAACTCTGGCAACTCTAAAAGCCAGAGTTCCTTTTTACTTTTAAATGATGACACTAGATCCCCATCAATGATTCTTAAGCAGAATAAAATAAATGGCTGACTCCAGGCACGGTGGCTCATGACTGTAATCCCAGCATTTTGGGAGGCTGAAGTGGATAGATTGCTTAAGACTAGGAGTTCAAGACCAGCCTGGCCAATATGACAAAACTCCTCTCTACAAAAAATACAAAAATTAGCCAGGTATGTTGTCATATGCCTGTAATCCCAGCTTTTTGGGAGGCTGAGGCACAAGAATTGCTTGAACCCAGGAGGCAAAGGTTGCAGTGAGTTGAGATTGCACCATTGCACCTGACAGAGCAAGACTCTGAAATGGTTAGGCTTTCTGTCCCCACCCAAATCTTATCTTGAATTGTAATCTCCATAATCCCAGTAATCCCCACGTGTCAAGGGAGGGACAAGGTGGAGGTAATTGATTCATGGGGGTGGTTTCCCCCACACTGTTCTCGTGATAGTAAGTGAGTTCTCATTAGTTCTGATGGTTTTATAAAGGACTCCTGCCCCTTCACTCAGCATTTTTCCTTCCTGCTACCTTGTGAAGAAGGTGCCTTGCTTCCCCTTCACCTCCCACCATGATTGCAAGTTTCCTGACACCTCCCAAGTGATGCTGAACTGTGAGTCAATTAAACCTCTTTCTTTTATAAATTACCAATTCTCAGGCAGTTCTTTATAGCAGTATGAAAATGGACTAATACACTCTGTCTCAAAAAAAATGAAAGAAAGAAATGGCTAAAATCACACACATAGAATTTACAATCTACATGGCAATGAAGATCATTGAGATTCAGGAGAAAGTTGAAACCTGATCCAAGGAATCTAAGGAATCCAGTAAAAGAATTCAAGAAATAAAAAATAAAATAGGCATTTTAAGAGAAAAACAATTGATCTGATAGAGCTGAAAAACACTACAAGAATTTCATAATATAATTGGAAGTATTAATAGCAGAATTGACCAAGCTGAGGAAAGAATCTCAGAGCTCAAAGTGAAGAAAGAACTAATGAAATCAATTATAACCTAATAGTAGTAGTAATAGAAATTTTAAAATCCTCTGAAAGTTGCTGCAAAGTGTGACCCCCCACCTTACACTCAAGTTAAAAGGGATTATTAAAAGCCTGTCTTCTCTCTGTGGATAGTGGACCTTATCTATGCTCCCCAACTCCACATTCCTCAAAGTTTATTACAGGCCCAGTGAGTTCCTGCATGATTGCAGGGTCACAAGACTGATAAGTTTAGGTTGCAAGTCATGTCTTTCTCAAAATGTAAGAAACAGTGCAACGCCACTTTTGTTTCTTGCTTCTGTAACTCGCTTCTTACCTCACATAATTCCTGCCTTAAAATGTTTAAAAGTAGGAAAAGCCCTTTGTTTGGGGCTCAGACTTTCTGGACATATGTCCAGCTGGGCCAGTGATGACCTTAATAGACTCTCCTGAACCTTTTTTGGTCTCTCCAGTCTTTGATTGTCCTGTAACATTTCTGGGGGCTTATCCGGGATTGGAGATGGCAGATTTTCTGTCTTCTTTGCCTGTGGGCTAGAGCCCCAGGATGTGGGAGATCTGGGGTCCTTGGCACCGCTGGGAGAGTTTCAGCCTGGAAGGAGAATGGCCCTCCCGCATTCCAGAGCCTTCCCCTGACAGCACCAAAGGAACCAGTGGAAAGGGTTGCAGGACAGTCACAGGAGCAGTGCACAGACATCTGAACCATGGTAAGGTTTGGGCCCTAAGGCAAGACCTATCCCAAAAGGATGAAAGGGGAGCCTGATCACCTCCCAGGGCGTGATGACTAGTCTGACCCACGAGGGTTGGGAACAACAGGAGAGGCCTGTTGACTCAGACGAATCTCACACCCTAACTGACACCAGATGTGGGTGGGGCTCGTGAGTCAGTCAAAAAGGAAAACTGGTTTGGGACGGGGGAGGTATGTGAAAGTGTGTGAAAGAGATGGTCTTGGGAGAGACCAATGCAGGGCATGATGTGGGGAGGGACAGATCTCTTAGTGCGGACTGTGTGCTCCAAAGCAATTGTGGGAAAAACCAGACCTAGGATACTGCATAAAGCCCATAAGACCAACTCCAGGGCTGCAGCTAACTGTGACAGGAATTAAGGCACACTCCTGGCTAAGCAGTGTCTGAACCTCTCGCAACAGGACCCAGTCTGGTGGATGCAAGAGTGAAAGTGAGAGTGAAAGCGTGCCATGAGGGAGGAAACGGGAGGAAAAGCATCAAAGCCTACTCCACTGGAGTGCATGCTGAAAAACTTTTAAAAAGGTTTTAATGGTGATTATGGGGTTAAGCTAACTCCACAAAAACTGAGAACCCTTTGTGAGATAGACTGGCCATCTTTTAATGTAGGGTGGCCCCACCTGAAGAGTTAGAAAGTCCACCCCCTTATGCACCAATTTATTCATCCCTGGCAAGGCTTAGACAGGAGGCTGCTCTGGCTGCCTCCGGAGGCTCAGACTCAGAAGAAAGCACTCCTCAGGCAATACCATGCAGAGAGGACCCAGAGCCAAAAAGCCAAGGGAGGAATTCCAGGGGGATGAGGTCAGCCACCTTAGCTCAGGCCATGCCTGAGCAATGCAGACGCCCCTCCAAGAAACATGGGGACAAATTTATTTGAATGCACAGAATGAAGTCGAAGGGGGAGAATGGCTCTTCTTTTATCAGCCCTTCTCTACTACTGATCTCTTAAATTGGAGGCAACATACTCCTTCCTATGCAGAGAAGCCTCAGGCTCTTATAGATCTAATGCAGTCCATTTTCCTAACTCACAATCCTACCTGGGCTGATTGCAAAGAACTTCTTCTGTCATTGTTTAATACAGAAGAGCACCATAGAGTTATACAAGCTGCTCTCCAGTGGCTGGAGGACAATGAGCCTGCAGGCACAGGAGATATCAGGCACTATGCACAACAAGCACTCCCAATAGAGGCTAACCCAGGCTGGGACCTTAACCAAGCTCAAGGGCTACAAAGTTTGCAGCAGTATTGAGAGGTACTCCTACATGGAATAAAGGCTGGAGGGAAAAAGGCCACCAATATCAGAAATGTCTCAAGAGGTCTGCCAGAAGTCAGATGAAAGTCCCAGTGAATTTTGTGAGAGGCTCTGCAAGGCTTACCAGCTTTATATGCCATTTGACCCTGAGGCTGCTGAAAAACAGTGCCTGGTAAATAGGGCATTTGTAGGTCAGGCCCAGGGAAATATCAGACATAAATTGCAGAAGTTAGAAGCTCTGCAGGTGTGAGTGCTACTCAGCTTATTGAAGTGGCTACCAAGGTGTATATTAACCAAGATCAGGAGACAAAGAAGGAAGCTAATCAGAAGCTTAAGGAAAGGCAGATTTGCTAGCAGCAGCCCTAATGGGAAGGGAAGCTGACTTTTCAAAGAGGCATGGGTGGGGTGGTGAAAGAGGCCAGTATGGACAGGGATTTAAGAGCTGGCTGAGGCTAGAAAAAGATTAATGTGTATGGTGCAAAAGGAAAGGACACTGAGAGGATGAATGTCAAGAGACTAAGGAAAATGGTCAGAATCATCGTATAAGAAAGCCACTGGCCAAGGGCTACTGCACCTGGGAAAAACCGAAAACCTTCTGCACCTGCTGTGGAAGGCAAGCTACAAAGTGTCAGGAAAAAGGCTCAAATCTGCTTTAAAAGTTTCCAGTATTTAGGCTTCTATGTAAGCCAAGGGAAAAGATGGCTTGGTGGAGAATGAAAGCAGGCTGTTTGTGCACTTCCTACTCCAACCACCCAGCACCAGATAAGAAAGTTCCTAGAGACAGCAGGGTTCTGCCACATTTGGACCCTAAGTTTCTTGCTCATGGCTAAGCCATTATATGAAGCCACAAAGTGGGGGGAAAGGAACCCCTCCTGTGGGGAAAAGAGCAGGTCATGGCCTTCAAAGAAATCAAGAAGGCTTTGATCCAGGCCCTGGCATTAGGACTGCCAGACACACAAAGCCTTTTTACTGTACGTCCATGCAAGAAAAGGAATAGCTACAGGTGACTTTTGGTACAAACACTAGGATCATGGTATCTGCCCGTGGCATATTTGTCCAAGCGACAAGACTTGGTGGCTATGGGATGGCCACCTGTTTCAAGGCATTGGCAGCCACTACCACATGTTAGCAGAAGATGCTAACAAGCTCACATTTGGACAAAGGTTAATAATTTGGGTGCCTCACACGGCCATCACCCTGATGGAGCAGAGGGGGCATCGCTGGTTTTCTAACCCTAGGATTTAAAAATATCAAGGGCTATTGTGTGAAAACCCCTACAGAACCCTGGAGACTGTGAACACTCTAAATCCAGCCATACTGCTGCCAGTAGAATGGGTGGAGCATGGAAAGCCCCCATTGTGAGGCCCAGGGTATCACTGTTGTGTGGAAACAGTGGATGAGGTTTTCTCAAGCCGAGAAGACTTAAAGGACCGGCCCTTAAGAGACCCAGATGTTGAATACTTTACTGATGAAAGCAGTTTCATATCTGAAGGTATCAGATGGGCTGGATATGCAGTGGTAACACTGAATTCAGTAGCTGCAGGCCTCCCTCTGCCAGTCAGAACTTTGGCCCAAAGAGCTGAGCTAATAGCTCTCACTAGAGCACTGCTCTTGGCCAAAGGAAAGTCAGTAAACATCTATACTGTCTCAAGGTATGCTTTTGCCACTTTGCCTGTTCATGGAGCCATATAAGGAAAGAGCATTATTAACTACTGAAGGAAAGGAAATCAAAAATAAAAAGAAAATAGAGCAGTTCTTAGAAGCTATATGGGCTCCAAAAGAAGTAGCAGTCATCCATTGCAAAATGCATAAAACAGTAGGAGGTGACGAGACTAGAGGAAATGGAAAGGCAGATAGAGAAGCCAAAAGAACTGCAATGGCAGAGGTAACTAAGAAGGAAGAGAAAACACTTACCATGCCCTTACTGGAGCTTCCACTTACAGAACCCCCTAACTACTCCTCTAATGAAAAGGCTTAGTTTGAGAGGAGAGTGGAAGTTACCAGAAAGGAGGTTGGTGGAAGTTCTCAGATGGGAGGCTTGCCATCCCAGAAGCAATAGCCCTCTGGTTCATAAAGCAGTTTTATCAAGGAACACATATGGGAAAAATTGCATTAGAAACTCTTGTAGGATGGCATTTCTACGTGCCACACCTAACTGCCATCACTGGAGCTGTTTCTGAGCAATTCTTGGCTGGTGCCCAAAACAATCCATGGCAGGGGCCAACACGGCCCCCAAGGATTCAAGAAACTGGAGCTACACCCTGTGAAAACCTGCTTGTGGATTTTACCAAGCTGTCTCAAGCCAGAGGCTACCGGTACATGCTAGTATTTGTCTGCACTTTCTTATCAGACAATGGCTCAGCATTTGTGGCAGAAATAGTACAACAGCTAACGCAGATGTTAAAAATCAAATGGAAACTGCATACAGCTTATTGCCAACAGAGTTATGGAAAAGTTGAAAGAATGAACTGGACACTGAAACAGCTGTTAAAGAAGTTTTGCAAAGAAACTCATCTAAAGTGGGTTCAGGTGCTGCCTATGGTCCTGCTCTGAGTCAGGTGCACCCCTATTAAATTAACTGGGTATTCACCCTATGAAATAGTGTTCAGCTGACCCCAATCATAACTCTGATAAAAGGGGATTTTAAAAAATTGGGGAATTAACCTTAAGAAGGCAAATGCAAGCCTTAGGTGAGGCCATGCAGGAAATACAAGGGTGGGTTAGAGAAAGAATACCTGTTAGCCTCACAGATGCAGTCCATCCCTTCCAACCTGGAGACTCTGTCTGGATCAAACGATGGAACCCAACCACTTTTGGGCCTTTATGGGATGGTCCCCATATTGTGATCTTGCCTACCCCCGCTGCTGTTAAAGTTGCAGGTATCATACCTTGGGTTCTTCATAGCCAGCTGAAACCAACAGCAGCCACTGCCCAGGACCAGTGGACCAGTCAACAATACCCAGACCACCCAACACGGCTGATCCTACAGTGAAATCAAGCCACTGCTGACAAGAACAACTGAACAACTGCCCTGCTCCAACCACACCAGAGGCTGGGTCAGTCCACGCATGGCTGAAGCTTAAGGAAACATCGAGCCCTGTTCTAGTCACAACTGGAAGCTGACTAGTCTACGCATGGCTGAAGCCTGAGAAAGTCAATGATAGATAAGTAAATGTGGGTTGAATTTACAAACATAGTTATACTCTTACTTGTACTGACTATTTTGCTGTCATGTTATCTTTGCAAATGCTGCCAAGCTTGTTGCCCAGAGGGGTGCCCATGCATAGTATAAGTTTAATCATACTAGTAATACTAAAGCCACTGACACTTTCACCTATGGTTATAAATGGGGACCAAGATGACTGTCATCACTGTATGATAGAAGCCTGGTCCGGAAAAGGTGTGACTAAAACTCTGTTATATCAGACCTACTATGAGTGTACAGGGACTCATACAGGAACTTGTGTCTATAACCAGACTTGTTACTCAGTCTGTGATCCTGGAAACAGGCAACCCTAAGTATGTTATGACCCAGAGTTCTTGCCCTGTGATTTCTCATTTGAAGTCCAAATTGGCAAATCCCTAATGCCATCATATACAAACCCCACAGAAACCGGGGTCAATAAACTTGTAAACAAAACAGAAGTATTCCCTTACTTGCATAAAGGGCCTGTCTCCATATATTTTGATGCCTGCCAAGCTGATGTATGTGGAGGTACTAATATAGAAGATCAATGGCCCTGGAAGCCAGAGAACTGATGCCACAGGACAGTTTTACCTTGCCTGAATTTGAGGAACACCTGCAGGATTATATTGGATCTGTGGAACAAAAGCTTATCAATTGCTGTCTGATAAATGGATAGGGGCGAGTGTATTAGGAACAATAAGGCTATCCTTTTTCCTACTCCCACTGCAGCAAGGGAAAAATCTAAGGTATCTGGTCTATGATGAAGGCAGAAAAAGAGTCTGAAGAAATGTGTTTACAAAAATAAGTACTTGGAAAAAATAAATACTACCATTAAAAGGACATTGAAATAGGGAGCTGGAAAGAGAATGAATGGCCCCTTGAAAGAATTAACAAATACTATGTACCAGCCACCTGGGCACAAAATGGGTCATGGAGATACCATACTCCTATTTATATGTTAAGTTGCATCACAAGGTTGCAAGCAGTTCTGGAAATTATAGTCATTGAAACAGCCTGAGCCTTAGACTTGCTAGCCATACAGGCGACCCAGATGAGAGATGCCATTTATCAGAACAGGTTAGCCCTGGATTATCTTTTAGCTTCAGAAGGAGGAGTTTGTGGAAAACTTAATTTAATGAATTGCTTTTTACAAATTGATGACAATGGAAAAGCTGTCATGAAAATCACTGCCAGGATGCTAAAGTTAGCTCATGTTCTGGCCCAGATGTGGTCTGGTTGGAACCCGAGTTCACCCTTTGGAGGATGGTTTTCATGGTTTGGAGGCTTTAAAACTTTAATAATAGGCTTTGTGGCCATAATAGGTGTATGCCTCCTGCTTTCTTGTCTCCTGCCACTTCTCATCAGAAGCATCCAATCCACCATAGAAGCAATAGTAGCCAGACATACCACCACATGAATAGTGGCTCTGCAAAAGTACCAACCAGTATCCCAAGATGAGTATGTACCCACTCAAGAAAAAATAGCTAACTGTGGTTCTCTTTACTAATCTACATTTGTGTCATGCACCAAAAGGGGGGAATGAAGAAGGAATTAATGAAATCAACTATAACCTAATAGTAGTAGTAATAGAAGTTTTAAAATCCTCTTAAAGTTGCTGCAAAGTGTGACCTCCCCTTACACTCAAGTTACAAGGGAATATTAACAGCCTGTCTTCTCTCTGTGGACAGTGGACCTTATCTATGCTCCCCAACTCCACATTCTTCAAAGTTTATTACAGGCCCAGCGAGTTCCTGCACGACTGCAGGGTCACAAGACCGATAAGTTTAGGTTGCAAGTCATGTCTTTCTCAAAATGTAAGAAATGTTGCAATGCCGCCGTTGTTTCTTGCTTCTGTAACTTGCTTCCTGCTTCACGTAGTTCCTGCCTTAAGATATTTAAAAGTAGTAGAAGCTCTTTCTTCGGGGCTCAGGCTTTCTGGACACATGTCCGTCTGGGCTGGTGATCACCTTAATGGACTCTCCTGAACATTTATCGATCTCTTTGGTCTTTGATTGTCTCACAACAAAGATTGGTTCTTTGATTTAACTTCGTCAGACAAAAATAAAAAAGAATGAACAAAACCTTGAGATATATGGGATTATATAAAGAGACCAAACCTATGACTCATTGGCATCCCTAAAAAAGAGAGTAAGCAAGTTGCAAAACATTGTCCATCAAAATCTCCTCAACCTAGTTAAACGGGTTGACAAAGAAATTTAGGAAATTCACAGAACCCCTGCAAGATACTATACAAGATGATCATCCTTGAGACATATAGTCATCGGATTCTCCAAGGTCAATGCAAAAGAAAAAATATTAAAGGCAGCTAAAGAGAAGGGGCATGTCACCTACCCACAAGGGGAACATCATCATGCCAGCAGAAAACTTTTCAGCAGAAACTCTAAAAGGCAGAAGAGATTGGGGGCCTATATTCAGCATTCTTGAAGAAAAGAAATTCCAATCAAGAAGTTCCTATACAGCTATACTAAAATTCATGAGCAAAAGAGAAATAAAATGCTTTTCAGACAAGCAAATGTTAAGGGAATTTATTACCAGACCTGACTTAAAAGGAGTCCTTAAGGGAGCACTACACATGGAATCAAAAGACCATTACTGGCCACTGCAAAAACGCAGTGAAGTACACAGCCCATTGACACTATAAAGGAACTACACAATCAAGCCTACATAACAACTAGTTAACAACACAATAACAGAATCACATCCACACATATCAGTATTAACTTTGAATATAAACAAGTTAAATGATTCCACTTAAAGGGTGCAGAGTGGCAAATTAGATAAAGAAGTAAGACCCAACTATATGCTCTCTTCAGGAGATCCATGTCACATATAATGACAATCATAGGCTCAAAGTAAAGGGATGGAAGAAGATCTATCAAGCAAACAGAAAACAAAAAAAGGGTTACTATTCTTATCTCAAAGTACATTTTAAACAAACCATGATCAAAAGGATAAAGAAGGACATTACATCATGATAAAGGGTTCAATTCAACAAGAAGACTTAAATAGTATACATATTACATATTATTTATTATTTAAATATATTTAATATTATATACTAAATATTATATATAGATGTATATCTATTCTCTATACATATATATATATATATATATATATCTAACACCGGAGCACCCAGATTTATGAAACAAGTTCTTAGAGACCTGTGAAGAAACTTAGATAACCACAAAATAATAGTGGGAGATTTCAACACCCCACTGACAGTATTAGACAAATAATTGAGGCAGAAAACTAACAAGAATATTCAGAATCTAAATTCAATGGTTGACCAAATAGACTTCACAGACATCTACAGAACATACCACTTACCACTCCAAACAAGAGAATATACATTCTCCTACTCTGCACATGGCACATACTCTAAAATCAACCACATTCTCAGCCATAAAGCAATTCTCAACAAATTCAAAAATAACCAAATCATACCAACCACAGTATCAGATCACAGCACAATAAAAATAGAAGTCAATACCAATGAGATATCTCAAAACCATATATTTAAATGCAAATTAAATAACCTGCTCCTGAATGACTTTTGGGTAAACAATAAAATTTAGGCATAAAGCAATTTTTTTGAAACTAATGAAAACAAAGATACAACATATCAGAATCTCTGAGATATAGACAAAGCAGTGGTAAGAGAAATGTTCATAGCACTAATTATCCACATCAAAAAGTCAGAAATGTCTCAAAATAACAGCTTGACATCACACCCAGAGGAACTAGAAAAACAAGGGCAAACCAAACCAGAAGCTAGCAGAAGAAAAGAAATGAACAAAATCCAAGCTGAACTGAACAAAATGGAGATGTGAACAAAACATACAAAAAGATCAGTAAAACCAAAAGTTGGTTCATTGAAAGAATAATAAGATTGATACACCACTATCTAGGGTAATAAAAAAAGAGATAAGATCCAAATAAATGCAAGCAGAAATGATGAAGGAGGACATTAGCACTGCTCCCATAGAAACACAAAAACCCTCATAGACTATTATGAACACTTCTATGCATACAGACTAGAAAACATAAAGAAAAAAAAAGATAAACTCCTGGAAACATACAATCTCCCAAGATTGTATTAGAAAGAAGTTGAAACCCTTAACCAACCATTAACAAGTTCCAAAACTGAATCAGTAATAAAAAATCTACTGCATTAGTCTGTTCTCATGCTGCTAATAAAGACATACCCAAAACTGTGTAATTTATAAAGAAATTTCAATGGACTCACAGTTTCACATGGCTGAGAGGCCTCACAATCATGGCAGAAAGTGAAGGAGGAGAAAAAAACACGTCTTACATGGTGGCAGACATGAGTGCATGTGCAGAAGAACTGTCCTGTATAAAACCATCCCATATCATGAGACTTATTCACTATCATGAGAACATACATAAGAAACCCACTGCCATGATTCAATTACCTCCTACCAGGTCCCTCCCAGGACAAATCAGGATTATGGGAGCTACAAATCAAGATGAGATTTGGGTGGGTACACAGCCAAACCATATTATTCTGCCCCTGGCCCCTCTCAAATCTCATGTCCTCACATTTCAAAACCAATCATGCCTTCCCAACAGTCCCCCAAAGTCTTAACTCATTTCAGCATTAACTCAAAGTCTGCAATCCAAAGTCTTATCTGAGACAAGGCAAGAACTTTCTGCCTATGAGCCTATAAAATTGCAAGCAAGTTATTTTCTTTCTACATACAATGGGGACTACAGGCATTGGTTAAATACACCCATTCAAAATGGGAGAAATTGGCCAAAACAAAGGGCCTCAGGCCTCATGCAAGTTCAAAATCCAATAGGGTACTCATTAAACCTTCAAGTTCCAAAATGATCTCCTTTGACACCATGTCTCACATCCAGGTCATGCTGATGCAAGAGGTAGGCTCCCATGGCCTTGGGCAGCTCTGACCCTGTGGCTTTGCAGGGTACAGCTCCCTATCTGCCTCCTTTTACAGGCTGGAGTTGAGTGTCTGCAGCTTTTCCAGGTGTGGGTGAAAGCTGTCAGTGGACCTACCATTTTGGAGTCTGGAGGACAGTGGCCCTCTTCTCACAGCTCCACTAGGCAGTGCCCCAGTGGGAACTCTGTGTGGGGGCTCCAATCTCACATCTCCTCTGCCCTAGCTAAGGTTCTCTATGAGGGCTCTACCCCTGCAGCACACCTCTGCCTGGACATGCAGGCATTTCCATGAAATCTAGGCAGAGGTTCCTAAACCTCCATCCTTGTCTTCTGTGCACCCACAGGACCAACAACACATGAAAGCTGTTAAGGCTTGGGACTTGCACCCTCTGAAGTCATGGCCCGAGTTGTACATTGGCCCCTTTTAGTCACAGCTGGAGTGGCTGGGATGCAGGGCACCAAGTTCCAAGGCTGCACACAGCAGGGGAGCCATGGACTTGGCCCAGAAACCATTTTCCCTCCTAGGCCTCCAGGCCTGTTGTGGGAGGGGCTGCCATGAAGTTCTCTGACATGCGCTGGAGACATTTTCCCCATTGTCTTGGTGATTAACATTTGGCTCCTCATTACTTATGCAAATTTCTGCTGTGGACTTGAATTCTTCCCAGAAAATGGGTTCTTCTTTTCTACCGCATCATCAGATTGCACATTTTTCAAACTTGTGTGATCTGCTTCATTTTGAACACTTTACCACTTAGAAATTTCTTCTGCCAGATACCCTAAATTAACTCTCTCAAGTTTAAAGTTTCACTTATCTCTAGGGCAGGGGAAAATGCTACCAGTTTCTTTGCATAGCAAGAGTGACATTTACTCCAGTTCCCAACAAGTTTCTCATCTCCATCTGATACCACCTCAGCCTGAACTTTATTATCCATATCACTTCAGCATTTTTGTCAAAGCCATTCAACAAGCCTCTAGGAAGTTCCAAACTTTATCACTTTTTTTTTATATTCTTCCACATCCTCTAAATTGTTTCATCCTCTGCCTCTTACCCAGTTTCAAAGTCACTTCCACATTTTCAGGTATCTTTACAGCAGCACTACACTCTACTGCTACCAATTTATTGTATTATTCTGTTTTCATGCTGCTTATAAGGACATACCCAAGACTTGGAAACTTATAAAGAAAAAGAGGTTTCATTGACTTACAATTTTACATGGCTGGGGAGGCCTCACAGGCCTCACAATTATAGCAGAAGGTGAAGGAGCAAAGGCACATCTTACATGGTGGCAGGCAAGAGAGCATGTGCAGGAAAACTGCCTTTTAGAAATCAATCAGGTGTCATGACACTTATTCACTCTCATGAGAACAGCACAGGAAAAACCCACCCCCATGATTCAATTACCTCCTACTTGGTCCCTCCCATGACACATGGAAATTATGGGAGCTACAATTCAAGATAAAATTTTGGTAGGGACACAGCAAAACCATATCAACTATCATTCAGAAAAAGCCCTGATTCAGATGGATTAATAGCCAAATTTTACCAGAGATATGAAGAAGAGCTATAACAACTTAATTGAAATTATTACTGAAAATTTAGTAGGAGGGACTGCTCCCTAAGTCATTCTATGAGGCCAGCATCATTCTGTAACAAAATCTGGCAGAGACATGACAAAAAAGAAAACTAAAGGCTAATATCCCTGATGAACATAGATGCAAAAATTCTCAACAAAATACTAGCAAACTGAATCCAGCAGCACATCAAAATACAATCCATCACAATCAAGTATGCTTTATCCCTGTGACTCAAAGTTGGTTCAACATATGCAGATCAAAAGACATAATTTATCACATAAACAGACCTAAAAACAAAAACCACATGACTATCTCAATAGACACAATAGACACAAAAGACTGTCAATAAAATTTAACATCCTTCATGTTAAATACCCTCAACAAACAAGGCATTGAAGGAACATACTTCTAAATAATAGGAGCTATTTATGACCAACTGACAGCTGAGATCATACTAAATGGGCAAACGCTAGGCACAATCCCCTTGAGAACCAGAACTAGACAAGGATGCCCACTCTCACTAATCCTATTCAACATTGTACTGGAATTCCTAGCCAGAGAAATCAGGCCATATAGAAAGAAATAGAAGGAGGATGGGTGCAGTGGCTTATACTTGCAATCCCAGCACTTTGGGAGGCTGAAGTGGGAGGATCACTTGAGGTCAGGAGTTTGAGACCAGCCTGGTCAACATGGTGAAAGACCATCTCTCCTGAAAAAATAAAAAAATTATCTGGACATAGTGTACATCTGTAGTCCTAGCTACTCAGGAGTCTGAGGCATAAGAATTACTTGAACCCCGGAGGTGGAGCTTGCAGTGAGCTGAGAATATGCCACTGCATTCCAGCCTGGAGAACAGAGTGAGACTCCATCTCAAAAAAAATTAAAAATTACAAGAAATAAAAGGGGTCCCAATAGGAAAAGAGGAAGTCAAAATATGTCTCTTTAAATATGATATGATTTTATACCTAGAAAACCCCATAGTCCCTGCACAAAACTTCCTAGAACTGATAAACAACTTCAGCAAAGTTTTAGGATAAAAAATCAATGTAAAAAAATAAGTAGCATTTTTGAAAACACCAAAAATGTCCAAGCTGACAGCCAAATCGAGAATGCAATTCCATTCATAATAGCCGCAAGAGAACAAAATACCTAGTAATACAGATAACTAGAGAGGTGAAATATCTCTACAATGACAATTACAGAACACTGCTGAAAGAAATCAGAGATGACAAAAAGAACTGCAAAAACATTCCATGATCATGGATAGAAAGAATTAACATTGTTGCAATGGCCATACTGCCCAAAGCAATTTGCAGATTCAATGCTATTTATATCAAACTACCAATGACACTTTTCACGTGAAGTACCCAGACATATAAGGCAAATGTTACTAGAGTCAAAGAAAGAGATGGACCTCAATACAAAAAAAGTGTTTGTGGACTTTAGTTACCCAAACTTCAGAATTGAATTGATCATCCAGACAGAAAATCAACAGACACATTTGATTTAACCTGCAATATAGACCAAGTGGACCTAATGGTTATTTGTAGATTATTTTATTTAACACTGCAGAATATACATTCTGCTCATTAGCACATGGAACATCCTCCAGGATAGACTATATATTAGCCTGCAAAACAAGCATCAGCAAATTTTTAAAAATAGAAACAGAGGAACAAAATGGAATAAAACTAGAAATTCATAAAAATAGGGACTTTGAAAAGTATACAAAGACATGAAAATTAAACAACATGCTCCTGAATGTCATTTGGGTCAATGAAGAAATTAAGATAAAAACAAAAACATTTGTTGAAATGAATGCAAATGGAATCATAACATACCAAAACCTAGGAATACAGCAGAAGTAGTGCTAAGAGGAAAATTTACAGCAACAAACAATTAGATACAAAAAGCAGAAAGATTTCAAATAAAGAACATGATAATGCACCTTAAAGAATTAGAAAAGCAAGAACAAAGCAAACCCAATAATGAGCAGAATTTTTTTTTAAATCAGTTTAAGAACAATACAAAGAATCACCAAAACAAAAATTTGTGTTTTTTGAAAGGATAAACAAAATTTTAAAACTTTTAGCTGGATTAATTTGAAAAACAGAGAAAAAACCAAATAAATACAATCATAAATTTAAAAGGAAGCGTAACAACTGGCACCACAGAGTTACAAAGGATTTTAAAGACTACTATATGCCAGTAAGTTGGAAAACCTGGAGTAAATAGATGAATTTCTGGATGTATACAAGCTACCAAGATTAAACCATTAAGATATAGGATACCTGGAACATACAGGCAACAAATAACAAGATAGAAGCAGTAATAAAAAGTTTCTCATCAAAGAAAAGACCAGGACCTTATGGATTCACTACTAAGTTCTACCAAAAAATTTTAAAATACTAATTTTTAAAATTAGTAATACTACTCAAACTATTCTAAAAAATTGATGGGAAAGAAATACTTCTAAACTCATTCTATGAGGCCAGCATTAACCTGATACAAAAACCACGTGAAGAAACACACAAAAAAGAAAACTACAGGCCAATATCCTCATTAATATATATTCAAAAATCTTCAACAAAATACTAGCTAACTGAATTCACTGATACATCGACAAGATTATTCACCATGATCAAGAAGGATTTATCCCAGGGGTGCAAGGATGATTTGACATATAGAAATCACTAAAAGTGATACATTACATTAATAGAATCAAGAACATAAGCCACATGATCATTTCAATAGACGCCAAAAAATAAATCAAGTTCAACATTTCTTCATGATAAAAACTCAACACAATAGGTATAAAAAGGGACTTCAAAACAGTCCTAGAAATAATGAAATTAAAAGATAAAAATAAAAGTATAAATATCATTTCTCAAAGGTTCTATCAAGTTCAAGACACTTTTATAAGTGATGATGCCAGCCATTTTGTTCACCATAAAAGACTGAGAATTTAACCATGTCAATGCAGTCCTTTTTTACATCATTGACTGAAGAAAAATGGGTGTCCTTTAAGATTTAAGATTAGGAAACAAAAAGAAGTCAGAAGAAGCCAAATCAGGATTGTAAGGTGGATGCCTAATAATATTTCATCAAAACTCTCAGAAAATCGTCTTTGTTAAAAAGAAGCATGAGTAGCAATATTGTTGTGTTGTAGAAGGACTCTCTTTCCTGGGCATTTGTTTTATGCTAAAGGTTTGGCTAAATTTCTTAAAACACTCTCATAACAGGCAGATGTTATGATTCTTTGGCCCTCCAGAAATAGAACAAGCAAAATCCCTTAAGCATCCCCCAAACAATTGCCATAACATTTACCCTTGACCAATCTACTTTTGCTTTGACTGGACTACTTCCCCCTGCTGGTAGCCATTGCTTGATTGTACTTTGTCTTTGGGATTGTACTTTGTCTTTGGGATTGTACTTGTAAAGCCATGTTTCATCTTCTATTACAGTTCTTTGAAGAAATGCCTCAGGATGTTGATCCCACTTGTTTAAAATTTCCATTGGAAGCTCTGCTGTTGTCTGCAGCTGAACTGGGAGCAATAATTTTGGCATCCTTGAAGAGAAAAATTTACTCAACTTTAATTTTTCAGTCAGAATCATGAAAGTTGAATCAATTGAGATGTCTACGGTGTTGGCTACTGTTTCTGCTGTGAATTGTTGGTCCTTTTTAGTTCAGGCATGAACAAGATTACTTTTTCCTCACAAATTTATGTGGATGGTCTGCCAGTGTGGGCTTCATCTTTTACATCATCTAATACCTTCTTAAAACAAGTTACCCATTTATAAGCTGCTAATTTTGGGACGTCATTATTCTATAAACTTTTCATAAAGCATGAATGATTTAATCATTCTTCCACTCAAGCATCATTTTAAATTTGGTTTTTGTTTTTGCTTCAAATTTACCAAAGTGCATGTTGCTCTGATAGGGGCTGTTTCCAAACTGATGTTTCATCCTACTTAGTGCGTCAAAGTAGATCCTTTTCATACATGTTATAACAAGTTAGTGTAAGTTGATTTTAGTGCCAAGAAAATGTAAGTTCCGTGCTTACTTTTTGTTATGTTATGTTTTGTTTTTGAGACAAGGTCTCTCTCTGTCACCCAGGCTGGAGGGCAGTGGCGTGATCACAGTTTACTGCAGCCTCAACCTCCTGGGCTTAAGCAATCCTCCCACTTCAGCCTCCCAAGCAACTGGGGCTACAGGTGCGCACAACCATGCTCAGCTAATTTTCGTATTTTTAGTTCAGATGGGGTTTGGCCATGTTACCTAGGCTGGTCTTGAACTCCTGGGCTCAAGCAATCCTCCAGCCTCAGCTTCCCAAAGTGGGCCACCATACCTGGCCCTGTCATAGTTTTTTTTTTTTTTTTTTTTTTTTTTGTATATATAACATGCATTTTCTGTGAACTTTTTTGAAGCCCTCCAGTAGAAGGAACAGTGGAGGCAAAGTATGACAAGTGCAGAGCTAGCATAATCCTGAATAGAAAAAGATTGAAAACCTTTTCTCTAATATCAGGAACCAGACAAGAATGCTACTTTTACCACTTTTTATTTAGCATAGTATAGGAAGTCCCAGCCAGAGCAATTAGGCAAGAAAAAGAAATAAAAGAGGTGGTTTGTTGTTGTTGTTGTTTTTTCCCCCAAGATGGTGAATTAGAAGTTTCTAGCATGCCTCAGCCACTTGGTAATAACAAGATAGTGAATAAAGATAAACTCTGTGAGCTTTAATTCAAGAAGGAATGTGGGACTCCACCAGAATTATGAAGAACACCCCAGATCCTGGAGAGAAGAATGTGGGTGAACAGCCCTTGTTGTGGTGTCCAGCTGAGAAAAGTGAGTAAAGCTTTAGGACATGAGAGAGGTAGAGAGCTTCCCTCTGTGACTCACTACTCTACTGGGACCAAGCAACGCAGGCTGAGGGAGAGCACTTTATTTCTCCCAAGCCCTGGAGATAACTTGGGGAGAAGCTTAGACACAGAGTGAGACACCAAGAAAAGCTACAGTATTTTTCTCAGACCCAGGACAAAGAGCAGGATGCCATTTTTAACATGGGCGCTTATAAAGTCAGCCATTCTTTGGTGACTCAGCAGTATAGCCACACAGGCATTTTCATTTCTGTCCAGAGATTTAAGAGCCTGCTCTGGAGTGGGTTAGAGGCCTCTACAGCCAGAACTGTGAAAAGTGCCTTAGCAGTAGGCCCTGGAGTTGTGTTCTTCCCCATTGCAGGCCTGGCTTCGCAGGAGAGCTGTCTCATCTGCAGTTTTTCTTGGGTGATGAGATTTGCAGCCAGGGCCAGCTTGGTGACCTGGTGCTGGTCAGCATTTGTCATTCCTTGGTGTCCCAGTCTACTGCCCTGAGATCATGGTGCAGTGAGGTCCTCGCCACTCCATCCCCAGGCAGAAATCTAGGCATTCAGAGCCCCTGTGTTGTGGTCAATACTGAGTGTCAATTTGATTGGATCAGAGGATAGAAAGTATTGATCCTGGGTGTGTCTGTGAGGGTGTTGCCAAAGGAGATTAACATTTGAGTCAGTGGGCTGGGAAATGTAAGAAAGGCAGACCCACCCTTAATGTGGGTGGGCACCTTCTAACCAGCTGCCAGCATGGCCAGGGTAAAGCAGCCAGAGAAAAGTGAAGAGGTTAGCCTGGCCTAGCCTCCCAGCCTACATCTTTCTCCTGTGCTGGACCCTTCCAGTCCTCAAACAATGGACTCCAGGTTCTTCAGTTTTGGGACTCCGACTGGCTTTTTCTTGCTCCTCAGCTTGCAGATGGCCTATTGTGGGACCTTGTGATAATGTAATTAATACTTAATAAACTCCTCATTATAAATATAAAGAACAGGTTATTAATTATATAGTCAATATATATAGTATAGAGTTTATTATATATAAAATACTATATATATAATTGGATATATATATCTCCAATTAGTTCTATCTATATAGAGAACCCAAATACAACCTGATTGCATGGACCCACAGCCTGAGCCACCACACTCTTCATGAATATAGATCGTGGGTCAGTGGGGTTATTTCTGCTCCACACTCAGGCAGATCTCCAGGAATTCAAAACACCTCCTTGCCTGAATCAGCAGCCTGAGTCAGCCAACTCTTTCTGTGCATAGATCATGGTACAGTGGGTCCCTCTTTCCTGTACATGTAAACAGATCTTTAGGCATTTGGATCACCCACTGACATGGAGCCTGAGTCATCACCTTTCTGTGAAGAGATCTGGGTGCAGGAGGGCCCTCTCTATGCCATGCTCAGGGAGATCTCCAGACATTTGGAGCACCTGCTCACCCATAACAGAAGTCTGAGTCAGCCTACCCCTCCTGTGCAGAGAGCCTGGTGCAGGGAGGCCCTCTCCACTCCTTGCCCAGGCAGATCTTCAGGCATTTGGAGCACCCACTTGCATGGACTAGCAGCTGGAATTTCCCTACCCTCCTTGTGTGGAGAACTGGGGTTGAAAGTGTTTCCTAGCTCCACATCCAGGCACAACTTTTGGGTGCTTAGTGGCTGCCCACTGAAGTCTCTCTTGATGCTGGTACTCTTGTCTGCAATTGGAGGACCTGTAGGTAGACCAAGATGGTCAGGCCCTACTCACCTTGGCCCCTCCCCCACACAGGGCTGAGCAAGGAACTAAGCTCAGACCCTGTGCACTCCATGAATCAGCCTATTGCCTGAGGTAATAGAGAACTCCCAGCAGACAAGGACCAAGTATAATGTACACCCAGCCAATTTCCCCTCAGCTGGCTCTTATCCATAAGCGCCATCTACTGGCTTGCCTGTCAAATTGCACAGCCCAATACAAAACCTGTGGCTATAGAAGCAAAGTGAAAAGATCCTCCTATCCAGCATTCTCCACAGTCATAACCCCTGGGTTGGGGACGGAAGGAAGATACAATGATTTTAGGTCCCACATCCAGAGCACAGTAGTATGAGGGATGGGCTCCCAAGGCCTTGGGAAGCTCCACCCTTGTGACTTTGAAGGGTGTAGCCTCCATGGCTGCTCTCATGGGCTGGAGTCAAAAGTTTGGGCTGCAAGCCTGAAGCCTTCTGTGTTTGTGAGCCGATAGTGAGTTCACCATCTTTGAGTCTGGAGGGTAGCAGCCCCCTTCCCACAGCTACTCTAGGCAGTACCCTGATGGGGACTCTGCGTGGAGTCTCCAGTCCCACATATCCCCTTGGTACTGCCCTAGAAGAGTTTCTCTGTGAAGGCTCTGCCCCTGTGGCAGAATTCTGTCTGAATACCCAGGCTTTCCCATACATCCTCTGGAAACTATGTGGGAGCTATCAAGCCTTTTTCATTTTTGCATTTTGTGCACCTGCAGGCTTAACACCATGTGGAAGCCGCCACTGCCTATGAATTGTGCTCTCCAGAGCAGCAGCCTGAGCTGTATCTAGGACCCTTTGAGCCTTGACTGTGGCTGGAGTAGCCAGGATTTAGAGAGAACTGTCCCAAGGCAACACAGGGCAGCTGCACCCCAGGCCTGGCCATTGAAATGATTCTTTCCTCCTAGTCCTCTCGGCCTGTGATAAGGGGGGCTGCCTTGGAGATTTCTGAAATGTCTTAAAGGCCTTTTTGCCATTGTCTTGGATGTTAGCCCCTGGCTCCCTTTTGTAATACTAATCTCTCTAGTAACAGGTTGTTCTGCCCACTGCTTGGATTCTTTCTCTGCCAAAGAACCAAGCTACAAATTTTCCAAACTTTAATGCTCTGCTTCCTTTTAAAATAAAAGTTTCAGCTGGGCACTATGGCTCACACCTGTAATCCCAGCACTTTGGGAGGCCGAGGCAGGCAGATCACGAGGTCAATCCTGGCCAACATGGTGAAAGCCTGTCTCTACTAAAAATACAAAAATTAGCCAGGCATGGTGGCAGGCACCTGTAATCCCAGCTACTTGGGAGGCTGAGGCAGGAGAATCACTTGAACCCAGGAGGCGGACATTGCAGTGAGCCATGATCACACCATTGCACTCCAGCTTGGGCAACAAGAGTGAAACTCCACCTCAAAAAAATATGTATATATGTAAATATATGTTCAAATTTTAAGTCATTCCTTTGCTTCTGCATCTGATCATAGGCAATTAAAAGTAGCCACACCAATTCTTCAATGTTTTGCTGCTTTAAAATTTCTTCTACTAGATACCATAGGTCATCACTCTTAACTTCAACCTTCTGTAACACCTAAGGTTCTTGCCTAGCCATGCCAAAGAATTGGGGTTGTGGCTGACCACAGTGAGTGATAGAGACTCAGACTGAGAGAGAGTGAGCAGTAGGTTTTATTGAGCAGAGCAAGAGTACAAAGCTTCCACAGCATGGAAGGGGTCCCGAATGGGTAGCCACTGGTGGTTTTGGGTGATTGCCTTTTAAACTCTTTTAGGCGGGAAATACGAGTGGCGGGAAGATGTTACCAGAGCAAGAAACAAAGGCAGTAAATTATTTTGTGCCATGTCTTAGATTTTGAGGAAAACTGGAATTGCAACTTAGGTTTTATCTAAGTTGACCTTTTATCTTATCTTATGACCTTGCAGCAGCCTGGCAAAGGAGACAGGATCTTACAGGACTTTACAAAGTATGTTTACAAGGAATTGGAATTGGGAATATAGATAAGGTCCCCTGGTCACAGAAAAACAGGCAGTTAACATTTCTTTTACTTTAGTTTCGAGGGAGGGGGAAGGGGGAGAGGGAGAGACGACAGAGAAACTTAACAGCAAAATTTTCTCTGTTTATAGCTTTCTTGGGGAAGAAAACACATGCACAAATCCTGGTGTTAGGAATATTTTAAGCATAAATTTTCAATATTATTCATCCAGGACTGAAGTAAGTCTTCATGCAGGAAATGAGTGAGTTTCATAGCTTTCTGAACCCCTACTCGACCCAGAAAGCCCAGCTGGCACCTCCTCTCACTTCCAGAGGTCCTTAGGATGTGACACAATGCATCCAAGCATTTTGCTAGGGCATAACATGGGGGAACGTTTACTCTACTTCCTAATAACTTTCTTATTTTCATCTGAGATCTCATCATTTTGGACTGCACTGTCCGTATCCCTATGAGCATCTTGGTCCCAACCTTTTATCAGGGCTCTAAGACGTTCCAAACTTTTCTGCCATTTCCTATCTCTTCTGAGCCCTGCAAACTCTTCTAATTTCTGCCTGTTACCTATCTCCAAAGTTGCTTTTACATTTTCAAATGTCTTTATAGCAACACCCTATTCTCAGTACCAATTTTCTTTGTCAATACATTCTGATATTGCTATTAAAAAAAAAAACACGAAGCTGGATAACTTATAAAGAGAAGAGGTTTAATTAGTTCATGGTTCTACAGGCAGTACAAGCATGGCCCCAGCATCTCCTTCTGGCAAAGGCCTCGGGAAGATTACAATTATGGTGAAAGAAAAGAGAAGGTGACATATCATATGGTGAGAGTGGAAGCAAGAGAGAGAATGGAGTGGTCCCAGACTCTTTTAAACAAGCAGATCTCACATGAACTAACTAAGTCACATGACTTGGCACTAAAAAATTTATGAGGAATGTGAATCCCAAAAACCTGAGACAGGTCTCGGGCAATTTAAGAAGGTTATTTTGCCAAGGTTGAGGAGGCACACCTGTGACACAGCCACAGGAGGTCCGGACAACATGTGTCCAAGGTGGTCAGAGCACAGTTTGGTTTTATAGGTTCTAGGGAGACATGAGACATATGCAAGATGAACATTGGTTCAGTCTGGAAAGGTGGGACAACTCAAAGCAAAGGCAGAAAGAGTCAAAGTGGGGAGGGTGCTTTCATGTCATAGGCAAATAAGAGACAAATTTTTGCATTCTTCTGAGTTGCTGATTAGCCTCCCCAAAAGAGATAATCAAATATGTATTTATCTCAGTGAGCAGAGGGGTGACTTTGAATAGAACAAGAGGCAGGTTGGCCCCAAGCAGTTCCCAGCTTGACTTTTTCCTTTAGATTAGTAACTTGGGGGCCCCAAGATTTATTTTTCTTTCACATTTTCCTTTTTTTCTTTTTTTAAAATCTTTTGGAGATTCTTTTAGAACAAAATGAGTCTCTGGTTTCAGGTTTCAACTGATCCATCATGGTTAGGATGGTTTACTCCTAGACAGGTAAGTCTTGAGGCATTAGAAAATGTCATTTTTAGAAGGTTGTGAAGTCTCATGTCCTGTGAAGAGAAAATAGGGGAAGAAAAAAGAAAAACAACAAAAGAACAATCCTAGAAAATCTATATAGGCCACATTACTCTGAAGTCCATACATCAGGAGGCAGATATGAAAGTGGCTTATTTATGTAAATAAGTTGCTATTATTTTCTTCTGAATATTAAGTTGTCTAGCTTCAGTTTGCAGGGCTTTATGAAATCACAGCTTAGTTTTCAGTGACTCCAAATTAGAAAAAATAGGAAAAAAAGTAAGGGAAAAAAATTGAAAACATTATTTTGAAAACTTGTAGCCAACAAAAATTAGAATTCAGTCCAAACTGTAGAAAATAATAAAAATGGAAAAATATTGGACAAGACCAGAATCTAACAGCAGGTGTACTATAGTTTTTGAAACATAATTTTTCTCTCTTCACTTTCTCATATTTACTGAAGACAAATCACGATAAGACTGGTTTGCTTTATTGTACTTGGCCTAATTATTTGTATACAGTACAGCAAGAATAAGTATTTTTTACATAGGCTTTTAAATTGGCTTTGATGGAACTTTGTTTCATAGAAGAAACTTCAGATAAGTCTTTTTTAAAGCTGAGCCCAGCCATGGATTTGTGCCACCAAATACCTATGAGTTGGGTGATCCTCCCCAGATGAGGTTCTTAGATATACTTGGGGCTCCTGGGTCTGTCAGAAAATGATATTCTTTACTCATCACAGGTCAGGAACCCTGTACAGGTGCTGTATAGAAAAAGATATGAGGCCAGTTTTTCCAAGGGGCTTTTTTATGGAGCCAATTGGCTCCATAAGTCAAGTTTGATTCCTTAAAGGAAAGTATACCATTCCAGTCAAAGCCTTGGGAAAATAACCAGTTTATCTAATTGTGTCCTGTTACAAAAGAAAACAAATTCTTATTGCACTTATGCAAATAACTGTATTGTCATAAGTTAAGAATTCTCACAAATAGTTTCCAAATTCTAGAGAAATCAGGTAGAGAGAAACAAATATGCTCCAAATTTTATTCATAGGAGTGTACTTTACTCAATTGATAAAAGCTGCAAATAGCTTAAAAGTTTTCTTGACTCTGAAAAACAAATTTAAAAAGGTTGCTTTAGTCTTCTATTAGTTAAGTTCACACAGTTAACTCCTGTTCTCCTTGATATTCATGAATATTTCAGCTCTCCATGAGAGTCCTGAAAGTTTTTTCCTTTATTCTAATGTTATAATCTTCAAAGTTATCAGAAACCTGCATTTAAGAACACCTTTTGTATTTCTGTAGTTGATTATAAAATCACCTTCTAAAGAAGATCAAAGCAAGACAAAAATCGGCCATGGATGACAAAAGGTTTTAGGGCAGCCATAGTCAAAGACACAATTGACAAGGAAATCTGTTATCTTTGTGGCACACAACAATTTAACATAATTATAATTATTGCTGATAATGTATACTAAGTCATAGCAGAATTATATGTGTCTCCCGTGATTTTGGAACACATTTCAATAGCATATTTATACAAATATACCATTAAAAACTCAAACACTAATTCATAATTGACAATGTTTCGTGTATAATTTTTATGGCAAATTAGCCAAATTATTTCATTTTTGGACTTTAGGAAACCTAATATCTCAAAGGATTAATTAAATCAGAAGAAAACAATTTATAATCTGATTTTAGAAAGTTCATCAAATATCAAACGTTTAAAACACTTGATATCATAGATCATTGTAAAATAAGTCATTCATTTGACCAAAGTGATAACTCAAGGGTTTCATAAAAAAGGTGAAAACCTTTATTCTTTTAGAGAGGAGACTTAATTTTCCAAATAATAAGCCCTAATAAAAACATCATAAAGCCAATTAAATTTGTTTTTCAAAATTATATAAACAATCTATAAAATTTTAATCTTGCCCATAAGACATAACTTCTATGAGCCCTTTATAACCTTTACAACCTTTATTTATGAGTCACTTACTGCTTCAAGAAAACCCTATTTATGTGACACAGGGACCCATATGCTGATCTTGAATCCATGTCTCTTTCACATTAATGATTAATTTGTGGAGAAACTGAACTTATTTTATCTCTCAAAATTAGCCCTTACAATCTCACATTCCCCCCTCTTCCATGATGGTCCCTGGGACTTGAGGAGTTGAATAGTTTTAATTTCTGAACCTGTGTCTCAGAAATGCAGTTTATTTTGATTGGCATCTTTTATGGGGCCTGAAGATGAGTCTTTAATTGCTGTCAGTGTTGAAGAGTTAGCAGTACTTGGTGCCAATTTTAGACCCAGGATTCAAAGCCCTGTAACTTAATGTCACAAGTACTTTAAAAGCACATATAGAAGGCTGGGCATGTTGGCTCATGCCTGTAATCCCTGCACTTTGGGAAGCCGAGGTGAGTGGACCATGAGGTCAGGAGTTTGAGACCAGCCTGGCCAATATGGTGAAACTACATCTGTACTAAAAATACAAAAATTAGCTGGGTGTGGTGGCCCGTGCCTGTAGTCCCAGCTACTTGGGAGGTTGAGGCAGGAGAATCACTTGAAACTGGGAGGCAGAGGTTGCAGTGAGCTGAGATTGTGCCATTGCATTCCAGCCTGGGTGACAGAGGGAGACTCCTTCTCAAAAAAAAAAAAAAAAAAAAAAAAGCACATACAGGAAACACACAAAAATAAAATAACTCTAACCTAAAAAAAATTTTAATCTCACTTTTTTTCTAAGCAAACCAAAACTTAATAATAGTGGCATAGGAATTATTTTGATAAAATGTAAAATCTGTTAGACCAGTTACCAAAAGGCAAAACAAAAGACCTTTTGCCGTGTACAGAATATTATGTTGGAAGAAAACATTTCCTTGAGATCTTTAAGAAAATATGGTTAACTTCAGGCCACAACAAACAGAACTTGAGGGGAAAAAATCTTACATGAGCTGAAAATAAGTTGAAGGAGAGCGCTATTATTTCGTGCCTTTTAAAAGAAGGGAGAAGAAAATGAAAATTGGTGAAACGCAATAAAAGTTGAACTTTGCAGTAAAAAAATTAAAATATCTTAAAATTTATTAAGAGTAAATAAATAACTTAAGGAAATTTATTTTTCTAATTAATTCTTTAGTGTATAAGTAGTTTTTCTTTACATCAAACCCAATCTCTAGAAAGACCATTATTATTTCCCTTGAATTATAGACAACTGGATCATATAAAAGGTTTTGTTTGCAGAAATAAATTTTATTTGTAATTTTCAGAAGTAAAGAAAAGTTATAATACTTTAAGTAAACTGTTAATAAGACTTAGTTGACACCCAGTTAACCTAATCCAGTATTGATGTTTTTATTCTTTTCTTGAAAATACTCAAATACACCTGCATTGTGCTCCTTTAAAAACATGTTAAGGATACTTGCATTTAACGAGTTTTTTGAGGAAGAAAATTATACAACATTCATGCTTTTCATGATACTGAAAATACTGAATTATATGTCAATTTAATTTATCTCTTAGAAGAAAAAGTAACATAATTAAAATCACTGGTTCTCTGATCTTTAGTTCTCTCTCCACAAATAAAACCTATCACTTTTCACAATAAAAAAGCAAAAAAAATTATACAATTAAAAGGAGGTAAACTGAAACTCTTTATCCCCTTTGTTAAAAGGTAAATTAATTGTGAAAGATCAACATAACAATCATCACTGATTTTTTTTTACCATTTAACTCTCATTCAGATGATAAATAATAATCTATAATGCACCAGTGTATACAAATTTCTTATCACATTTTCCCTTATTTTGTAAAAAAGGAAAATGGATTTCATGCTTAAAAGAAGGATTAGTGTGACATTACTGAAAGACAATTTTGCTATTATCAAAGTTCAAAAAGTACCCACAGGAATCTTTTAGGAAACAGGTTACTGTCCATTTCCCAAAATGTGAAATTAGGTGATCATAAATACACAAGAAAAACAAAACATTTTTTGTCCTTAGTTATATTGCTCCCTTCCGGCCCAAAATTCAGACGAAAAAGATTAAACAGCTTTTGTAGATCATGTCTATCTATTTTAGCAACTTAATGAAAAGCAACCTTCATTTTAAAATAAATATCATAACACCATTTTTGAAACTACAAATTAAACTCTCATCATATAAATGAATGTCAATATGAAATTATTTTATCTTGACAATTACATACCATAATGAATGAATATAATTTGCAGCTCTTAAATTATTTATTTTTAATTCAAGCAAAGACAATTATGCCACTGCAGTCATTTCCTCATCGGAGTCACTTGATTCATTGTTAAGTTCCAATTCCCCTAAATCTTGGTCTACAGTTATAATAGTTTTCCTCTTGCACTTCTTGGGAATTGCATCATTAGCACAAGTTTTTCTTATGTTAGTGTTTGGCAATTTCTTCAGATTAAAGTCACATTCCCTAAACGTTTACAGGTTACTTGCATTTAGAATGTCTGGAATCTCAAGACCATATCCTTCATACTGCTCTCACTCCCGCTCCATCGTCTGCTTATTGACAGTCTCCCGGGAACAGTGCCACCTCCCCTGCCTGTCCCTGATACTGTTACGTAACTCAGTCTGCTCCAGCTCACTGCTGAATCGATTTTAATATCTTTCAATTAGTTCACAAGCATCTTTCTTTAAATATCCCTTTTTTGGGGGATCAAGATGATTTTGAAACCACTGCAGGTTTTCACAAATAAGGTTGAAAAAAGCCTCACACAAGGCTTTTTCATTCTTCAATTTTCTGTTTTTCTTGTTTGTGGGCCTCTCTCGTAATTTGAGCTGCTTTTCTACTAAATGGATGGGTTACTTTTTTTTTTCCGGTCCTGCACTTTTTCCCTTTGATGCTTTAGGCATGGTGATGTCCTCGCTGTCACGGAGGAGCTCCACACTCTAGACCCAGGCGATCTCATGAACCACAGGAGCAGCAGCTCACACGAGTACCTGGGCTGAATCCCCAAAAGTTTTTGTTTTGTTTTATTTTTTATGAATCCTTTTATTGTGAAAAACAACTAGTCATTTTATTCTAGGTCTAAATTTACCATACAAGATTCTTTCTCATATAAAATTATTTCTCTTTAAGTGTTCTTACCAAAGATACCTCTTTGTTTCTATAACTTTCTTTACATGTCTCATATTTCCTGGTTCCTTTTACCTTGTTTTATACATAACCTTTAAATAAGCTTTAAATTAGATAAAAATTGTTCACCTTTTTAAAAAGGAAATTTTTAAAAAAAGAATGTTTTCCTACAATATATTTTTATTGGAAAATACCCAAATAATAAGATATTTATTATTTAACTTAATATAACTTCAGATTCTAAATTCTGACACATTTGTCTGTATTCCATTACATTTATCTAATTATTTTATTTTATTCATTTATCTAGATTATTTATAAAAACTGTGATAGTCATCATTTAAAGTTTGAAGCTCACCACTGCAAAATTCTAACTGAGACAATGGAAAAAATATGACCTAAGTGACTCCATCTTGCTTCTAACCTCCAACCTGTCCTTGTTGATTCCTGGACTTTGGGAGGAATTTAGTTTATAGTTCTATTTTTATTAAACTAATATGAATGTTTTATTTATTAAAGATTATACAAGCAAAGATTATTCTGTCTTGGGCTAGGTTTATAGTTTTGTAACCACTATGCCAAATTTTGACACCTTATAGTATTTGGCAGGGATAAGTATGAAATTCCTTAATAATTGCAAACAAAACTGTATGCTAGCAATTCTTAATACATTTATAATATTACTTTACCAATAATTTTAAAGCTAGCTGATTTATTAAAAATTTTACTTAAGTCATGTAAACTTGAAAGTACATTTGAATAGTCTTTCGTTTTTTGATAAAGTATTTGATATAATCACTTTTATTTTTCTTTAAGCCATTTAATTAGAGTTCTTTTATATATTTTCAGTAGTGAATCTTTGTGTACACAACACATAAATACATAGATGTATGCTGATAGAAAGTACACCTTATAGATTCCTAAAGACTTTTCTTCCTATCTTAAGCTTTCAGATTCTTGATAACCTGCTTCAGAAGCCTAGGCAGTTGTCAGCTAAATAGCCTTAAATTTGCATATTAAAGGAAACAACTCAAGTGAAAATTAAATAGCAAAATTTACATCATAAGGTACACAGAGAAAAAGTCTGGTGGTGCTGGAGAAAGATTAAAGATGGATGCCAAGTCAAACATAAAATTATAGAAATCTATCATATAATTGTATAAGGAGACCAATTTTATTTAGATGGAGACTACCTATCTTTTAACTGGATCTCTGAGCTCTGGGTAGAGCCCACACTGAATCCTGGATCTCCAAAATGGGAGAATTATTTTGAGATTAGACTGTGTGATATTTTTACAATGCACTTAAAAAAATTTTTTTTAAACAAAGACATTTCTAAGTGTCTGAAGTACCCTCTTTCTTAAAAATCCCCAGAGTAGCCTCTGTTGCAATAGTTATTAATGAAGAAAACAGAATTAAGTCAACTGAGAAGAAAAAGAACTTTTGCTCCGAAAAAGACAAGGTCCAAAAAGAGAAAATATAAACAAAACATGAAGACCTTTTAAATACAAACACACACACACACACACTCATCTTGGATGTTAGCCTTTAATTAAGCTGACTTTTAACAACTGAGCTCCTTTTAAAAAAATGTTTTAAATCTCATTACTATATTTCAGCTAGGACAAATTGCTGCTATTTCAGAAGCACCAAGTATTAAAGCAGAAATGGCTTGATTTAGAAACTGTGAATCCCCAAAATCAGAGACAGGTCACAGTTTATTAGGAAGTTTATTTTGCCAAGGTTGAGGATGCACATCCATGACATAGCCTCAGGAGGTCCTGACAACATGTACCCAAGGTGGTCAGAGAACAATTTGGTTTATACATTCTAGGGAGACATGAGACATCAATCAACATATGCAAGATGAACATTGATTCTGTCTAGAAAGGCGGGAAAACTCAAAGCAAATGTGGGAAGACTCGAAGTGGTGAGGGGGCTTCCAGGTCATAGGTAGATCAGAGGTAAATGGTTGCATTTTTTTGAGTCTCTGATTAGCCTCTCCAAAGGAGGCAATCAGATATGCATTTATCTCAGTGAGCAGAGTGGTGACCTTGAATAGAATGGGAGGCAGGTTGGCTCTAATCAGTTCCCAGCTTGACTTTTCTTCTTAGCTTAGTAATTTGGGGGCCCCAAGATTTATTTTCCTTTCACCAGAATTTGTTCTCAGGATCCAATCATCTTGTACCACGCCCAAATTCCAACATTGGGAATAACATTTAAACATGACATTTGAATGGGATGAGCACCCAAACCATATCACCACCCATCAACCATGGAAAACACATTCTTCTGATTTACACAAAAAATATACTCCAAGATTGATCTCATGCTCAGCCATAAAGCAAGCATCAATAAATTCAAAAAAAGTCAAAATTATATCACCCATAGTCTTGAACCACAGTGGAATAAAAATATAAAGCAATACCAAGAATATCTCCAGAAAACATACGATTACATGGAAACTAAACAACCTTCTCCTGAATTACTTTTGGGTAAACAACAAAACTAAGGCAGAAATAAGTTCTTTGAAATAAATGAAAACAGAGACACAACATACCTAAATATCTGGGATACAGCAAAATAACTCTTAAGAAGAAAGCTTATAGTGCTAAATGCTTACCTCAAAAAGTTTGAAAGATCTGAAGTTAACAACCCACTACAACATCTAGAGGAACTAGAAAAACACACACAAAACTAATGCCAGAGTTAGCAAAATAAAATAAATAACCAAAACTGGAACAGAACTTAACAAAATTGAGACCTAAAAATCTGTACAGAGAATCAGTAAAACAAAAAAATTGGTTGTTTGAAAGGATAAACAAGACTGATAGACTACTAACTAGATTAACAAGCGAAAAAAAGAGAGCGATCCAAATAAACACAATTAGAAATGACAAAGGGGATATTAGAATCAATCCAACAGAAATATAAAAGATCACTTGGAGACTATTATGAACACCTCTATGCATACAAACTAGAAAATCTAGAGGAAATTGATATATTTCTGGAAACGGACAATTGCCCAAGATTGAGTCAGGGAGAAATTAAAACCTTGAATAAACCAATATCAAGGCCCAAAATTGAATCAGTAATTAAAAACAAAACTTACAAACCAAAAAAATTTTTAGACCAGATGGATTCACAAGAGAATTGTATCAGATGTACAAAGAAGAGCTGGTACCAATTCTACTGAAACTATTTCAAAATAACAGGAAAAAGAAATCCTGTCTAACCCATTGTGTGAAGCCAGCATCACCCTAATAGCAAAACCAAGCAAAGACACATTGAAAGAATAACATTATGAGCTAATATCTCTAATGAACATAGACACAAACGTCCTCAACAAAATATTAGCACACCAAATCTAGCAGCACATCAAAAAGTTAATTCACCATCACCAAGTAGGCTTTATTCCTGGGATGCAAGTTTGTTTCAGCATACACAAATCAATAAATGTGGCTCATCACATACACAGAATTAAAACCAAAGCTGTATGATCATCTCAATATTTGCAGAAAAAGCTTTTGATAAAATACTTCATTCATACATAATAAAAACACTCAACAAACTAGGCATCAAAGGAACATACATCAAAATAATAAGAGCCATCTATGAAACACCCACAGCAAATGTCACAGTGAATGGGCAAAAACTCGAAACAATTCTTTTGAGAAACAGAAAGATTAGAATGCTTACTTTCACCTTCTATACAACATAGTACTATGAGTGCTGACCAGAGCAATCAGGCAAGAGAAAGAAATAAAAGGCATCTGAATAGGAAAAGATGTCAAACTATCTCTTTTCACTGATGATAAAATTCCTGTACCTAGGAAATCCTAAAAAGTCTCTTCCAAAAGGCTCCTTGAACAGATAAGCCCCTTCAGTAAAGCCATGTGATACAAAATCAATGTGAAAAATCAATAGTATTTTTATATACCAATAACATTCAAGCCTAAAGCCAAATAAAGAATGCAATCCCATTTACAATAGCCACAAAATAAAACCTAGGAACACATGTAACTAAAGAGGTGAATGATCTCTGCAAGAATAACTATTAAACACTGCTGGAAGAAATTACAGATTATACAAACAAATGGAAAAACATTCCATGCTCATAGATTGAAAGAATAAATATCATTAAAATGGCCATACTATTCTAAGCACTCTACATATTTAATGCTTCCTATCAGCCTGCCAATATCATTTTTCACATAACTAGAAAAAATCATTCTAAAATGTATATGGAATCAAAAAAGAGCACAAATAGCTAAAACAATCTTAAGCAAAAAGAATAAAGCCAGAGACATCAAGTTACTTGACTTTATAATATAAGGCTACAGTAACCAAAACATTATGGTATTGATACAAACACATAAACATAGACCAATGGAACAAAATAGAGAACCGAGAAATAAAGCCACACACCCTCTGATCTTTCACAAAATTGACCACAAAAGCAATGGAGCAAGGACTCCCCATTCAAAAAATGGTGCTAGGATAGCTAGCTAGCTATATGCAGAAGAATGAAACTGGACCCCTACTTTCACCGTATACAAAAATTAACTCAAGATGAATCAAAGACTTAAATGTCAAACCTAAAACTATAATAATCCTAACAGACAATGTAGGCAACACCATTCTGGACTTTGACCTTGGAGAATAATTTATAACTAAGTACTCAAAAAAGATTGCAACAGAAAAAAAATTGACAACTAAGAAATAAACACAGCAAAAGAAACTATCAACAGAGTAAACAGACAACCTACATACGGGAGAAAATATTCATAAACTATGCATCTCACAAGGGTCTAATACCCAGAATCTATAAGGAACTTAATAAATTCAACAAGCAAAAAGGAACCCAATTAAAAAATGGGCAAAATACATGAACAGACACTTCTCAAAAGAAGATATATAAGTGGCCAATAAACATATGAATAAATGCTCGACATCATTAATCATCAGAGAAATGCAAATCAAAACCACAATGAGACACCATTCCACAACAGTCAGAATGACTATTATTAAAAAGTCAAAAAACAACTGATGGTGGCAAGACTGCATAGAAAAGGGAGCATGTACACCCTATTTGTGGGAATGTAAATTACTTCAGCCACCATAGAAAACAGTTTGGAGATTTCTCAAATAACTTGAAACAGAACTACTGATATATGCCCACAGGGAAATGAATCATTCTATGAAAAAAGCACATGAACTTATATGTTCATTGTGATACTATTCACGATGGAAAATACATGAAATCAACCTAAGTACCCATCAATGGTGGATTAGATAAAGGAAATGTGGTACATGTACATCACAGAATACTAGGCAGCCATAAAAAAGAATAAAATCGTGTCCTTTGCAACATCATGGATGCAGCTGGAGGCCATTATCCTAAGCAAAGTAACACAGGAACTAAAAACAAAATACCTCATGTTCTCGCTTATATGTGGTAGCTAAGCATTGAATACTTGTGAACATAAAAAATAGCAACAATAGATATTGCAGACTGCTAGAGAGGAGAGGAAGAGAGGGGGGCAAAAGTTGAAAAACAAACTATTGGCAACTGTTGGGTATTATGCTCAGTACCCTCAGTACCTAGGCGATGAGATTAATTGTATCCCAAACCTCACCGTCATGCAATATACAAATATAACAAGCCTACACATGTACCACTAAATAAGTTGATTTTTTTTAAAAAAAAAAAGCAAAAAAAAAAAGAAATAAAGGACATGAAAATTGGAAAAGAAGTTAAACTGTTCTTGTTTACAAATGATATACTCTGATATTTAGAAAACCCTAAAGACTCTGTCAAAAAAATGGAACTGAGAAACAAATTCCATAAACTTGTAGTATACAAAATAAACACAAAAATCCATAGCACTTTATATACCAAAAGTAAATAACCTGAAAAAGAAATTAGGAAATCAATACCATTTATAATAGTTACAAAAATTAAAATACATGAGAATAAACTTAACCAAAGAGTTGAGAGAGATCTCTATAATAAAAGCATAAACCACTGATGACAGAAATTGGAGAGGACACCAAAAATAGAAAGATATTCAGTGTTCATGAATTAGAAAAATCAAAATTGAATTAATGGGTACATTGAATATAAATAGAAGTTACCAGAGGCTGAGAAGGGTAATAAGGAGGGGAGGCTAAAGAAAATAGAGTTATTTTCCAAACTCTACTTTTGATGGTGCAAAATAAATCTGGGTAAAACTCTGGTGTTTTAGGAAGCCACAACAAATTGTGCTGATAGTCATATATATATATATATATATTTTACTGTTACCCAGTCACAATATTAAAAAGTCAAATTCACTTAGGAAGGTTCTTAATGAGCTGAAAAATGATTAATTTCATTACATCTTAAATCCTTAGTATTTGTATTTTTAATACTCTTTATGACAAATTGAGAAATACGTATATACCCTTCAGTTTCATACTAGAGCACATTGAGCCCAGCATTTCACTGAAAAAAACTGAGAAATTTGTTGACAATGATAAAATTGAGCACACAAGCAAAAGTTAGAAAACTTGTATGCAGTACCAAAAGCTTGAAAGTTACCCAATAATTAAAGACTTATTTTTTCAGATTGGTGGTGATATTAGCAAAAGAGATTTCTTGACATCTTATAACAAAATGTATAAACATTTGGAAGATCTGCAGAAGTCAGTGGATTAATATTTTTCAAATGACCATAGCATGATATTATGAAAGCACACATGAATAAAATATATATTCACAGTAAAGACAAATCAATAGACTTTAACATAACAGTACATGAAAATGTATTCTTTTATATTTCATATTGCAACTAACCTTCATAACGCTACCTCTTGACTTTTAGTGTAGTATCAAATAATTATATCAGATAGCTATTAAATACTCTTTTTCCATCTGCATATTTATGTGAGGCTGGATTTTCTTTATACACTTCATTCATAATAGCAAATTACAACAAAATTAATGTAGAAGCAGATGTAAGAATACAGCTATCTCCTATGAAGTTAAACATTTTAAAAATATGGAACAATGCCATTCTTGTCCCTTAGGTTTTTTTTGGAAAATAGAGTTATTTTCCATAAAATATCTTATGCTATCACAAAAAATGTAATTTATGTTAACATTTAATTAGTTGATTCTTATTTCTAATAAACATACTGTTTAGAATTATTAGTTTTATTTTTTAATATTGTAAATTTTGACAGATGTACACTTTATTAGTCAGTGTTCTCTAAAGAAACAGAACCAACAGGATGTATCTAGTAGATATATCAGAGAAGATTTATTATGGGAATTGACTCACTTGATTATGGAGGCCAAGAAGTCCCACTACATTTTGTTTGCATGCTGGAGAATTAAAAGAGCTGGATAGTTTTTAAGATCCATCTCAACTCAAACATCCAGAGCTGTGTCTTAATATCTCCCAAGCTTCAACCTGCATATAATACTTCTCATTAATTTATCAGACAAAAGCAAGGGGTGTGTATGAGAGAAGTCCTGTGATAAATACTCTTTTCTTTGACTGTAATGAATGAGAATAATTTGGGGGTCCCCAAATGGGCCAACCTGAATTGGGGTACATTTCCACTGATGTCAGTCACAAGGATCAACTTGGAAACCCAAGCATTTCCTGATCCTTAAGATTTATTCATTTTCTTCTGCCAGATATCCCCATAAAATAGAGTGCCCTGCTCAGTGAAAGGTTTCATTTTATGCCCTTTGGCCTGCCCTGAGAAGCCCTGGAGGTGGAAGTTAGGATGGGTGTAAGCCATACTCACTTCTCAAGACTGTTCCATCACACACCAAGAGACAGGGTATCTTTTTGTGCTCTGTAGAAAAGTGCTGAATGCATCACTAGACACAACTCAAACTCTATTTATTCCGATCATGTTTCCAGTTACTTTTCACCACCCTTGCATAGGGGGCCTCCAGCAAAGACATCTTGATGACCAGATTTGATCGACAAAGAAAACTTCCCATGTGATAACTAGGTGACATAGAGATTAGGTTAGAACATTTGGCTTCTGGCTCATTCTGCCATATATCTTGTATATATGCTTAAAAGTTCCCTCTCATAGCTCAATTCCATGAGCCTCTATCTAAAGTCAGCTGTAGTCTCCAACTCATACCTCAAACTAGTTACTCATAGGCCACTCATAGTCATAACATTCCAAACCTGCCCATGCCCAGACTTCTTTCCTTCCTAACACGCTCCAAAGGAATCCACCCTCCTCATGCAGTTTTACCTCTTTTAAACAGAGCAAGCTATTTACAGTAAACAGAGGTACCCAAGATCTGTTCTCACCTCTCAGTTTTCCATCATTTGGGCTGGATACATCAGAATAGGTTCTAAACTTGGTTTGTGGTGGGGCGAGGGAGGGGGGATTCAATTCCTGAGTTGATTTGGTTGCCATCTAATAAGAAGTAGGTCGCTCATATATCCACCTGCGTTAACTTTAAAGTGGAAGTCCTCTTTATCACCTGATCCCAATCCCCCTAACAACCCTGACAGATAATAACAATAAACGATAATGTGTACCATTTATTGACCATTACCATGTTATAGGCACTGTGAGAGAAACACTTTGTATGTGTTATCTCTTTTAGTCATCATTGTAACTCTAAGAAAGATTCTCTTATTGTCCATTCTAAGATGTATTAACTCAGACTTAAAACAGAAGAGCCAGAATCCAAAGCAAGGTCTAATTCCAAAACCTGGATGTTAATCCCTGCTGGACTGAGTCTCAAAATGAGGAAAAAATGCAGGTTAGGTATTAATTCAAGACTCTTCTCTGTCCACACCCCCCCACACACACACCTACAGCTATTTTATAAACCAAGAGTTTAATTTTAGGATATCTAGAAACGTTTAATAATAAAGTTCAGCCCAATTGTCCCAGATTACTGTAAGTGCTTGCCACCACCCACTCCAACACACAGCTATTTGCTCTTTGCCACTTGCCTTGTCTTAATACTCAAGACAAAGTTGAATATAGGTATAGATAGAAAGGTGTTCAGTGAACTGAGAGGACTGGCACTAGTCAAAAATTCAAAATACTTTACTTTTCTTTGTTATGTTCCCTTTCATTTCTGAAAAAACCATCCTGTCCCTTTCTTCTGCTTTTTTTCTCAGAAATCTTTCCCTGTCTTCTTGTTATCTAAAGTGCACTCCATCATGGTCCACAGTGTCCCACACTCCAGATTTTCTCTAGCTACCCAAATCATCCTATACACTATATTGTAGGAATGCAAACTAATAACACTACACTATTATAATAAATTGATAATGCAGCTGTTTGTTTCTTACTAATAGACTTACCTGTACCCCTTCCCCCATTCCTTATGCTGTTTTCACCAGCTGCTATTTCTACAGCTTTAAATATTCTTAAAGGCGTATTTTGTTTCTTTCATTCATTTGGTTTCTATTGTTATAAAGAGACATTATTTGACACAATAAACTCAGGGACTCTATTCATTTTTACATTCTTCCTGGAATGCTTATAATCTCAATTGTTTGAGCATTTGGATATTGGATTCACCTGGCCAATGTGCAAAGCAGAGGTAGTAAGGAAATGGGCAACTGGGATAATTTCTGAGGGGCCCTAACAACATACACACTTTAAAATACATGTCATATCACTTGTTGCAGATTTATTTCAACATTAAACTCCTCCATATAATGTCAGCCTTTATAGTCTAGAGCACACGCAATCCATTCACAATCCACAAAAATTTGAACAAGGGCTGAGACTGAGACAGAGGAGATTTTTTCATCCATCTTTTCCTAGTTACCTAGGATTTAGAAGGTATATTAGGGTTTTCCAGAAAACAAATTATATAATTCACACACACACATACACACATCTATACCCATACTTTGTGTTGAGTATTAAGACAAGGAGAGAGGCAAAGAACAAATAGCTGTGTGTTGGAGGAGGTAGTGGCAAGCACTTACAGTAATCTGAAATAAGGGGCTGAACTTTAAAAGTTTCCATATATCCTAAAATTAAACTCTTGATCCATAAAATAGCTGAAAGTGTGTGTGGGATGGGGGCAGAGAAGGATTTTGAATTAATGCCTAACCTTCCTCAGTGTGTGTGTGTTTGTATGTGTGTGTGAATTATATATTCTCTTTTCTGGAAAACCCCAACATAATTTCCAAGTTTAAGGTAACTAGGGAAAGACGGGTGACAAAAAATCTCCTCCATCTCAGTCTCAGCATTTGTTCAAATTTTTGTGGATTGTGAGTAGATTGCCATGTGCTATATGGCAATCCAATCACAATCTCTGTGTGTGTGCTTGTGTTTCTGTCTATCTCTCTCTCACACACACACACACACACATACACACACACACACACACACAGATTATAGGAACTGGCTCACAGTATTATGGAAACTGAGAAGTTTCATAATATGCTATTTGCAAGTTGGAGGAAAAGCCAGTGGTGTAACTCCGCCCAAGTCCGAAGGCCTGAGAACCAGAGAAGCCAATGGTGTAATTCTCTGTCTGACTCCAAAGGCCTGAGAACCAGGAGTTCCAATGCCCAAGGGCAGGAGAAGAGAAATGTTCCAGCTCAAGTAGAGAGAATTCACTCTGCCTCTGCCTCTTTGATCATTTCTGTCCTAAATGGATTGAATGATACCCACCTACATCAGTGAGGATGACTCTTCTTTATTCAGTCTACTGATTCCAAAGCTGATCTCTTCTGGAAACATGCTTATGGACACACCCAGAAATAATCTTTACCAGCTCTCTGGGCATACCTTAGCCCAGTCAAGTTGATGCATAAAGTTAACCATCACAGAAGGCTTGGTACCAGTTGATGACCCTGAGAAAATCAAGGATTTTCTGGAGTTTTTGAGATGTCCTGGTGAATATATCATAAATGGGGTATAGTGGTCCAAGTTGTCTATCATCTCCTGTATGGAATGGGCAAAGAGTAAGGAGATGTAATTGTTGCTTCTCTCTCACTCCTACATCTATACATCCAAGTCTGTTCTTGTCTTTTTCAGCCACACAGCTAAGATTTCAAGCAAAATCAACATAAAGAGATTATAGAGAATGAACTTTGTCTAAGAAGACAACACTTCTACTCCCAAGTCTCAGATCCTAAAACACTACCTGTTGCATTGTAGGTGTGCAACATATATTTGTTAAATAAATTTAAAATATTTACACTAATAATAACTGCCATTTACTAGGTGCATGTTAAGTACTTGGCAATGTACTGAGCAACTTATAGACCAAATTACATCCCAAGGAGTAAAATTCTCATTTCACATTTGAAAAACTTGAGAAACAGAAATGACAAAAGACTATCCAAAGCCCACACAGCTTGCAAGTGTACTTGAGCCCCCACTCACTCTGACTTAAATAACTTGTCTCAATACTCCTGTGTCCACCTAGGCTACAGGAGACATCTCCTTCTTCATCTCTGAAATGAAATTTTTTTCCACTTTTTTCACAATAATCATACCTTCAGAGCTCTCTCTCTCTCTCTCCTTGCTTTGTTTCTTCAACTCCCAAATATTCCTGTCTCAGGCAATATATTATTCCAATCTTACACCTCTACACAGAAATACCTGAGACTGGGTAATTTATAAGGAAAAGTGATTTAATTGGCTCACTATTCCACAGGCTGTACAGAAAGCATGATTCCGGCATTGACTTGGCTTCTGTTGAGGCCTCATGAAACTTAGAATCATGGTGAAAGTCAAAGGGAAAGCAAACCACTCACATGGCCAGAGCAGGAAGAAGGCAGAAAGGGGGAATGTGGCACACACTTTTAAACAACTGGATCTCATGAGGTCTCACTCACTATCATAAGAACAGCACCAATGGGGAAATCCACTCCCATGATCTGATCACCTCCCACCAGGCTCCACCTCCAACATTGGAGATTACATTTTGACATGAGATTTAGGCAGGGACACAGATCCAAACCATATCAGGCAACAACAGCAAAAGTCTTTCCTTAATTTTTTGCCCTTTTTATATCCTTTCAAAGCCAAAAAGACAAAGGTCTTGAGTGTTCTAACACACTCTCTCCCCAGTGCCCCACAATTTGGTTTCTGTACTTTTAATTTTGCTGAAATTTAGTTTTGGGGTATTAATCACCAAAACTTTTTCTTAAGTTCATTTTGATATTTTGCCAAATGATCTGTGAAACACTTGGCCAAATTTCCCTTAGTAGCCCATTAATTTATTCTATATTTAATAATTTTTCCCCTTCTCTTTGAAAAAAAGGAAATAAATTATCACTATCATATTCCATTCTCAAGTAAGTCAGATGGTATTATCTGTGAACCTTCTGTGAAGTAAATACACAGAGACACATAGCAGGTCTCCTAAAGTGTTTGTAGAAATTGATGGGTGAGTTTTAATTGCACCAATGCAAGATTGACTCTCAGTCATTCACAAGTAAGACCAAAGAAGAAATGGCAGATACCTTCAGCAGCCATTGGAAACATCTCAAATATCTCCCAGGCAGCAAACAGAGGTTGACAGCTTTAGGGTTCTAGGTTTGCAAGAAAATTGTTTTACAGTCCATATGAAGGGTCTAAGATACATCCATCCATCCTCAACCCTCCCTCTTCACCTACCTCACATCCAGGGACTCAGGAGTCTTGTCAAGGACTGGTGTGATTTTAGTAGAACCCTAGAGTCATGCAAAAGGTGCATTTTTTATGACAATTCGGTAGTTTTGTACCTTATTTTTAAAGAAATTGTATTGAGTTTATAATTATGTGTATCTATGGTATAAAATGCAATGTTATAATATAATATAGCATTATATATGTTATAATGGTCTTTTTGGCATTGAAAGGATATAAAATGTGGATGGATTTAATCAAGCTAGTTAACATATCAATCACCATACATACTTATTTTTGTGGTAAAAACATTTGAAATTTACTCCCTTAGCAATTCTGAAATATACAATAAATTATTAACAATAGTTGCTAGGATGTAAAATGGATGTCAATGACTTGTTTTTTTCTGCTGCACTGAAACTTTATCTTCTCTTACCAATATCTCCCCACTCTGCTGTCCCTACCTGCAGCCTCTGGTAGCCACCATTCTACCCCCTACATCTAATAACTTTAACATTTCACCTGCAAGTGAGGACCTGAAGCATTTGTCTTTCTGAGCCTGGCTTATTGTACTTAACTTCATGTCCTCCAGGTTAATCCACGTTGTCTCAAATGACAGCATTTCCTTCTTTTTAAGGCTATATGGTATTCCACGGTGTACTATATGTGTACAAAACATACCACATTTTCTTTATACATCATCCATTGATGGGTACTTAGTTTGATTCCACATCTTTGCTATTTTGAATAATGCTGTAATGATCATGGGAGTACAGATAACTCTTTAACATACTAATTACATTTCCTTTGGGTATATAACCAGTAATGGTATTCTATATTAAATTATTACATCTGTTTATATCACCAGTCTCCCTTATGAGATCATCAGCTGTTGGACTGTTCTGTTCATCTTTGCATCCCCAAGATCAATCATAGTATCTGGCATTAGCCAGAATTTGGGACTTATTTATTGAATGAGAAGAAATATGGATGAGTAAATTACTTAACTGAGGAGACCCTATGCTTCTGTAACCTGAGATGGTCAAGATTCCAGCACCCATCATGGTAATAAAGAAAAATATCTTTGGCCCCTCAAATCATTAAGCAAAAGGGAAAAGTCAAGCTGGGAACTGCTTAGAGCAAACCTGCCTCCCATTCTATTCAAAGCCACCCCTCTGGTCACTGAGATAAATGCATATCTGATTGCCTCCTTTGGAGAGACTCATCAGAAACTCAAAAGAATGCAACCATTTGTCTCATATACCTGTGACTTGGAAGTTCTCTCCCAACTTTGAGTTGTCCCACCTTTCCAGACATAATCAATGTTTATTTTACATATGTTGATTAATGTCTCATGTCTCCCTAAAATGTATAAAATTAAGCTATGCTCTGACCACTTTGGGCACATGTTGTCAGGTCCTTCTGAAGCTGTGTTACACATGTGCATCCTTGGCAAAATAAAATTTCTAAATTAACTGAGACCTGTCTCAAATTTTCAGGGTTCACATTTTGGTAACTATGAAGGGATTCTGAGTGGAGGTGTCGCTGAACTTTGAGAAATCTCCTCTCAGTGCCAGATACCAGCATGAGCTAACTTTATGACTCAAACCAACAGAACAATTTGCTGAGGTCTGAGAGAACCCCCTTCAGAGAATCCTTAATCTCCTCAAATTTTGTTTAGATCTAAAGTTTATTTTGCCGTACAACTCCCTCTTTTATTGGAGTTTTACTTGATTCCAACAAGAAAGACAAGTTTTTCTACTTCCATGATGATGGAAGGTGGGTAACTCTTTTGTGGAGTTTGAGCTCACTTCTGACAAGGAAGATGAGGTTTTTTTTTTCTGCTTCTAGGATGGTAGACAGCTGTCTTCAGCCTGAGACTCATCCTTAGGTAAGTAGCTAAATTGAGGTTTTGTCTTGGCTAAAGTTAACAACAAGCTGGTCTTAATTTCTCCTTATCATTAGAGCGCTCAGTAGTCATATAAGTTGTGCAATCATTTGTTTGGCTTAACTTTTTGTTGTCGTTGTTGTTGTTTGTTTCTGCTCTTGTCGTTGTTCCAGTCTTTTTCCCATTAAGTTTGATTGACTCTATCTGACTTGATCAAATCTGAAGGAAATTCCAACTTATGGGGAATAAGTCCTCTGAAGTGGCTAAATTCCCCTAAAAAAAGAGGTGTGTGTGTGTGCATATGTGTATGTTTGTATTTAAAAGGCCTTCAAGTTTTTATTTTTGTTTTTCTTCTAGGAACTTGTCTTTTTTTCAGTACAAGTTTTTTTCTTCTCAGTTGACTGAATTCTGTTTTCTTCACTTACTTTGGCTGTCTCTCTTTTCTCTGGCACCCTCTGCTGCATGGGGGACCTCAAATAGTTTATAATATCCTGGGGTTTCTTAAAGAAAATGAAGAAGGTACCAGACTCCCTTTAGGGGAGAAACCTGTTTTTTTGTATGTAACCCCAAGAAAGTAAACAGAAAAGTTTGTCTCAGATGTTGAACTGCCTACTTTTGTATTGTGTTACCTTTATTTTGGACAAAAATAGTTATCGCAACAGAGGTTACTATTGGGTTTTTAAGGAAGAGTGTGATCTAGAAATTTAGAAATGTCTTTGTAAAAAAGAAATTTAAGTGCATCATAAAAGCATCACATGGTATAATCTCATAATAATTTTCCTTTTTTGGAGACCCAGGATTCAATATGGGCTCTGCCCAGAGCTCAGAGGTGCATTTAATAGATAGGTAGTCCCTACCTAAATAAAACTGGTCTCCTTATACAATCCTATGATAGATTTATATAATTTTATGTTTGATTTGGCATCCATCTTTAATCTCCCTTAAACACTACCAAACGTTTCCTCTGTGTACCCTATGATGTAAATTTTGCTATTTCATTTTCACCTGAGTTGTTTCCTTTAATATGCAATTTTAAGGCTATTTAGCTGAAAACTGCCTAGGGTTGTGAAACAGGTTAAGAATCTGAAAGTCTAAGATAGGAAAAAAAGGTTTTTCATAAATCTATAAGATGTACTTCTATTGGCATGCCTAATACTTCTATATATTAATGTGTTGTGTACACAATGTTTCACTACTGAAAATATATTAAAGAGCTCTAATTAATTGGCTTAAGGAAATAACCAAATTACTTTATCAGCAAAAAGAAAAGACTAGTCAAATGCTTATTCAAGTTTACATAACTTAAGTAAAAGCTTTAATAGACAAGTTAGCTTTAAAATTATTGGTAAAGTAATATTAGGAATGTCTTAAGAATTGCCAGCATACATTTTCGTTTGCAATTTATAATCAAGAAATTTCATACTTATCCCTTCCAAATACTGCAATATATCAAAATTTGGCATAAGGGTTACAAAACTATAAATCCAGCTCAAGACAGAATGATCATTGCTTGTGGGACCCTTAATAAATAAGACATTCATATTTATTTAATAAAAATAACTGCATCTTGAATTTAGTAAGGTTACCATAACTTCTAATCTTTCGGCTTTAGTCAGTGAAGTCCATAGGCAGTAAAGTTTGTTTTGGGAAAGGACTGTTATTGTCTTTGTCTCAAAGCTAAACTATAAACTAAGTTCCTCCCAAAGTTAGTTCAGCCTATGCCCAGGAATGAACAAAGATAGCTTGGAGGTTAGAAGGAACATGGAGTTAGTTAGGTCAATTCTTTTTTTCCTGTCTCAGTTATAATTTTGTAATGGTGGTCCTACACCTTAATACTGACAATCACAATTTTTATAGATAATCTAGGTAAATGATTAAAAAATAAAATAATTAGGTAAATGTAATAGGATAAATACTTGTAGACAAACTCATCATAATTTAAAATCTAAAGTTATTCTAAATTAATAGTACATATTTCATTATTTGGGTATTTTCCAATAAAAATATATTTGTAGGAAAACATTTTTTCTTAAAAACATGTGCACCTTTTAAAAAAAAAGGTGAACAATTTTCATCTAATTCAAAGCTTATTTAAAGGTCATGGATAAAACCAGGTAAAAGGAACCAGGAAATAAAAGAGATGTAAAGAGGTTATAAAAATAGTTTTTTTAATAAGAAAGCTTAAAGGGAGATAATTTCACATGAGAAAGAATCTTGTATGATAAATTTAGTCTGAGAATAAAATGACTGGTTGTTTAAAAAGCAGGATGTTCAGGACAAAGCAGAAAGTCCAAGCATGTCATAAATGGTTTGTGCAAGTCACAGTAAGGCGATTTATTTTTTTTTTTAAAGAAAAAAAGTTTCTTTTTTTTTTAAATTATACTTTAAGCTCTGGGATACATGTGCAGAAAGTGCAGGTTTCTTACATAGGTATACATGTGCCATGGTGGTTTGCTGCACCCATCAACCCATCTTCTACATTAGGTATTTTTCCTAATGCTTTCCATCCCCTTGCCCCCACCCCCCAACAGGCACTGGGGTGTGATGTTCCCCTCCCTGTGTCCATGTGTTCTCATTGTTCAGTTCCCACTTATGAGGGACAATATGTGCTGTTTAGTTTTCTGTTCCTGTGTTAGTTTGCTGAGAATGATGGTTTCCAGCTTCATCCATATCCCTGCAAAAACATGAACTCATTCTTTTTTATGGCTGCATATTATTCCATGGTGTATATGTGCCACATTTTCTTCATGCAGTGTATCATTGATGGGCATTTAGGTTGGTTCCAAGTCTTTGCTATTGTGAATAGTGCTGCGATAAATATACATGTGCATGTGTCTTTATAGTAGAATGATTTATAATCCTTTAGGTATATAGCCAGTAATGGCATTGCTGGGTCCAATGGTGTTTCTGGTTCTAGATCCTTGAGGAATCGCCAAACTGTCTTTCACAATGGTTGAACTAATTTACACTCCCGCCAACAGTGTAAAAACATTTCTATTTCTCCACATCCTCTCCAGGATCTATTGTTTCCTGACTTTTTAATGATTGTCATTCCAAGTGGTAGGAGATGGTATCTCATTATGGTTTTGATTTGCATTTCTCTAATGACTAGTTATGATGAGCTTTTTTTCATCCATTTGTTGGCCACATAAATGTCTTCTTTTGAGAAATGTCTGTTCATATTCTTCTCCCACTTTTTGTTAGGTTTTTTTTTCCTGCAAATTTGTTTAAGTTCCTTGTAGATTCTGTATATTAGCCCTTTGTCAGACAGATAGATTGCAAAAATTGTCTCACATTCTGTAAGTTGCCTGTTCATGCTGATAGTTTCTTTGGCTGTGCAGAAGCTCTTTAGTTTAATTAAATCCAATTTGTAAATTTTGGCTTTTGTTGCAATTGCTTTTGGTGTTTTAGTCTTGAAGTATTTGTCCATGCCTATGTCCTGAATGGTATTGCCTAGGTTTTCTTCTAGGATTTTTATAGTTTAAGGTCATACATTTAAGTCTTTAATCCATCTTGAGCTAATTTTTGTATAAAGCGTAAGTAAGGTGCTTGGTTTCAGTTTTCTGCATATGGCTAGCCAGTTCTCCCAACACCATTTATTAAAAATAGGGAATCCTTGCCCTATTGCTTGTTTTTGTCAAGTTTGTCAAAGATCAGATGCTTGTAGGTGTGTGGTGTTATTTCTGAGGCCTCTATTCTGTCCCATTGGTCAATATATCTGTTTTGGTACCAGTACCATGCTGTTTTGGTTACTGTAGCTTTGTAGTATAGTTTGAGGTCAGGTAACATGATGACTCCAGCTTTATTCTTTCTGCTTAGGATTGTCTTGGCTATACAGGTTCCTGTTTGGTTCCATACGAAACTTAAAGTAGTTTTTTGTCTGGACACTGTGGCTCACACCTGAAATCCCAGCACTTTGGGAGGCCAAGGTGGGCGGATCACAAAATCAGGAGATTGAGACCATCCTGGCCAACATGGTGAAACCCTGTCTCTACTAAAAATACAGAAATTAGTCAGGCATGCTGGCGGGTGCCTGTAATCCCAGCTACTAGGGAGGCTGAGGCAGGAGAATTGCTTGAACCTGGGAGGCGGAGGTTGCAGTGAGCCAAGATTGTGCCACTGCACTCCAGCCTGGGTGACAGAAGGAGACTCTGTCTCAAAAAAAAAAAATAGAAATTTAAAGTAGTTTTTTCCAATTCTGTGAAGAAAGTCGATGGTAGCTTCATGGGAATAGCACTGGATCTATTAATTTCTTTGGGCATTACGGCCATTTTTCACTGTATTGATTCTTTCTATCCATGAACATGGAATGTTTTTCCATTTGTTTGTGTCCTTTCTTATTTCCTTTAGCAGTGGTTTGTAGTTCTCCTTGGAAAGGTCCCTCACATAGTCATGGGGGGCGGTTCCAAGATGGCCGAATAGGAACAGCTCCAATCTACAGCTCCCAGCGAGAGCAATGCAGAAGACAGGTGATTTCTGCATTTTCCAACTGAGGTACTGGGTTCATCTCACTGGGGCTTGTTGGACAGTGGGAGCAGTGCACCGAGCATGAGCCGAAGAAGGATGAGGCATCACCTCACCCAGGATGTGCAAAGGGTCAGGGAATTCCTTTTCCTAGCCAAGCAAAGCTATGACAGATGGCACCTGGAAAATTGGGTCACTCCCACCCTAATACTGAGCTTTTCCAATAGTCTTAGCAAATGGCACACCAGGAGATTATATCCTGCGCGTGGCTCAGAGGGTCCCATGCCCATGGAGCCTCACTCATTGCTAGCACAGCAGTCTGAGATCAAACTGCAAGGTGGCACTGAGGCTGGGGGAGGGGTGCCTGCCATTGCTGAGGCTTGAGTAGGTAATTAAAGTGGCTGGGAAGCTCGAACTGAGTGGAGCCCACCGCAGCTCAAGGAGGCCTGCCTGCCTCTGTAGACTCCATCTATGGGGGCAGGGCATAGCCAAACAAAAGGCAGCAGAAACCTCTGCAGACTTAAATGTCTCTGTCTGACAGCTTTGAGGAGAGTAGTGGTTCTCCCAGCATGGAGTTTGAGATCTGAGAATGGACAGAGTGCCTCCTCAAATTGATCTCTGACCACTGAGTAGCCTAACTGGGAGGCACCCCCAGTAGGGGCATACTGATACCTCACATGGCCGGGTACCCCTCTGAGACAAAACTTCCAGAGGAACAATCAGGCAGCAACATGCTGTTCAGCAATATTTGCCATTCTGCAGCCTCTGCTGCTGATACCCAGGAAAACGAGGTCTGGAATACACCTCCAGCAAACTCCAACAGATCTGCAACTGAGGGTGCCGACTGTTAGAATGAAAACTAACAAACAGAAAGGACATCCACACCAAAACCCCATCTGTACATCACCATCATCAAAGACCAAAGGTAGATAAAACCACAAAGATGGAGAAAAAACAGAGCAGAACAAATGAAAATTCTAAAAATCAGAGTGCCTCTCCTCCTCCAAAGGAACGCAGCTCCTCATCAGCAATGGAACAAAGCTGGACAGAGAATGACTTTGATGAGTTGAGAGAAGAAGGTTTCAGACAACCAACCTTCTCCAAGCTAAAGGAGGAAGTTCAAACCCATCACAAAGAAGTTAAAAACCTTGAAAAAAGAATAGATGAATGGCTAACTAGAATAAACAATATAGAGAAGTCCTTAAATGACCTGACAGAGCTGAAAACCATGGCACAAGAACTACGTGATGAAAGCACAAGCTTCAATAGCTGATTCAATCAACTGGAAGAAAGGATATCAGTGATGGAAGATCAAATGAATGAAATGAAGTGAGAAGAGAAGTTTAGAGAAAAAAGAATTTAAAAAACTGAACAAAGCATCCAAGAAAGATGGGACTATCTGAAAAGATCAAATCTACGTCTGATTGGAGTATGTGAAAGTGATGGGGAGAATGGAATCAAGTTGGAAAACACTCTGCAGGATATTATCCAGGAGAACTTTCCCAATCTAGCAAGACAGGCCAATATTCAAATTCAGGAAATACAGAGAAGCCACAAAGACACACCTTGAGAAGAGCAATGCCAAGACACATAATTGTCAGATTCACCAAAGTTGAAATGGAGGAAAAAATGTTAAGGGCAGCCAGAGAGAAAGGTCGGGTTACCCACAAAGGGAAGCCCATCAGACTAATAGCTGATATCTCGGCAGAAATTCTCCAAGCCAGAAGAGAGTGGGGGCCAATATTCAACATTCTTAAAGAAAAGAATTTTCAACCCAGAATTTCATATCCAGCCAAACTAAGCTTCATAAGTGAAGGAGAAATAAAATACTTTACAGACAAGCAAATGCTGAGAGATTTTGTCACCACCAGGCCTGCCTTACAAGAGCTCCTGAAGGAAGCACTAAACACGGCAAGGAAAAACCAGTACCAGCCACTGCAAAAACATGCCAAATTGCAAAGACCATCAATGCTAGGAAGAAACTGCATCAACTAATGAGCAAAATAACCAGCTAACATCATAATGACAGGATCAAATTCACACATAACAATATTAACCTTAAATGTAAATGGGTTAAATGTTCCAATTAAAAGACACAGACTGGCAAATTACATAAAGAGTCAGCACCCATCAGTGTGCTGTATTCAGGAAACCCATCTCACATGCAGAGACACATATAGGCTCAAAATAAAGGGATGGAGGAAGATCTACCAAGCAAATGGAAAACAAAAAAAGGCAGGGGTTGCAATCCTGGTCTCTGATAAAACAGACTTCAAACCAACAAAGATCAAAAGAGACAAAGAAGGCCATGACATAATGGTAAAGGGTTCAATTCAACAAGAAGAGCTAACTATCCTAAATATATATGCACCCAATACAGGGGCACCCAGATTCATAAAGTAAGTCCTTAGAGACTTGCTTTAAAGAGACTTAGACTCCCACACAATAATAATGGGAGACTTTAACACTCCACTGTCAACATTAGATAGATCAACGAGACAGAAAGTTAACAAGGATATCCAGGAATTGAACTCAGCTCTGCACCAAGCCAAACTAATAGACATCTACAGAACTCTCCACCCAAATCAACAGAATATACATTCTTCTCAGCACCACACCACACTTATTCCAAAATTGACCACATAGTTGGAAGTAAAGCACTCCTCAGCAAATGTAAAAGAACAGAAATTATAACAAACTGTCTCTCAGACCACAGTGCAATCAAACTAGAACTCAGGATTAAGAAACTCACTCAAAACTGCTCAACTACATGGAAACAGAACAACTGCTCCTGAATGACTACTGGGTACATAATGAAATGAAGGCAGAAATAAAGATGTTCTTTGAAACCAATGAGAACAAAGACACAACATACCAGAATCTCTGGGACACATTGAAAGCAGTGTGTAGAGGGAAATTTATAGCACTAAGTGCCCATAAGAGAAAGCAGGAAAGATCAAAAATTGACACCCTAACATCACAATTAAAAGAACTAGAGAAGCAAGAGCAAACACATTTAAAAACTAGCAGAAGGTAAGAAATAACTAAAATCAGAACAGAACTGAAGGAGATAGGGACACAAAAAAACCCATCAAAAAATCAATGAATCCAGGAGCTGGTTTTTTTAGAAGATCAACAAAATTGATAGACTGCCAGAAAGACTAAAAAAGAAGAAAAGAGACAGAATCAAATAGATGCAATAAAAAAAAAGGGGATATCCCCACCGATCCCACAAAAATTCAAACTACCATCAGAGAACACTCTGAACACCTCTATGCAAATAAAATAGAAAATCTAGAAGAAATGGATAAATTCCTGGAAACAAACACCCTCCCAAGACTAAACCAGGAAGAAGTTGAATCTCTGAATAGACCAATAACAGGCTCTGAAATTGAGGCAATAATTAATAGCTTACCAACCAAAAAAAGTCCAGGAACAGATGGATTCACAGCCAAATTCTACCAGGGGTACAAGGAGGAGCTGGTACCATTCCTTCTGAAACTACTCCAATCAATAGAAAAAGAGGGAATCCTCCCTAACTCATTTTATGAGACCAGCATCATCCTGATACCAAAGCCTGGCACAGACACAACAAAAAAAGAGAATTTTAGACAAATATCCTTGATGAACATTGATGCAAAAATCCTCAATAAAATACTGGCAAACCAAATCCAGCAGCACATCAGAAAGCTTATCCACCATGATCAAGTGGGCTTCATCCCTGGGATGCAAGGCTGGTTCAACATATGAAAATCAATAAACGTAATCCAGCATATAAACAGAACCAAAGACAAAAACCACATGATTATCTCAATGGATGCAGAAAAGGCCTTTGACAAAATTCAACAGCCCTTCATGCTAAAAACTCTCAATAAATTAGGTATTGATGGGACGTGTCTCAAAATAGTAAGAGCTATTTATGACAAACCCATAGCCAATATCATACTGAATGGGCAAAAACTGGAAGCATTCCCTTTGAAAACTGGCACAAGACAGGGATGCTCTCCCTCACCACTCCTATTCAACATAGTGCTGGAAACTCTGGCCAGGGCAATCAGGCAGGAGAAGGAAATAAAGGGCATTCAATAGGAAAAGAGGAAGTCAAATTGTCCCTGTTTGCAGATGGCATGATTGTATATCTAGAAAACCCCATTGTCTCAGCCCAAAATCTCCTTAAGCTGATAAGCAACTTCAGCAAAGTCTTAGGATACAAAATCAATGTGCAAAAATCGCAAGCATTCTTATGCACAAAAAACAGACAAACCTAGAGCCAAATCATGAGTGAACTTCCATTCACAATTGCTTCAAAGAGAATAAAATACCTAGAAATCCAACTTACAAGGGATGTGAAGGACCTCTTCAAGGAGAACTATGAACCACTGCTCAATGAAATAAAAGAGGATACAAACAAATGGAAAAACATTCCATGCTCATGTATAGGAAGAATCAATATTGTCAAAAAATGGCCATACTGCCCAAGTATAGATTCATTGCCATCCCCATCAAGCTACCAATGACTTTCTTCACAGAATTGGAAAAAACTACTTTAAATTTCATATGGGACCAAAAAAGAGCCTGCATTGCCAAGTCAATCCTAAGCCAAAATAACAAAGCTGGAGGAATCATGCTACCTGACTTCAAACTATATTACAAGGTTACAGTAACCAAAACAGCATGGTACTGGTACCAAACACAGATATAGACCAATGGAATAGAACAGAGGCCTCAGAAATAATACCACACATCTACAACCATTTGATCTTTGACAAACCTGTCAAAAGCAATAAATGGGGAAAGGATTCCCTATTTAACAAATGGTGCTGGGAAAACTGGCTAGCCATATGTAGAAAGCTGAAACTGGATCCTTTCCTTAGACCTTATACAAAAATTAATTCAAGATGGATTAAAGACTTAAATGTTAGACCTAAAACCATAAAAACTCTAGAAGAAAACCTAGGCATTACCATTCAGGACATAGGCATGGGCAAGGACTTCATGTCTAAAACACCAAAAGCAATGGCAATGAAAGCCAAAATTGATGAATGGGATCTAATTAAACTAAGGAGCTTCTGTCCAGCAAAAGAGACTACCATCAGAGTGAACAGGCAACCTACAGAATGGGAGAAAATTTTCACAACCTACTCATCTGACAAAGGGCTAATATCCAGAATCTACAATGAACTCAAACAAATTTACAAGAAAACAAACAACCCCATCAAAATGTGGGCGAAGGATATGAACAGACACTTCTCAAAAGAAGACATTTATGCAGCCAAAAGACACATGAAAAAATGCTCATCATCACTGGCCATCAGAGAAATGCAAATCAAAACCACAATGAGATACCATTTCACACCAGTTAGAATGGTGATCATTAAAAAGTCAGGAAACGACAGATGCTGGAGAGGATGTGGAGAAATAGGAATACTTTTACACTGTTGGTGGGACTGTAAGCTAGTTCAATCATTGTGGAAGACAGTGTGTCAATTTCTCAGGGATCTATAACTAGAAATACCATTTGACCCAGCCATCCCATTACTGGGTATATACCCAAAGGATTATAAGTCATGATGCTATAAAGACACATGCACACGTATGTTTATTGCAGCACTATTAACAATAGCAAAGACTTGGAACCAACCCAAATATCCATCAATGATAGACTGGATTAAGAAAATGTGGTACATATACACCATGGAATACTATTCAGCCATAAAAAGGGTGGGTTCATGTCCTTTGTAGGGACATGGATGAAGCTGGAAACCATCATTCTCAGCAAACTATCACAAGGACAAAAAACCAAACACCGCATGTTCTCACTCAAAGGTGGGAATTGAACAATGAGAACACTTGGACACAGGAAGGGGATCATCACACCCTGGGGCCTGTTGTGGGTTAGAGGGAGGCGGGAGGGATACCATTAGGAGATATACCTAATGTAAATGACAAGTTAATGGGTGCAGCACACCAACATGGCACATGTATACATATGTAACAAACGTGCACATTGTGCACATGTACCCTAGAACTTTAAGTATAATAATAAATAAATAAATATATATATATATATATATGAAGAAAAGGTCCCTCACATCCTTTGTAAGTTTTATTCCTAGGTATTTTATTCTGTTAGTAGCAATTGTGAATGGGAGTTCACTCATAATTTGCTCTCTGTTTGTCTATTATTGGTGTATAGGAATGTCTGTGGTTTTTGCAAATTGATTTTGTATCCTGAGACTTTGCTGAAGTTGGTTATCAGTTTAAGGAGATTTTGTGCTGAGGCGATGAGGTTTTCTAAATATACAATCATGTCATCTGCAATCAGAGACAACTTGACTTCCTCTCTTCCTATTTGAATACCCTTTATTTCTTTCTCTTGCCTGATTGCCCTGGTCAGAACTTCCAATACTATGTTGAATAGGAGTGGTGAGAGATGGCCTTCTTACCCTGTGCCAGTTTTCAAAGGGAGGGCTTCCAGCTTTTGCCCATTCAGTATGATATTGGCTGTGGGTGTGTCATAAATAGCTCTTATGATTTTGAGATATGTTCCATCATTACCTAGTTTATTAAGTGTTTTTGACATAAAGTGGTGTTGAATTATGTCAAAGGTCTTTTCTGCGTCTGAGATAATCCTGTGGTTTTTGTCATTGGTTCTGTTTATGTGATGGATTGTGTTTATTGTTTTGTGGATGTTGAACCAGCCCTGCATCCCAGGAATGAAGCTGATTTGATTATGGTGAATAAGCTTTTTGATGTGCTGCTAGATTTGGTTTGCCAGTATGTTATTGAGGATTTTCACATCGATGTTCATCAGGGATATTGGCCTGAAATTTTCTTTTTTTGTTTTGTCTCTACCAGGTTTTTGTATTAGGATGAAGCTGGCCTCATAAAATATGTTAGAGAAGGGTCCCTCTTTTTTTGTTGTTTGGAATAGTTTCAAAAGGAATGGTACCACTCCTCTTTGTACCTCTGGTAGAATTCAGCTGTGAATGTTTCTGGTCCTGGGCTTTTTTTGGTTGGTAGGTTATTAATTACTGCCTCAATTTCAGAACTTGTTATTGGTCTATTCAGGGACTTAACTTCTTCCTGGTTTAGTTTGTGGAGGGTGTATGAGTCCAGGAATTTATCCATTTCTTCAAGGTTTTCTAGTTTATTTGAGTAGAGGTGTTTATAGTATTCTCTGATGTTAGCTTGCAGTTCTGTAGGATGAGTGGTGAATCCCTTTTATCATTTTTTACACTTTTTAATATACTTGCTATCTATTTTGCTAATGTTTTCAAAAAACCAGCTCCTGGATTCATTGATTTTTTGAACAGTTTTTTATGTTTCTGACTCCTTCAGTTATGCTCTGATCTTTGCTATTTGTTATCTTTTCCTACCTTTTGAATTTGTTTGCTCTTGCTTCTCTAGTTCTTTTAACTATGATGTTAGCGTGGCAGTTTTAGATCTTTCCCACTTCCTTATGTGTATATTTGGTGCTATAAATTTTCCTCTAAACACTGCTTTAGCTGTGTCCCAGAGATTCTTGTATGTTGTGTCATTGTTCTCATTGGTTTCAAAGAACTTATTTATTTCTGACTTAATATTGTTATTTACCCAGTAGTCATTCAGGAGCAGTTTGTTCAGTTTCAATGTAGTTGTGCAGTTTTAAGTGAGTTAAAATAAGCAAAAACTTTTATATAATCAAGTTGTCACATTATTATTAAGTTTTGGTTTGCATCAGAAAAAACTAACATTAAAATTTTTTTAAAAAATTAAGGTTTTTACATCCATGTATCTCTCCACATGTGCTTTTTACAAATTAATTTAGTTATTAAAACATTCATCAAATGTATACATCTTTTGTATTTTTAGTAGAGATGGGGTTTCACCAGATTGGTCAGGCTGGTCTCAAACCCTTGACCTCAAATGATCCGCCCACCTCAGCCTCCCAAAGTGCTGGGATCACAGGCATCAGCCACCACAAATTAGCTGAGCATGGTGGCACACTCTTGTAGTCCCAGCTACTCAGGAGGCTGAGGCAGGAAAATCACTTGAACCTGGGAAGTGGAGGTTGGAGTGAGCCAAGATCACACCATTTCACTCAAGCCTGGGCAACAAGAGTGCAACTCCACCTCAAAACAAAAAAGTATATATCTTTCAAAACAATGTGAATATACTTAACATCTATAACTACAAACTTCAAAATGGTTAAGATGATAAAAATAAAGCTTTATATTACCCTAATTAGCATAAAATTAAAAAAATTTAAACTATGTATAAACAACCAAGTCATTAATAGAACTGTGAAAAACATTCCTGTTTTTTAATATTAAGTTACAGTTCTCTCTAAAAAGCCCCTGGACCAGAAAAAGGAAAAAATGCAAATGTTAGTTTAATAACATGGAATTCCTAATGTTGAATTACAAGGAAAAAAGAATTGTAAATCGTCATTTAGCCACCAATTAGTAGTCAGAAGATGACTTTACAAAACACCCTTCTGTGTTAAAAATTTAGGTAAAATGTAAAGATTTCAATATTACTTTAGTAAAAATAAATACAGAAGAATTATATAAAAATCCACATTTCAAGTTCATGCATACACAATACATTATAGATTTTGGCAAAAGAGATAGCTGTATATTCTCTCTCTGATTTTATCAGAGTGCGAAATATAATATAAATATAACATTTTAGTTTATGCATAATTTTTGAATTATTATCTTATCTCAAGCTTAACTAAATAGAATATCTTAAGTTTCTTCTACTTATCAGGTAAGTTACTGGTGTTAACACCATATATTTAAGACTAAGACTAGAGATGCAAACCTATGTAATTAATTAATGAGAGCTATAACAATCCACATCTTTACATAAACACTGCGAATTATGTGAGCCTATAGAATGACTTCACCTTTACTGTGAGGGTTTTCAAGAGCTTTATTTCTAACATTAACAGTGATTATATTTTCTTTAATGTCAAATTAACATACGTTTTCTTTTTTTTTACACAACATGTCTGTTTAATTGATGGATTTTAGTTTATTTTATTTTTAGAATCTTAGTCTTTAGTTCTATTTGTCCCACCTTTTATATGTTTCTTTTTCTTCTTTTTTTTTCCTACTTTAAGTTCTGGGATACATGTACAGAACATGTAGGTTTGTTACATACATATGCATGTGTCATGGTGGTGTGCTGCATCTATCAACCCGTCATCTATGTTTTAAGCCCTACATGCATTAGGTGTTTGTCCTAATGCTTTCCTTCCCCTTGCCCCCCAGCCCCCGACAGGCCCTGGTGTGTGATGTTCCCCTCCCTGTGTCCACGTGTTCTCATTGTTTAAATCCCACTTATGAGTGAGAACATGTCATGTTTGGTTTTCTATTTCTGTGTTAGTTTGCTGAGAATGATGACTTCCAGCTTTATCCATGTCCCTGCAAAGGACATGAACTCATTCTTTTTTTATGGCTTCTGCATGCACTTTTAAAGTACTTGGACATTGGTTACAGGGCTTTGAATCCTGGGTCTAAAAAGGACACCAAGTCCTGCTAAATTCTAAACAGTAACAGGAATTAAAACCCCATCTTCAGGCCTGGTACAAGATGCCAATCAAAATAAACTGCATTCCAGAAATTAAACCTATTCAACTCCTCAAGGCCCAGGGATTATCATGGAAAAGGTGGACATGTGAGATTGTAAGGGCTGATTTTGAGAGATAAAGTAAATTCAGTTTATCTATAAATTAATGATTAATGTGAGAGGCACACATATGCAAGATCAGCATATGGGCCCCTGTGTCAAGGGTTTTCTTGAAGCATTAACTGACTCCTAAATAAAGGTTGTAAAGGTTATAAAAGTGTTATGGAAGTTGTATCTTATGATCAAGATTAAAATTTTATAGATTGTAAAATTTTGAAAAAAAAACATTTAATTGGCTTCATGCTGTTTTTATTAGGGCTTATTATTTGGAAATTTAAGTCTCCTCTCTCAAAAAATGAAGGTTTTTGCCTTCTTTATTGAAGTCCTTGAGTTATCACTTTGGTCAGATGAAAGACTTATTTTACAATGATCCATGATATCAAGTGTTTTAAACCTTTGATATATCACGGACTTTCCAAAATCAAATGCTAAATCGTTTTCTTCTGATGTAATTAATCCTTTAAGATATTAGGTTTCCTAAAGTCCAAAAATGAAATAATTTGGCTTATTTGCTATAAAAATTATACAGAAAACATTGTCAAATATGAAATAGTGTTTGGGTTTTTTAGGCTGTATTTGTATAAATATATTATTGGTATGTGTTCCAAAATCATGGGAAACTCATATAATTCTGCCATGACTTAGTGTACATTATCAGCAATAATTAAAATTGTCATGTCAAATTATTGTGTGACACATAGATAAAAGATTTGTCAATTGTGCCTTTGACTATGGCTGCCCTAAAACCTTTTGTCATCCACAGACAATTTTTGTCTCATTTAAATCCTCCTTAGCAGGTGATTTTATAATCAACTACAGAACTTAAACAGGTGTTCTTGAATGCAGGTTTATGACAACTTTGGAGATTGTAACATTAGAATAAAGGAAAAAACTTTTAGCACTCTCATGGAGAGCTGAAATGTTCATGAATATCAAGGAGAACAGGAGTTAACTTTGTGAACTGAACTAATTGAAGACTAAAGCAATCTTCTTAGCTTTGTTTTTCAGAGTCAAGAAAACTTTTAAGCTATTTGCAGATTTTATCAATTGAGTAAAGTATACTCATATGAACAAAATTTGGAGCATATTTGTTTCTCTCTACCTGATTTCTCTAGAATTTGGAAACTATTTGTGAGAATTCTTAATTTATGACAATACAATTATTATCACAAGTGCAATAAGAATCTGTTTTCATTTGTAACAGGACACAAATTGGAGAAACTGGTTATTTTCCCAAGGCTTTGACTGGAATGGTGTACTTTCCTTTAAGGAATCAAACTTGACTTATGGAGCCAAAAAAAGCCCCTTGGAAAAACTGTCCTCATATCTTTTTCTGCACAGCCCCTGTTCAGGGTTCCTGATCTGTGATGAGTAAAGAATATCACTTTCTGACAGTCCCAGGAGCCCCAAGTATATCTTGGAACCTCAAGTGAGGAGGATCACCCAACTCATAGGTATTTGATGACACAAATCCATGGCTGAGCTCAGCTTTAAAAAAAGTCTTATCTGAAGTTCCTTCTATGGAACAAAGTTCCATCAAAGCCAATTTAAAAGCCTATATAAAAATAATTATTCTTGCCATACTGTATACAAATAATTAGGCCAAGTATAATAAAGCAAACCAGTCTTACCATGATTTTTGTCTTTAGCAAATATGAGAAAGTGGAGACAGAAAAATTATGTTTTAAAAACTATAGTATACCTGTTGTTAGATTCTAGTCTTGCCTAATATTTTTCCATTGTTATTATTTTCTACATTTTGGACTGAATTCTAATTTTTCTTTGCTACAAGTTTTCAAAATAATGTTCAATTTTTTTCCTTCTTTTTAAAATTTTTATTTATTTAATTAATTATTTATTTTGAGATGGAGTCTCACTCTGTCACCCAGGCTGGAGTGCAGTGGCACGATCTCAGCTCACTGCAAGCTCCACCTTCCGGGTTCATGCCATTCTCCTGCCTCAGCCTCCTGAGTAGCTGGGACTGCAGGTGCCTGCCACCAAGCCTGGTTAATTTTTTTTTATATTTTTAGTAGAGACGGGGTTTCACCGTGTTAGCCAGGATGGTCTTGATCTCCTGACGTCGTGATCTGCCCGTCTCGGCCTCCCAAAGTGCTGGGATTAGAGGCGTGACCCACCGCACCCGGCCTCCTTCTTTTTTCTTGTATTTTTCCTAATTTGGAGTCACAGAAAACTAAGCTGTGACTTTGTAAAGCCCTGCAAACTGAAGCTAGATAACTTAATCTTCAGAAGAAAATAATAGCAACCTATTTATATAAATAAGCCACTTTCATACCTTCCTACTGATATATGGACTTCAGAGTAATGTGGCCTATAGTGATTTTCCAGGATTGTTCTTTTGCTTGTTGTTGTTGTTTTTTTTCCCTTTCTCCACATATTTTCTCTTCATAGGACAAGAGACTTCACAACCTTCTAAAAATGAGCCTTCCTAATAATGTAGGACTTACCTGTCTAGGAATAAACCATCTTAGCCATGAGAGATGAGACAAAACCTGGGACCAGAGAGTCATTTTCTTCTAAAATAATTTATCCAAAAGATTTTTAAAAAGAAAAGGGAGGAAATGTGAAAGGAAAACATCTTGGGCCCCCAAAATCACTAATCTAAAGGAAAAAGTCAAGCTGGGAACTCCTGAGGGCCAACCTGTTTCTCATTCTATTCAAAGTCAACCCTCTGCTCAATGAGATAAATGCATATCTATTTGCTTCCTTTGGAGAGGTTAATCAGAAACTCAGAAGAATGCAACCATTTGTCTCTTATCTACCTATGACCTGCAAGCCCCCTCCCACTTTGTGTTGTCTCACCTTTGCTTCAAGTTGTCCCGCCTTTCCAGACCGAACCTATGTTCATCTTACATATGTTGATTATTGATGTCTCATGTCTCCCTAAAATGTATAAAACCGAACTATGCTCTGACTACCTTGGGCACATGTTGTCATGGCCTACTGAGGCTGTGTCATCGGCATGTGTCCTCAACCTTGGCAAAATAAACATTCTAAATTAACTGAGACATGTCTCAAAGTTTCAGGGTCAAAATGGCTGCTAAGAAAGAATTTGAGGGACTAGTGGGGATCAAAGAGGTACTAATACTTATTAAATATCTACTATAACAACATTATCATCAAACAACCATTTTTTCAGCATGTCCTATATACTAGAAACTCTTTATTTTATTGCATTTGATCATTACAATATTATATATTATACATACAATAAATAAGCCAATTCCAAATTGGCATAATTACCCCATTCCACAGATGAGGAAACTGAGGCTCAGAGAGTTGAAGGGTCTTACTATGGATCACATAGCTAGCAAGAGAGAGAACTAAAACTTGAACCTAGTCTCTGAGCCTCAACTCGTCATCCCTTACAGTGTACCACATCCTGAGTTAGATGTGACAGTATATCACTTTATAGGCCACTGTTTAGGTTATTGTATGTTGTATTGCCACTCCCTTTTGGAAATGTCATATAAGTAAGGAAAGTTTCTGTGAAAAGTGGTTCTGATCTACGCAATTTACTGAAGCTTTCCCACTGGCTCTCCACACCAAGCCACCAATATGCCTGCCAATGCTTTCTTAATCTTTCCTAAAGAGCCACCTCAAAAATCTTTCTACCTTGGAGAAAGTTTCTAAAAGATTAAAGAAGAAAAGCATAAAATGTTGGGAACTACAGAAGACAGCAGGTTCCTTGTCTTCTTTCTCTGTAACAGGGACGGGCCAACTTGGGGCTGGCAGAACAGAGACATGCCAAAGTTATAAAAAAAAAAAAATAAGGAGAAAAGTTGATTCCTAAATGTTCTACTAGGGCTTGGCCATCAGAAAACTAAAAGAGAAGCAAGTTCAGCTGAACATACTGCTTTCTGCATAGAAAATACTCAGCTTATTTCTTTAGTTTATTGAGGATTTTTTGCCAAATATTGTGTAGTTATTGTGTTCAGTGGTTTTATCCTAATCCAAGTAAAATAAAATAAATAAAAGAGAAATGTTGTCAGTTTTTGGTATTTCCAGATAAAAGTAATTCCTTTCCTGCTAACTTCTTTCCCTTGCCCACTTCTGTTCCACCCAAAGGGACACCAGGAGGTACTATTTGATATAGTATTTGGGCCACAGAACTTGCCATAACTGACTGGGCCAGGAGTGGGCACCTGGCTGCTGCATTTAGGTGTAGTGGTGTAGTCACTGATGAATTTGGAGTTGTGACTAAGAAAGTTAAGTATCTATCTGAGTGAGTCATTTGAATGGCAGAAATGCAAAAATTTAGAGCTGTAATTCAAGAGCCTATCTGCACAAATGGCCAATAAGCACATAAAAAATGTTCAATATTATGAGTCATTAGGGAAATGCAAACCAAAACCACAATGAAATATCATTTTACATTTACTAGAATGGCTATAATTCTTTTAAAGGGGATAAATAACAGTTATTGACAAGGATGTGGAGTGAAAAGGGAACGCTTGTGCTTTGCTGGAAGGAAAGAAAGAGTGCAACCACTGTGGAAAACAGTTTGGCAGTTCCTCCAAAAGCTAAACATAGAACTACCATGTAATTCAGCAGCTTCACTCCTAGACATATACCTCAAAGAACTGAAAGTAAGGCCTCAAACATATTTGTATACTCACATTCATAGCAACGTTATTCACAATAGCCAAAGGTGAAAACAACACAAATGTCCATCAACAGATGAATGGAAAAACAAAATATGGTGTATATATACAGTAGAATATTATTCAGCCACAAAAAAGCTAAATTTTGATATATGCTACAATATTAATGGACCTTGATGACGTTATGCTAAGTGTAATAAGTCAGATACAAAATGATATATACATATTGTATGAATCCACTTTTGTGACATGCCCAAAGTAGAGAAATTCATGGAGACCATAGAATAGAGGTTACCAGGATCTGGGAGGGAGGGGAGTATGAGGAGTTGTTTAATGGGTACAGAGTTCATGCTGGAGATGATGAAAAAGTTTTAGGTGTACGTAATAGTGACGGAAACAGCTGCCCATCTAGAGCCGCCGCTATCAAGACACAGGATACCGCGGAGAGGCTCTGGCCAGAGCTATAACGCTCCACGGAGCCGGCAGGAGCCCCGCCCTCCCTGGGTGCCCCTGCAGCCGCCCTGCCACGGCTCTCGGCTCTCGGGATCACGCGTCTCTGTGTTCTTGGGGGCCCAGGAAGACCCCTCTGCCTCCCACAGGCTCGGAAGTGCCTGCTCCCACTGCGTGGCTTCTCTCCGCTGTCAGCGCCCGTTCCCATTTCGGAGGCATCCCGGGGGCTGCAAGCTACAGGGAGCCAGGGGAGCAGGGGACAAGCGGGAGCCCTGCCTCTTGCGTATTGGCAGGGCGAGAGCTCCCAGAGGTGCAGCTGCAACCGCCCTCCCAGGCTCAGGACCTGGGCGGCTCTGCAGTCTGCGCCTCTGAAACAATGAGAATGGTTATATAATATTGTGGATATATTTAATACCGCTGCATTGTACTTACCGTGGTTAGAATAATAAATATTATGTTATATATATTTTACCACTGTGTGTGTGTGTGTGTGTGTGTGTGTGTGTGTGTGTGTGTGTGTGTACTTTTTAAGCCTGTCTGTCCAGAGAAAACAAGCATGGAGAAAAAGTGGTCCCAGAGCCCCTGGTAGTTTTCCATTTCCAGGGTCTATCCTTTTTCCTGGGGGTCAATCTATATTCTTGTATTTGAGAATCCATATCTTTATATTTTTAATTTATATTCAAATAAATAAAACACTTTGTTCATGCTCAGAGTAACTCAAGTTGATCATTGCTACTTGAACCCAATCTTAACTAACCAACTTTGGTAAATTTTTAGCAACAAGTTACTTTTTTGGCAACTGTCATCTTCTCTTAATAAAGCTAGAGTCCAGAGGCTGGCCAAGTGCAGCACAAAGCAACGTTCACACTTCACTTACCTTGTGTTGCCTAGAGGAGCAAAGTTTGAATCATCTTCTAGGCTTAGCTTTAGGTAGGATTGTGGACATTAGAATGATCCCACAATAGCAGAAATATTTCTATGAAATACTCTATCTCTGGGTTCAATATTTGGTGTGAGCACCCCTTGTGTGAAGTCATCCAGCCAACAAAAATCCAGCCAGAGGCATTGAGGTGAGGACTTGAAAGTTGTGCAAGAGTTTCTAGAGCTAATGTTATCTCTAGGATCAATCAGAATTGATTAGTAAAAGGGGTATAAAGTATGTTGGCTGACTCCCTGGGTCTTTTTATTAGAAATTGGGAGGATTCTGGTACAAAATTACATGATGGATCATAGTCAACAAGAGAATGTTGTTGTCCAGAGTCTGATATTGCTAAAATGCAATTATTCATAATTTAATTTGCTAATGTTTATTAAGCCTTAGCCTTCTGTCACTAGTTATATCTCAGAAGTTGAGTACTATCTTGGAAGCCATGCTGAGTTCACTTCCTGAATTGGCCACTTATTCATTAGATGGCCTTGGAGGAGGGATGTAAATGCTCTCTAGTGTGGTTTTCTCTTCTGTAATGACAATGCCTGCTTACCTCTTGGGATAGTTGTGAGTACTAAAGGTGTTAAAATGTGTGAAACACTTGGAATGCTGCCTGGAATCTAAGTGCTATCTAAAATGTAAGGTCTTATCATTGTGTGAACATTTCTCACTCACTTTATTGCATCTCTGTGATTACTTCGATACTATCTTGAGTCAGCACTTTCTACTTTAAGTTATACAGCCAAGGTGTGTCATGGCTGCTGGAAGGTTTGATCATAAGGACCAAGTCCTAAAATGTAAATTAGGATAGGAAAAGTGGAGTCTGGAGAGAAGCCAAGTCCTTAAGTTCCTGGCTCACTGTAAAGGCAGAGTGCCTGGGAGCTTCTCTCTTTTCAGAGAATGACAGGGATTTTCAGACTGTGGTCCCCTGTTGTGGGTTGACTGTATCATCTCTACCAGCCTTGGTAGGCACCTATCTTCAAGCAAAAAGGATATTTTGAAGATGAAGATGTTGATTCTATTTTGCCTAAATTTAACTAAACCTTTTATCTATGGTGTCTTCGCCCCCAAATCCCTTCTATGAATGTGCTCTGATTACTTTTTCTTTTTTCTTTTTTTTGAGACGAGGTCTTGCTCTGTTGCCAGGCTGGACTACAGTGGCACAGTCTTGGCTCACTGCAACCTCCGACTCCCTGGTTCAAGCGACTCCCCTGCCTCAGCCTCCTGAGTAGCTGAGACTACAGGCACCTGCCACCACACCTGGCTAATTTTTGTATTTTTAGTAGAGACTGGGTTTTACCCTGTTGGCCAGGTTGGTCTCCATCTCGGGACCTCGCGATCTGCCAGCCTTGGCCTCCCAATGTGCTGGGATTACAGGTGTGAGCCACCGTGCTCGGCCAACTACCAATTTTTTTAAATGATCTTTACCCTTAAGTCATAGCTGATAGGATTTGAGATAGATAAGGTGTCAAGCTAGAGTAAGTTCAGTTTTCCATCAACATGGACCTGGAATATAGAAATCATGACCAGACTTGGACTGAGAACACTTAAATTCTGAAAGTATGAGGTAACTTTGCTCAGGAAAAAACATACACTTGTACACATAAGGGGTGGCCGAATAATGCCTCTCCAAAAATATTAAGGTCCTAATCCCTAGAAGCTTTGAGTGTTATATGGCAAAAGAGATTTCACAAGTGTGATTAAATTAACAATCTTGAGATGGGGAGATTATCCTGGATTATCCAGGTTGGTCCTATGTATATGCAAGTGTCCTTCTAAGAGGGAGGCAGAGGGAGATTTGAGTGTAGAAGAGAAGAAAGTGATGCGATGATGATCAAAGTAGAGAGATAAAAGATGATGTGATACAGAGACACAAGCTAAGGAGTGAGGACAGCCTGTATGATCTGGAAAAGGCAAGGGAGTTGATTTACCCGTATAACCTCCAGAAGGAACTGTACCTGCCAACATGTTGGGTTTAGCCTCATAAATCCTATTCTGAACTTCTGATTGCCATAAATATAAGATAACAAATTGTGTTGCTTTAAGTCATAATATTTATCATAATTTGTTATAATGGCAAAACTAATACATCATAGACATAAAAATTATCTTGAAAATTTAAAGTTAAGCTTTAAATTTGCAACTCAACCTAGCAACCCCTTGTGATAAAAAGCAAGTAAGAAAACCAAATTTTCACTCATGGCCACAAAATTTAATTTAGCGGAGCATCTCAAAGCTCCTCAGAGGGTACTCCGAATAAAAAGCAATGATGCTGAGGGCTTTTTAAAAGTCCTTGGGATAACTTTTTAGAAGGAAGGGAAGAATACCAGAGGAGACACTTTTAAAAGCAGACTTTTTATTTTAACAAGAAAGTCATAAAAGTGAATTTTTTCATGAAAGAAATAGTCTTCATTTAAGAAAGTGTTGCCGTTAAAGGGTTATCTTGGCACTAATGATTGGCTTTGGGTGATTTTAATTCTGAGATGTCTGTCATAAAGGAAATTATGAGACCATAAAATTGAGCTTCTAATTTTCTGTAAGAATACAGAGGAGAAGGAAGGTAAAACTGTTAAGGGTGAGCTTAAGTAATACACAGATCCTAGATAATCAGTTGCATTTTGTGCTAATGTAGATCACAATGCTTGTGTTTGAATTAATGTTTTTTTACTGATAAGAAAGATTTGAAATGGACAGTGGAATCAATCAACAATATTTCTTGGGGGTGCATTTCCACTGATGCCAGCCACAAGGACAAATCTTAAACCCCAAATTGTTCAGTGCCTGTAGGCTTTTCTCATTATTATCTGCCACATGGAAATAAAATGGGATTTCTTTCTGAGAAAGATACTTTTCAAGATGATAACCAATTTGCAACATGTTGCCTTGGTGTCTGTATTTGGGGACAGTATAACCCATTCTCAACTCACAGGACTGTTCCATCACAATCCAAGAGACAAGCTGGCCCTCTGGACCCAGCACACCAAATCCTAGAAAATCCTGGAGGCAGCGTTCAATATATTTCAAGCTCCTCTCATTTTTCCCAAAGGCCCAGTGTTCATTCACAAGACCTGCATGTGAAGCATCTAAGAACATGTTTGAAAAGTTTCCTTCCCTGTGAAGAAAAAGAATTTTACATTTATTCAGCCAATATTACCAAACACTGGAATTTCAAAAAATAAATATAACACCATTCCTTTCCTTAAGGACCCTACAGCCTGGAGGAGGCAATAGATGCATAACAACTACCTTTTCTATTTCCGCTTCAAAATGTTTCCAAATAGTTGATGGGGGAACACTGTGTGTTTTACGGCCCATTTAATAGCAGAGAGACAGCATGATATGTTATAGGACATCTCAAAATATCCCACTAAGTGCCCTAAGGAAGAAAATGAACACATGTCCCTAAAAGAGTGTGAATATAGGCCAGAGAAGCCCTCCACATGGCTGAATTTACTTGAAAGATGCATGTATGAAACCATGTGCATTTTGAGTTCTGCATCACAAGATATCTAAATATACAAGATAGTATTTCATTGAACAGATATTCCAATAAAACATATTTTACAGGAAGATGAGAACAATGCTGATCTTACATCTTCATGTGTCCCAAAGCCCTTCATCACATACCCAGAAACGCAGTTTAAGAAGCTGCAATATAAGAAAAAGAATACTACATTTTTGGTGCTAACCATTGGGATTCTAATCCTGATTATTTTCTTTTGGAAAGGTTATGTTCTCTTGTTTACTTGGTTTTCTTGCTTGTGAAATTACAGTAATATCATCTGTAAATATGGGGATGGTGGAAGAGAGAAGATCTCCAGGAAGTTTAGCCCCTCTCCAGGGAGAAAGAGTTTTGAGAAGTTTGTCAGTTTCAGAGTCACTTCATGTTTGCCAGTGGGTGGGTAACAGAACGCTAAGTTTTCTACGGGCGATGCTTTGTTTTTGCTCACTTCACCTGATCCTGGACTTGCTTCCTGAAAGATCTCAAGTACCCTTTCCTGTACCCTCTCCTGTGGATAGCCAAACCTAGAGTGGCAAGATACCAAGATATCCATGTAGGCTTAGAGGAATCACCTTAGGGCAGGTATTTCATGCCAGATTTCCAGAGTTATACTACTAAATATTATTTAATCCCCATTTATCATTTTCCCTGTGTATATGTTCCCCTTAAGTGTCTCATATGAACACTGGTGGGGCAAAGCAGGATTTGAAGAGTGTTGACTTTTCTGGCTAAATCAAATGTATCTGTGAGTGTGTGTTTAAATTCTATTTATTTTTTCAATTAGTAATACAAATATAAAGCATAAATGGATTACTAGAGGAAAGCAAATCTCTCTTCTTTCTCTGATCTCATATTACCCAGTTACTTTGTCTAGAAGCAACCACTAATGCCAACATATTTTTTACAACTTTCCAGTTATTCTCTGCAATTCTAGATGTATATGTACATTTGTTTATTTACACAAATGGTAGCATATTATATACATTGTTCTATCCACCTTATTTTTTTTCATGTAGCAATCTATTTTGGAAATATTTTATAATCTGTCGTGTAGAGCTACTTCATTCTTTTTAATGGCTGCATAGTATTCTAATGTTTCAATGTCCCATAATAAATTTATCCATTTCCCCATTACTGGATGTTTAGGTTGTTTCATAAGTTATGATATCACACATTAAATTCATGAAAATCTTGCCATCCAGTTTGTTAACATCATTTATTTAGTATGCATATTATTTGACTCAACAATTTTAATTCTAGTAATTCATCTTTCAGATATATTTACACAACTGTGCAATGATCTATTTATGATGATATTCATTGCAGAAGTTGCAGTAAAGTGTGTATGTGTTGTAAAAATAAATACATAACTCATATAGAGTACTAAAAGCATACATATCAGTGTCAAAATTATTTACACCTAGCAAGGGAACCCAAGTGGACAGATTTTATTTTTTATTTTATATACTTATGTATTTTCTATAAGCATGCAGCATTTTGTAAGACATAAATAGTTTCAGTAAACATGTTTTGATGTCACCATGATGTCCATTACCCTCTCAGAAGGACGTTGTGAGCCCTAAGTGAAATAATATGCATAAAGACCTTGTCTAATGAAGGCTATGTCCATGCTCAGTACACAGTTGCTAACATAACTCCCTTTCTTTACCCATGCAATTGTGTAGCCCATCATAATTTAGTCTCAAATCCTACATTTCCAAGTACAGCCTTTGTGGCAACTCAGTAATTCTATCAAGGAATTTGGGAAGCAAAAGGTAAAATCTCACTTGTTATCATCATCCACTTCAAATAACTCCATCTTGTCATTACTTGAGGTCTTGTGTTTCTTTGGTAATTCCGGTATAAAGAGGATGGTTTTCATGTAATCTACCTGCACTGATTTTGAAGTTGCAACCTTTCTTATTGCTTCATCCAAGCCCTCTTGGCAACCTGGAGAAAGGAGAAAGACAAGTACCACTTTATGCCTTCCATATCGGCTAGGAATAAACCATGGATCTTTTTCTTTTAACTCAGACTAGTTACCTTGGATCTGCAAAGTTTGCTCCCAGCTGATTACATTGGAGTATGACAGGACTTCCTCTAATTTGTCAGGAGCTTTGGTGAAGATGTGGTAAGTGTTGGTATAATGATCCTGGTCATCTTTCATCTCCTGATATAACAAATATCAATTATATTTACATAGCGCTACAATTTACAAAATGTTCTTGCATAGGTCTAGAGTGCTAGAGATTCAATTGTTTGAAATATTCTGTTTTTCTGAGACAGGTGTAGAAAATGGCCTTGGAGTCACTTCAAGAATAACTCACTCTTGATACACTGAAGATAGTTGCTTTCTTTTAGGGCACTAAAGTGAGCTGCCCTTGAGAGGGTGAGTAAATAACTCCATTGTCTAGAATGGGAAGTGTACCCTAAATGGTGTATGTTAAGCATTTAAAAGTGAAGGTGCCTAAGGTATGGAAAGAAATATAAAGAACAGGTTTGGCAAGGCTCCAGGTTTTTGACAAGGTGTCACCTGAGCTAATCCTGACCCAGGGGGCTGGCTCAGTGATTGGCTCTTGGTGTGCATGTGAATAGATGAAGTTTTGGAAAGAACCATCATTCCAGAGCCAGAGTAGTACCTAGAATAGACAGCTCAGTCTGCCTCCATATGCCTGCCTACCCTCTGCTGTTGACACTTCCCCTTGGGAGTCCTTGCAGGTGAAAACACTTCTTAATCACTTTCAGCCATAGAAGTCTAGGTTGGGATGTATTCCTATGATCAGAATCTTGATGGAATAGATTGACTGGGTGGAATCCTAATTTTATTTACACATCCTGGATTACTGATCACTGGATCTAAGTTCAAGCCTTATCTCACTGCCCTACCCTGTCTCCCAAACAGCCCTTCCAAAACCTGCATACATCAACAGTGTCAATGTTCTTCTCACCACTCCTCAGTTTCAGTTCCCTCATTGCCATGCAGAGAACGTCTGGAGAGTGACTACCCTCATATTCAGTAACTATTGCTCCTACCTGTTTCTGAGGCCGGGTAATGACGATCTGGTAATCTGGCCAGGCATCTACCAGCACCTCCATGTTGAAAGGGTTTTTATCTTTTATGTTGAAAATGGCGCCATATACCTACGATGCAACAGAACAAAGCAGGAGAGGATGAAGTTCTTCTCCAATATAGAGTCTTATATGTGGAGAAATAAGACATGACATGAGAAATAAGGACAAGAAGTATAGGAGGACTTAGGATGGGCCAGTGCTTCCAGGATGGCTCATTGGGCTACTCATTGAGAGTTATGCTGCTAGACGGCCCAAAAAGCATCCACAAAAATCCAAGTTAATACCTGAGTCATTAGGAACTGGCTTCCCTGATATTCATTCATTTCTAAAAAATTCATGCCATTTTCTCAGTTTTTTTCTTTATTTCATAACACACTATTTATTTGGCATCTATTATGTATCAGGTCTGTCTTAAGCATGAAAAACTCAAAGGTGAATATGATATGGCTACAACCCTAAAGTTAAGTTTAGAAGGATAGAGAGTACATAGTTCAACCATCGTAGGACACGTGGTCTGAGAGATATATGTATATGGTGGTGTAGGATCCCAAGGAGGAAAAGCACTACCTGTCTAGGAAGTGATAAGGAAACTTACAATATCAGAAGCAATATCTGAACTGGGTCTTGATGAATATGTTATGCCTTTTTCTGGCAAAATAGAGAATGAGAGCAAGTTATTACAAGTAGGAGAAAAAGCATGAGTGAAATGATTAAGAGTATGGCAGATGATATCATGCCTACTGAACTGTGAGGGGCTCAATATTTGTAGCAAGTGGTATATGGCAGGAGAATGTTGAGAGGCAAAATAAAAAAGGCTGGAGAATTTTGGGATAAGCCCTGTAACCCAATTAAGCCTTGGAGATGGACTCTGCAAATTTGCTATGGCAAATTTTAAAACCAGGGAGTGATATGACCCTATATGTGTCATATAGATGACTCTCATCACAAAGTTGTAACTAGGCTGTTAAGATTGGAGACAAGGAGGTATTGCAATTACCTGGAAGAGATGACAAAGTACACCAAAGATAGCAGAAGGATAAATTCAAAAGATGTTTAAGAGGTCACAAAAAGGAAGCAAAGTGGGTGATTGACTGGATATTGATATTAAAGTAATCTTTGCACAGATTCTCACTTTAGACTTGCATTCCCATCTCCCCATTAAGGTTATGAATCCTGAATCTGTCCTCCTCTCAACTCAACCCTCTCTCTCCTTTGATCTCCTCCTACTCCGTTACCTTTATGGATTCAGGGATGCTCTTTTCTAAGGATTTATACAGAATCTGCAGCTTCTGAGAGTTATGAAGCACAAGCATCTTATGTAGCACTTCAGCTTCTTTCCCTCAAGAAGATGATCTAAGGAAATAAACACAAAAACAAAAATACCTAGAGAGATATGATAGGTGTCCAGAAAGAAGAGGAAGGAGAAGTCACCAGGGACATCATACACTATTAGCAGTGATGGGCTTTAGAAATTATCTAGTCCAAACTTTTCAGTTTACAAATGAGAAATTAAAGCTCAGAGGTGTAACTAGACCTCAGGGCTCCTTAGTAATCTCCATACAATTCCACTTAAAAAGTACATTAACATATCTGGCAAAATATATCTCCCATGCTCATTTGATTCAAACCAGTAAAAGAATATGGAGAGTGAATGCCTTCAGCTGTCCAGGCACAAATAAAAAATAATGCATCTCTTCAGGGATTGTCCCTCTGGAGAGCCCACCACCCCCAAGCATTGAAACACTTGCTCTAATGTTCCCATAGCATGGGTACTATTTTCAGCTATCAAGAAAGAATATAATCTTCTGAAAAAAAAATCTTGCAGACTATATTGTGTGTAGTCCCTTTTCTCCTAAGGAACAAAACCATAGGAAGAAAAAATTGTTGATTAGTGATGATACCACCAAGTAGAAATTGGCAAGATCTAGGAATTGGAATTATATGTTAGCAACCTTAAAAATAGACCAAACTCTTTTATTCAGTAATTCCACATCCTGAAACTCATCCCAAGGAAATAATAATAGATATGTTTAAGGATGTAAACATAAGAAAATTTATTATAATATACTGTATATAAGATATAATACAAAATTCATTATGAAGAAATGATCAAGTTAATGATGGTGTATCCAAATAATAGATTACCAGGCAACTATCAAAATGATGTCTTTGAAGAGTGTTTAATGACATAGGAAAACGTCTGTGTTACAAAGTCAGGAAAACATATGATGTAATCCCAATTAATAATATAAAGATGCAGGCCAGGTGCAGTGGCTCAGCCTGTAATCCCAGCACTTTGGGAGGCCAAGGCGGGCAGATCACAAGGTCAGGAGTTTGAGATCAGCCTGGCCAACATAGTGAAACCCCGTCTCTTCTAAAAATACAAAAAACTACCTGGGTGTGGTGGTGAGTGTCAGTAGTCCCAGCTACTCAGGAGGCTGAGGCAGGAGAATTGCTTGAACCAAGGAAGAGGAGGTTGCAGTGATCTGATATCGCACCACTGCATTCCAGCCTGGGTGACAGTGTGAGACTCTATCTCAAAAAATAAAATAAAATAAAATAAAATAAAATAAAATAAAATAAAAATTAAAAAAATAATAATATAAAGATGCATAGGTGAATGGTTATCTGTGTATATGTACATTTGCATATACCCACCTGAAAGTCTTTCTGAAACAAAGTAGTATATAAATAAGATATAAATATGAACTTTTGAACTTTCTTCCAGCCATATACACGGCTGACAATATATATAAATATGTAATACCTCATATGATACTTGAAGACAATATATAAGAATGGCCATATTTTCCAAGAACCAACAAATAGAAAATTTTCTACACTATTTTGATGGTTTGCAAGGAAGCCATTAATATTTTTTGCAATCCTAGAAAACTCAGTAAATATGACATCTATGTATGCATGTATATATGTAAGTGTATAGCCATAATCAATACAAAAGGAAGCACAGTGGTTAACAACATGGGCTTTGGAATTAAACAAACCAAAACTCCACCCCTGGCTCCTCCTCTGGCTATCTGGGTCACCTTAGGTAAGTCAAATTATTTGAGTCTCTGCCTCAGTTGCATTATCTATAAAATGGGGATAGTAATATCTACTTTGTAGGTTGTCATGAGGATTTCATTGCCAGAAAAGGTATGTGAAGTGTTTAGCATGGTGGTAATTTGTGTATATACAAGGTTCTGAAGGACATTTTAAAGACCTCTAATCCAGTGAAGGTGACCATTCCACCGGACAGAAACATAAATGAAGAAAACTGCAACTTCAAAGATGGACTACATGTAACTTGCTTGAATAAATCTATTGACACAAAATAGATATTTTGAGGCAAACCACAGATCTAGAAAAAGCTAATGTGTTTCTGTCACTGTCTAGGATGATGGGTGCACTAACCAAATGGCACAGCATTCTGCCCATTCTGCAGGCTTTGGTAGCATATTCCACAAAGGAGAGCAATCAACTTCAAGGAAAGAGCGACCAAAGCAGTCAAAGGCTGCTGAGAAGCTAAAAGATATGAGTACTAAAGATGGCAGTGCATTTTGGAGTTAGGAGTTGATTACTGACTTGGTAAGAGATGTGGAATGAAACGTGAGGAAGTGAAGGTAACTTTTTCAAAGAGCTTGACCAGGAAAGGAAGAAGAACATGAGAATATCGAAGGACAGAGGAGAGGTACAAGAGCTCAAAAAAGGCATTTCTCTTATTAGATGAGAGTTAAGCATACCTATACTAACTACAAGAGGTAAGATGTAAGTCATTAATAGGCCAATGTGTAAACAGGACATAGAAAGGTGACAGAAATTCATTGACCTTATATACAAAATGCCAACCCTATTTCAGCTTCTTTATGTTGATTAATTCATGTAATCGTCAATGATAATTCTCAGCATACTTGTGAAATTAAGTTTTGGACTGGAAGAATACTTCTTTCAGTGAAAAGTCAGAAAAAAAATTAGGATGGATGCAGATGCAGGTGTATGTATGTACGTATACAGCAGGTCATCAAATAATGTCATTTTGTTCAATATCTTTTCATTACAATGGTGAAGAGAAAAACATCAATTCCTGGCTGGACTACTGTCTATGTGCAGTTTGCCTGTTCTCCTCATGTCTGCATGGATTTTCTCTGTCTAAATTGTCCCAGGATGAGTGAGACTCTGTGTGTGTGTGTGTGTGTGTGTGTGTGTGTGTGTGTGTGTGTGCGCCCTGTGATGGAAAGGTGTCCAGTCTGGGGTGGGTTCCTGCCTTGTGCTCTGAGCTACCAGGACAGGCTTCAGTCACTTGCTCCCCTGAACTGGAAAAAGCCAGTTGAAAAATGAATGAATGAATGAATGAATGAATGAAACATTCATAATAAAACAAAAATTCATGAAGTCTATGATAATCATACAAATGAATGACAATAAACAATGCTGTGCCAAAGGACTCAGTGAGGCCACCATATTTGTGATTGAATTTTAACTTCATAGAGGCAAGAGGTGCTCCTTACAACTTTTGCTTTGCAAACATTTATTTCTCAATTTAACCCACCACTACTGTGACCACCATCACACAGACTCACCAAAAATTAGGTAAATAATTATCTTGTTTTTATTAATATTTATTAAATGTATACGCAGTTTCCATTTAGTTCATTGTTTTATATTAGAAGTGTTTGGGTTCTTTATTTATAAGTTTGGTGATGTTTTTGTGACCAGAAATATGCTGTAGGAACTTAACTCTTCTTTATACTAATTAGCTTATGGTAAAATTAATTTTGTTATATGTTGTTTCATTTGAAATTGCAGTTTCCAAGAACCTATTGACAATGTTAAGTGAGGACTAATTTTATATGGGAGTACACAGGGTTAGAAAAAAAGAGCAGAGAGTTGGCAAGTTATTTTTGAATGTCTGTTTCCTGGAAGAGGTAAAATTTTTTCCTATTTCCAAAATCACTTTTTAGCAGTAAGTGGGTGAGGGAGTATGCCAAGAAAGTGTCGAGAAAAAGAAGTAGGATTTTATGGGAAACAGTTAGGGTTTAAATGGCTTTTGATGTTAATGGGAGAAAGAGTGGACTAGAATTAGCAAGGACTAGCAAGCATGCTTAGGATAATGTAAAGATGGACACTATGATTTGGAAGTGTTACTCAACAATATATTGAGCTCAGCTCCCTGAGAGTAGAAGCAGAGAAGACAAATTAAAACAAACCAAGGTTGGTTTTTTCAGGGCTGGTGTAGCAAAAAAGATAAGGTACAAAGCATTTGAATATATAGAAATGAGAGATTGAAACTTACAAACTGTAGCATCCAGGAGAGAGAAGAGAAAAAGTAAAGTAGGTTGGAGACCAATAAAGTAAGAAAATATAGAAAAAGCCATGGAAGAAAGTACTTGATGAAGTCAAAGAATAGCAATGTTAATAGACAGGGAAAAATGTACTTAAAAATAGGAGATTGGGATCAGATATTAGACTATTAGAGGTTAAGATGTCAGAGGCACTCAGAGGTAGATCAGTTTGGGATGTAGGGCTGTTGGCTTCAACTCCAAGTCAACAGAGTAGGAGCCAAGAAGGGAATGGGAGTTTCAGGTACCACAGACATGAATAGGATGTAGCAGAAGTTTGTTGGAGAGAAACATTAGGATACCAGTTGCCAAATGTTTCAATGAATGGAGAGAAATTTGGCAGAGGGCAACAGAAAAGCATTGTTTTATTCTAGCCACATGACACAGAAGGAAGAAGGAAGATTTTTCTATGCAAATAAACCACTAATACTTTAGAAGCAGGATTGGAGGCAAGGAGAATATTGATTTTTTTTTTCTGCTAACAGTATTACTATGGAGATCTAGAGGGTGTCAGAGAAAGGTACAAGCATATTGATAACTTATAATTCAAGGAAAGCATTTGGACATTTTACAAATTCAAAAGGATACGCACTGGCTTTTTCTGAAGTATTTCCAGTTTCAGGTACCTAAAAGGTTTTGAAGAATTCATTCTCAACATTGAGACCCTGGGGAGTGCTCTTTCCAAGGGTTTGCAGGGGAAAAGAAATAAATTAACAAATACAAATGATTTAGAACAAGAATCCAAATTAATTGAACTGCCAAGATAAAAAGGCTGTTCTAAATAATTCTGCTTACCTGAAGTTTCTTTGTAGACCTGTAGGCACACTGCCTGCTGCAGTTTCTCAGTATGGCAATGGAAAGGTTTCTGTAGCTAATACTCTACGGACTGAAACACAATAAAATTCAACTGACTCACGTTGTCACTGTTAAGCATAAAGCTTCAGGAAGTTATGGGTTCCTGTAGATTAAACCAGACGTTCTGTCCATAGACAAGAAATCACAGGCTTTGTAGACCAGAGGAGGACTGAGAATATGTTCCATATTGAGCAGCTTCTACAATTCTAAGAAGTTTTACTCAAGAAGCTTTTGATTTATATATAACCTCTTGTAGCTGAAAGGCTATTCTAGAACAATATTAAGTCAATTTTCCATTGTTGGCAAAAATAGCACAGCTGCAGCCTTATTTAAATGATGTCAGTAGAGCAAACAAAGAGTTGGAAAGTTTGATTTCAATGCAAAATACTTGGCTTAATACTTTCAACCATTTGTGGCTTGGAAAAAGCCAAAAATGCCTCAAGGAAGTTACTGTAATAATGAGAACTCAGTTTCATATACCTTGTCCTCTGGTTGTCTAAAGTGGAGCAACAGGGAGGGGCATTGTAAGTTTAAGAAGAAAAATCAATTACTGGAGAAAAGTTTCAGGGGGACTGGAATTAGCTTTGTAGTGGAATAGAGACAAACATTGTTTTTCAAAGTGTGTTCCTCACACCACCTCCTTCAAGATCAATTAGGCTTGTTTGTTAACAATACAAGAACTTTTCCAGATCAGGTAAATCAGAGGCTCCCAGAGTGCCTGGCAATCTGTATGTTATAAAAAGCTATCTAAAAGAATCTGATCAACATTACATTTTGAAGACATTGAGATTAAAACATGGGAAAATATAAGTTATAAAATTTTTATACTGGGTGCAGTGGCTCACATCGGTAATACCAACTACTTGGGAAGCTCAGGCAGGAGGGTCGCTTGAGGGCAAAAACTTGATACAAGCCAGGGCGACCTAATAAAACCCCAGTCTTTAAAATTTTGGTTTTTAATTAGCCAGATGTAGTGGCATGTGTCTATAGTCCCAACTACTCAGCAGACTGAGATGGAAAGATTACGTGAGCCCAGAAACTTGAGATCGCAGTAAGCTATTTCACCACTGCACTTCAGCCTGGGGAACAGGGTGAGATACTATCTCTAATTAAAAAAAAATTCACCCACTTTCTGGAAGTGAAAGAAACTTCACAAATTGTAATCATTTATAGCATGAGAAAAGCAAGAGTTATTTTTACACAAATAAGGAAGCTGTTGCTGAGAAAAAAATAAATGTCTTCCCCCAGGTCACAAAACTAACCAGTGGCAATGTCTGGAACATGAGGCCAAATATCGAATTATTTTAATGACACTATGATTCCATAGAGAGTGATTCTCTACCCTTAGGCAGTTTATATCTTCTTACAAACCTAAATCATCTACTCCAGATGACATATAAAAATTATCAGTGATAATTTAATACTATCTACACATTCTTGCTATGTAAGGCATTGAGTTTTATAGTTTTAGTTACTCTACTTTTTGAACCAAAAGTGGTTCACATAATCTATCAAAGAATTTTACATATTCATAATTGTAAACGATTATTTTGTTAAATACATATCAAAGTTTATAGAGTTATACAGTAAACTAATCATCCTTTTTAAAAAATGGTCCATTTCAACTAGTCAATACATATGTTTTATTCCATAATTGACAGCAAACTGTGGATAGTTGAGAGAACACATATTTTTTTTCTATACTGAGTATTACTTAAGTAATTTCTTGAGCCATTAAATTTTTTTTATATAGTTTATAATGGGGAGGAGAAGCAAAGCAAGTGGCAGAATAGAAGGCTCCACTAATCATTTCCCCATACCCCACAAGGCACCAACTTAACAACTACACAGAAAAAAATACCTTCATGAGAGCCAAAAATCAAGTGAGCACTCATAGTACCTGGTTTTGACTTCATATCCCTGAAAGAGGCACTGAAGAGACAGTAAAAAACAGTCTTGAATCACCAATCCCCATCCCTCCCAACCTCAGTAGCAGTAGTGTGGTGCACAGTATATCTCTGGGCACGGGGGTAGAAAGAACACAGCAATTATGAGGCATTGAACTCATTGCTGTCATGTTAGACACAAAGGAAAACTAGACCAAACTCAGCTGACACCTGCCCATGGAGGCAGAGGGAGCATTTAAACCAGTCCTAACCCGAGGGGAATCACCAATCCCAGCAGTCAAAACTTCAGTGACTGAAAACCTCACCACAGAGGGCCTAAAGTTCTCTGTGTTTCCAAGTAAACGTGAAAGGCAGTGTAAACCATAAGGACTGCAACTCTTAAGTGAGTCCTAGTGCTGAATTAGGCTCAGAAATTGTGGACTGGGGGGACACTTGACATACTGAGACACCAGCTGGGTCAGTCAAAGGAGAGCTGGTATCACCTCTTCCCTAACCCCAGGCTGCATAGCTCACAGCTGCTAAAGAGACTCCTTCCCTCTGCTTGAGGAATGAAAAAGAAACAGTAAGGCGAACTTCATCTTGCATCTTGGATATCAGCTCAGCCACAACAGGATAAGGCACCAAATAGAGTTGTGAGGCCCCCGTTCCAGGCCCCAGCTCCCAGACAACATTTCTAGACATTTGCTGGGCTGGAAGGGAACTCTCTGCATTGAAAAAAAGGATCCAGTCCTCACAGCATTCATCACCTGGTAGAAGATACCCTGAGCCCTGAATAACCTACAGCAGTACCCATGTACTATTAGTACATTGAGGACCTTGCGTGAGCATCTGAGGATAGCAGGTTTCAGGTGAGACTCAGCACATTTCCAGCTGTGGCAGCTCTGGGGCAAGATTCCTTCTGCTTCAGAAATGTGGAAGGAGAAGTAAAGAGACTTTGTTTTGCACCTTAGGTGCCAGCACAGCCACAGCATGGTAGAGCAGCAAGTGGGCTCTTGACATCCCCAATTGCAGGACTTAGCTCTTGAACAGCATTTCTGGACCTTCCCTGGGCCAGAAGGAAGCCCACTGCCCGGAAAGGTGAGTCCCAGGCCAGGTAGACTTTACTACAAGCTGATTTAAGAGCCCTTAGGCCTTAAGAGAACACTGGTTGGTAGTCTGGCAACCAGTGGGTAGGGGTGACTATGTGGTGAGACTCCTCTGTCTTTGGAAAGAAAAGGCAAAAGTGGGAAGAACTTCATCTTGTGGTTTGAACCTCAGCTCAACTGCAATATAATAGAACACCAGGTAGCCCTCTAATGTTTTTGACTCTAGTCCTTGACTTCTGGACAGCACATCTGTATCTCAGGGCCTGAGGAATCTCACTGCCCTGATGGGAAGCACACAGGCCTTGCTGGCTTTGCTACCTTCTGATTGTAGAGTTCCAGAGCCTTAAGTGAACATAGGCAGTAGCCAAGGAGTGATTACAGCAGGCCTTGGTCAAGATGCAGTGCTGTGCGGACCTCAGGCCTGATCTAGCACAGTCATAATGGCGGTGGCCACAGGAGTGCTTATGTCACTCCACCCCCAATTTTAGTTGGCTCAGAACAGAGAGAGAGGCTTTTTTTTTTTTTTTTTTTTTTTGAGAAAGTAAGGGAAGAAAACAGAACAGTCTCTGCCTGGTAATCCAGAGAATTCTCCCATATCTTCTCCAAGACTATTGAGGCGGTACCTTTATGAGTCTTCAAAAACCACAGTATTACTGGGCTTGGGATGCTCTCTGAAGTAGAGACAGCTTAAATCATGATACCTACATCTTTTCAAATATCTGGAAAGCCTTTCCAACAAGGATGGCTACAAATAAGCCCAGACAGTGAAGACTAGAGCAAACACCTAACTCTTCAGTGCTCAGACACTGAAGAACATCTACTAGCATCTACAGCATTGAGAAGAATGGGACCTCACCAAATCAACTTAATAAGACACCTGGGACCAATCCTGGAGAAATGGAGATATGTGACCCTTCAGAGAGAGAATTCAGAATACCTGTGTTGAGGAAACTCAAAGAAACTTAAGATAACACAGAGAAGAAATGCAGAATTCTATCAGATACATTTAACAGACAGATTGAAATAGTTAAAAAGAATCAGAAATTCTGGAGCTGAAAAATGCAATTGTCATACTGAAGAATCTATCAGGGACCTTTATTCGCAGAATTAACAAAGCAGAAAAAAGAATTAGTGAGCTTGAAGACAGGCTATTTAAAAATGCGCTTTCAAAAGATACAAAATAAAAAAATTAAAAAACAACAAAACACATCTACAGGTTATAGAAAATAGCCTTGAAAGGGCAAATCTAAGAATTATTGGCCTTAAAGAGAAGGTAGAGATGGAGATGGGGTAGAAAGTTTATTTAAAGAAATAATAACAGAGAACTTCCCCATACCAGAGAAAGATATCAGTATCTGAGTACAGGAAAGTTGTAGAACACCAAGCAGATTTAACCCAAAGACTATCTCAAGGCATTTAAAATCAAACTCCCAAAGGTCAAGGAGAAAGAAACATAAAAGCAGCAAGAGAAAAGAAATAAATAACATACAATGGAGATACAATACATCTGACAGCAGATTTTTCAGTGGAAACCTAGGAGACAGTGGCATGACACACTTAAAGTGCTGAAGGAAAAATACCTTTTACCCTAGAATATTATCTCACAAAAATATTCTTCAAAAATGAAGGAAGAATACTTTCCCAGACAAGAGCTGAGGGATTTCATCAATATCAGACCTTTCCTACAAGAAATGCTAAAGAAAGAACAGAACATTGAGAAAGAAAGGAACATTAGTGAGCAATAAATAATCACCAGAAGTTTTAAAACTCACAGGTAATAATAAGTACACACGAACAGACAGAATATTATAACGCTGTTAACTGTGGTGTATAAACTACTTTTATCCTAAATAGAAACACCTGAGCTCAAGCAATCCACCTACCTTGGCCTCCCAAAGTGCTAGGATTACAGGCATGAGCCACCACACCTGGCCTATATATCAATAAATTGGAAAACCTAAAAAAAATGACAAATTTCTAGACACATATGATCCACCAAGATTGAACGAGGTCAAAATCCAAAACCTGAACAGACCAATAGCAAGACACAAGACTGAAGCTATACTAAAGTCTCTCAGTAAAGAAAAGCCCAGGATCTGACAGCTTCACTGCTGAATTCTACCAAACATTTAAAGAAGAATATCAATCCTACTCAAACTGTTCTGAAAAATGCAGGAGAAGGCAGCAAACTAACACAAGAACAGAAAACCAAACACCGCATGTTCTCACTTATAAGTGGGAGTTGAACAATGAGAACACATGGACAAAGGGAGGGGAACATCATACACTGGAGCCTGCTGGTAGGTGGGGGCCTGGGAGAGGGATAGTATTAGGAGAAATACCTAATGTAGATGACAGGTTGATGGGTGCAGCAAACTACCATAGCTCGCTTATACCTATGGAACAAAGCTGCACGTTCAGCACATGTATCCCAGAACTTAAAGTATAATTAAAAAAAGATAAACAATTCCAATAGAAAAACAGGAAAAGTGAAAAAAATAGAGAAGGGAATACTTCCAAACTCATTCTATGAGGCAAATATTATCCTGATACCAAAACCGAAGACACATCAAAACACAGAAAACTACAGTCCAATATTTCTGATGAATATTGATGCAAAAATCCTCATCAAAATACTAGCAAACCCTGGTAAAAGTGGGCATCTTTGTTGTGTTCCAGCTATTGGAAAAAAGGCTTTCAGCTTTTCCCCATTCAGTGTGATACTAGCTGTAGGTCTGTCATATATAGCTTTTAACCTGTTGAGGCATGTTTCTTCTATTCCCAGTTTGTTCAGAGGTTTTATTATGAAGGGATGTTGAATCTTATCAAATGCTTTTTTGTGGGCGGTAAGCCACCTGAGGCAAGAGACCGAGGGCACGAGCTGTTCCAGTGTGATAAATATATAAAATAACAAGAGTTATACTAGATATAGATCATAGATATGATTATATATGAATATCATTAATCATTAATTTGTAGCAATTACTCTTTATTCCAATATTATAATAATCTTCACTCTACAATCATAACCCAGGAAAAACCAGGCCATACAGAGATAGGAGCTGAAGGGGCATGGTGAGAAGTGACCAGAAGACGAGAGTGTGAGCCCTCTGTCATGCCCAGACAGGGCCACTAGATGGCTCCTTGGTCTAGCAGTAATGCCAGCATCTGGGAAGATGCCCATTACCAAGTGGACATGGTCTAGCGGTAGCATCAGTGCCAAGGAAAAGCACCTGCTACTTAGCAGACCAGGAAAGGGAGTCTCCCTTTCCCCAGGGGAGTTTAGAGAAGACTCTGCTCCACCACTCTTGTGGAGGGCCTGACATCAGTCAGGCCCACCCACAGTTATCTGGAGGCCTAACCATCTCCCTGTGATGCTGTGCTTCAGCGGTCATGCTCCTGTTTCACTTTCATGTTCTACTCTGGGCACCTGGCTCTGCCCTCTAGATAGCAGTAGCAAAATTAGTGAAAGTATTAAAGTCTTTGATCTTTCTGAAAAGAGCATAGAATAAATAATGGCATAAGCTGTACTCTCTCTGCCTTGGCTGCCAAACAGGGAAGGGCCCCCTGTCTGGTGGACACGTGACTCACGTGACCTTATCAATCATTGGAGATGACTCACACTCTTTACCCTGCCCCTTTTGCCTTGTATCCAATAAATAACAGTGCAGCCAGGCATTCGGGGCCACTACTGGTCTCCGCATCTTGGTGGTAGTGGTCCCCCGGGCCCAGTTGTCTTTTCTTTTATCTCTTTGTCTTGTGTCTTTATTTCTATGATCTCTCATCTCTGCACATGTGGAGAAAAACGCACAGACCCTGTGGGGCTGGCCACTACCCTTTTTAGCATCCATTGAGATGATTATATGGATTTTATCTTTCATTCTGTTGATATGGTGTATCGCACTGGTTGATTTGCATATTTTGAACTATCCTTGCATCCTAGGGATACATCCCAGTTGGTCATGATGAATAATCTTTCTAATGTTATTGTTGAATTTGGTTTGCTAGTATTTTGTTGAGGATTTTTGCATCAGTATATGCACATACTCTGTACCCACAAAAATTAAATATTAAAAAGAATTAAAAAAACAAAAAAGATAGACAATTGAGTTGGCCTTCTTCCAAAGAATTGTATTACATAATATTTGGACACTGCCAGAAACTCCAGACATCTGAGAGACATGATTACTATTATATGGTTCCTGGGTGTATCTTCCTCACTTCTGTAGAACTACAGAAATAGGTGGGTGACATGTGGGAAAAGATTCATAAGTAATGTTAAAGAGTTTCTAAATCATCACAGGGGAGATGGCAAGCCACTGGAAAGTTAGGACTGGAAAAACATGGTTGGGAGGAAGATGTCTGTTAGTGGGATACACACAAGGGATGATTGCCACCTGAGCTAGCATGATAGCCTACTGAGACGAGAAGAGATCCATAGATTTGAGATAATTCAAAGGTAGAGTTTGCAGAATTTGGTCATTGATTGAGAAAGAGTGAGAAGGCTGGCATCTGAGTTTCTGGATTGATCCACTAGAAGCATCAATAATTTTAATTCTTTGAATGGAAATAATATGTAAATTGGTAGATGATAATTTGCTTAAAGTCTTCATTAAGATATTTTCATGACTGTGAAACCAAATGACTATATTTATGAATGTGTTTACTTCTGGCAGAACTTTCATAGGCTCACTCCTTCTAAACTCAGTTCCCTTAACCCTCTTTCCATGAGATCGTATGAGTCTCAATAAAAATTCTGCAGTAGGGGCTATTAGATACCCAACCCCATCTCCAGTTTTTCCTCATGCTTCAGGAAGAAGAATTTGCTATTACCAGGAAAGTCTTTTAAAGCTGCTATGGACATTCAATTAAAGGACACTGAGAATGTAACTAACAGAAATTCAGTGATGTTTCCAAATTGCCTGACTATACGTTTTGAATAACAATGACCTACATTTATTGAGAAATTAACAATATGCCAGGTACATTCAAACTTCTTAGTATATTGTTTCATTTGGTCCTCACAACAACTCTATGAGGTAATCATTACTATTATCCACATTTTATGGAGCAGGAAATTGAGATAGAGATAGGGTAAATAGCTTGCTCAAAATTACATGAAATGAAAATAGCCGATCCAGGATTAAGGCCACAGAACCTTTGCCAAGAGCTCTCAAGTGAGATGTACAGACAAATATTCTTCTTCTAATTGCCATCAGCTATTTGAGACCATATTATCTGCCAGTTTCCTTGTTGATCTAGAAGTCTCTTTAATCGTTAACTACTTCCCTAAAGGCTCTGTCTCCAAATACAGTCACATTGGGGGTTAAGCCTTCAACATGTGAATTTTGAGGGAACACAATATGGTCCTTAAGAGTTGCTCTCTGTTCCCAAGCTGAGTGCTAAGGTCTTTCCTCAATAATGAATTCTTTTTTGCCTAAGTCAGCCAGTGAAGTGCTTGTAACCAACAATGCTAATGAGTAAAGTATCTCTATATCATAGCAATATATTTGGTATTCATTTATTTGGTGTTTCTTTGATTTGCACGTGTAATCAAGAATCATTTAGTCATTTATTCAAACATAGTTTTACCACTGCCATTTAATCACCTGTGTGACTTTAGATGAATTCATCTAAGTAACGTTTCCTTTATCTATAAAGTATAGACAATTATACTGACCCCAAGATTGTTTGAAGGATTTGGGGCAATACGAATATTTATAATTATTAAATATCCTGACAAACACAATTGACCCTTGAACAACATAGGTGTGAACTGCATGGGTCCACTTATGGTTGGATCTTTTTCAATAAAAACAGTCAATCCTCCATATTGGTAGGTTCCACATCTGCAACCAAATACAGATCAAAAATAAAGTATTTGCAGGATTCAAAACCTGTGTACACAGAAGGCTGACTTTTCCTATCTGCAGGTTCCACAGAGCCAATTGCAGAACTTGAGCATGAGTGGATTTTAGTATCACTGGGGGTCCTGGAACCAATTCCTCCAGGATACTGAGGGACGACTGTAGTATCAACTGGAAGTATCATATGTTTGGGTGGGCTCTGACACCTTTTAGAAAATCACGGCCAGGAGAAAAAGAAATGAATATTTAATTTTTGGTTTTCAAAATTGGGACTCTGAAACAAATCTATGTCCTTATATTTTTTTCGTAGTGAATACGTTTTCTAATTATTAACTATTTATTTACAAATGAAAATTGTATATATTTATTGAGTACAACATGATGTTTTAAAGTATGTATACATTGTAAAATGGCACAATAGAGCTAATTAATATATGCACTATCATATACTTTTAAGGTTTTGGTGAGAACACTTAAAATGTATTCTAATAACAATTTTCATAAAATAGTATATTTAAGTATAGTCACCATGCTGCACAATAGATTTATTGGACTGCTCCTACTATCTAACTGAAATTTTGTATCCTGTGACCATCTCCCCAGTCCCTACCACCTCCTCCAATGTCTGGTAACCACCATTATACTCTCTGCTTCTATGAATTTAACTTTTTCAGATTTCACATATAAGGTAGATAATGTGATATTTGTCTTTCTGTGCCTGGTTTATTTTACTTAACATAATGTACTCCAAGTTCATCTATGTGGTTTCAAATGACCGAATTTCCTTCTTTTTAAAAGCTGATTAGTATTCTATTGTGCATATATACCACATTTTTAATGTTCATTAATCTGTTGATAGACACTTAGGTTGACTCTATGTCTTGGCTATTGTGAATAATTCTACAATGTACATAGAAGTGCAGATATCTGTTTAACATACATGCCTGCCTCAGAGATATGGAGGGTTTAGTTCCAGACCACTGCAATAAAGTGGGTATTCCAGTAAAGCAAGTCACACGAAGTTTATGGTTTCCCAGTGCATATAAAAGTTATGTTCACTCTATACTGTAGTCTATTAGGTGTCCAATTGCATTATGTCTTTAAAAAGTACCTATAGTAATTTTAAAATAATTTACTGCTAAAAATGCTAAGGATAATCTGAGCTTTCAAAGAGTTGCAATCTTTTTTGCTGGTGCAAGGTCTTATTTTAGTGTTGATGGCTGCTGACCAGGGTGGGACTTCCTGAAGATTAAGGTAGCTAAGGCAATTTCTAAAAATAAGACAACAAATAAGCTTGTTGCATTGATTAACTCTTCCTTTCAGAAAAGATTTGTCTGAAATCAAAATGCTATTTGGTAGCATTTTACCCACAGTAAAACTTCATTCAAAATTGGAATCAACCCTTTCAACCCTCGCTACAGCTTTATCAAATAGATTTACATAACATTAGAAATCCTTTGTTATCATTTCAGCAATGTTCACAAAATCTTCACCACGAGTAGTTTCTATTTTAAGAGGTCACTTTCTTTGCTCATCCATAAGAAGCAATTTCTTATCCATTCAGGTTTTATCATGAGATTGTAGCAATTCAGTCAGAACTTCAGGCTCTACTTCTAATTTTAGTTCTCTTGTTATTTCCACCACATCTGCAGTTACTTCCTCCATTTAAATCTTGAACACTTCAAAGTTATCTGCAAGGATTGGAATCACCTTCTTCCAAATTCCTGTTGATGTTGATAGCTTGATCTCCTCCCATGGATCATGAATGTTTTAAATGGCATATGGAATGGAAAATCCTTCCAAGAGATTTTCAATTTACTTTGCCCTGATCCATCAGAGAAATCACAATGTATTGCAGCTATAGCCTTAGAGAATGATAAATAATAAGACTTGTAAAGTTGAAATTACTCCTTGATCTATGAGCTGCAGAATGGATGTATGTTAGCAAGCATGAAAAAAAATTAATGTCCTTGTACATCTCCATCAGAGCTCTTGAATGAATAGGTGCTTTTTCAATGAGCAGTAATATTTTTATAAGAATATATTTTTCGTGAGCATTAGGTCTCAATTGTAGGCTTAAAATATTCAGTAAACCACGCTGTAAATAGATGGTGCTGCAATCTAGGTTTTGTTCTTCCATTTGTAGAGAATAGGCAAACTCTATTTAGCATAATTCTTAAGGACCCCAGGATTTTTGGAATGGTAAGTGAGCATTGGCTTCAACTTAAAATAACCAGCTGCATAAACTCTAATGAGAAAGTCAGCCTGTCCTTTGCAGCTTTGAAGTTAGGCATTGTCTTCCCCTTTCCAGCTCTGAAAGTCCTTGATGGCATCTTCTTCCAAAAGAAACCTGTGTCATCTACATGGGGAATTTGTTGTTTGGTGTAGCCACCTTCAACAATTATCTTAGCTAGATCTTCTGGATAATCTTTTACAATTTCTACATCAGCATTTGCTGCTTCCCTTTGCACTTTTATGTTATGAAAATGGGCCAGGTGTGGTGGCTCATGCCTGTAATCCCAGCTCTTTGGGAGGCTGAGTTTGGTGGATCACCTGAGGTCAGGAGTTTGAGACCAGCCTGACCAACATGGTGAAACCCCATCTCTACTAAAAATAAAAATAAAAAAAATCAGCCAGGTGTGTTAGTGGGTGCCTATAATCCCAGTGACTCAGGAGGCTGAGGGAGGAGAATCGCTTGAGCCCAGGAGGCACAGGTTGCAGTGAGCCCTGATCGCTGCACCACTGCATTCCAGCCTGAGCAACAGAGTGAAACTCTGTCTAAAAGAAAAAAAAAAGAAAAAGAAAATGGCTTCTTTCCTTAAACCTCATGAACCAACCTCTGATAGCTTCCAACTTTTTTTCTGCAGCTTCCTCACCTCTCTTAGTTATTTTCAAATAACTTAAAAGATTTAGAGTCTTGCTCAGGATTAAGCTTTTGTTTATGAATGTTGTGGCTAGTTTAATTTTCTATCCAGAGCACTAAAACTTGCTTCAAAACAGCAATAAGGCCATTTTGCTTTCTTATCATTGATGTGCTCACTGGATTAGCACTTTTAATTTCCTTCAAAGATTTTTCCTTGCATTCACAACTTGGCTAACTGTTTGGTGCAAAAGACCTAGCTTTTGGACTGTCTTGGATTTTGACCTGCCTTCCTCCCTATGCTTAATCATTTTTCGCTTTTTGTTTAAAATGAAAGACTCATGACTCTTTCCTTCACTTGAATACTTACAGATCATTGTATGGTTTATAACTGGCGTAATTTAAATGTTGTTGTGTCTCAGGGAATAGTGAGGCTAGAGGAGAGGGAGAGAGTCTGGGAACGGTCATTAGGTGAGGCAGTCAGAACACACACAACAGTTATCAATTAAGTTTGCTGTCTTATATGGGTGCAGTTTGTGGTGCTCCAGAACAGCTAAAATAGCACCATCAAAACTCACTGATCACAGATCACCTTAACAGACACAATAACAAAGAAAAAGTCTGAATATATTGGGAATGACTAAAATGTAATAAAGACAGGAAGGGAGCACATTTGTTGGAAAAATGGTGCCAGTAGACTTGCTTGATGCAGGGTTGACACAAACTTTTTATATTTGTAAAACTACAGTACCTGTGAAGTACAATAAAGTGAAATGCAATAAAATAAGGTGTGCCTGTACTGATTTAATTTCCTTTAAACATATATGCAGTAGGGATTGCTGGATCATATGATAGCTCTATTTTTAGCTTTTTGAGGAATCTCTGTACTGTTTTGCATAAGGCTACACTGATTTACATTCCCACCAACAGTGCACAAGGGTTCTCCTCTCCTCACATCCTCTCCAACAGTTATCTTTCATCTTCTTGATAATAGCAATTCTAAAATGTGTGAGGTGATACTGTGACTTTAATTTGCCTTTTCTTGATAATGAGTACTGTTGAGCATTAAGAAAAAAACCCATTAATTATTTTTATGTCTTCTTTTGAGAAATGTCTATTCAAGATGGCAGTGGGGAGCTAGCGGCAGCTGGCTGGGGAGGGGTGTCTGTACACCACAGAGAGCTTCCCTGGGTGATTCTGGGACCTGGAACAGCCTCCTCCTCCTCCCACTGCCTAGACCTGGAGAAGCCTTTTCTCATCCTTCTCACTCATCCCCCTGGGGCGGGGCGAGTGGGCTGAGCTGCCCCATGCTTGCAGAGCCCAGAGCGGGAACCGTTACCACTAGTGCTACAGAGTGAACTTCACCTCCTTTCCAGGACACACGCGTGAACCACTACCCCAGGTTGTGTTGATGTCTTATTGCTGTTTCTCCAAAACAGCAATAAGGCCATTTTGCTCTTTCATCATTCATGTTGTCACTGGACTAGCACTTTTAATTTCCTTCCAATTTTTTTCCTTGCTCTAAAATCTGTCTTTGTATTTGCATCTTGACTCCAGACTCCCCTTTCCAAATCTAGATAAGCACAGTGACCATTCAGCATAACCAAGATCCCTTTCTCACTGTTGCCTGTCTCCTGACTTACCTGCTACCCTCATTCCCTACTCTTTTCCCCTCCAAAAAAAAAAAAAAAAAAAAAAAAACAAGCAAAACAAACAAACAAAAAATATCTTACTTGAGGAATTAGGTAGGCAAGGAATGATGGATCACATTGGAGTTTGGGCTTTAAAACATACAAGGAAAGAAAACATTTAAAACACACTTGTTTTCTCTACACTGGATAAGAATATTGCTGTACAGTATAAATTTTAATGTCATGTGTCTGTGTGAATGTAGCGTGCGTTTGAGTAGCATTGTGTGTGAGTGGCTCCACAAGTACCTTCAAGTGCAGCCCCTCAGTTTAAAGAAGAAAGTGGGGGAAAAAAACTCCACAAAGCTTTAAGTTCCTTGAGTGCTTCCTTTTCCTAATGAGCATGGTTCTGACAACTGGAGATGAGCCTACTTTGGAAACAGCCCCTCTTGCCCTGTGTTTATTCTTAGGGAACCCCTTTATTCACTCCATTCCCAATGGTCTCACTCCCAACTGATGATAAGTTAGCTAGAAATTTAACACTTTTCTGTAACTTTAAATTTAGATAATGCTTTGTTATAAATTTTTACACCTTTCTTCTGTTAAAGATGAAGAATTGGGCTTTTTTAAAAAAAAAAAAAATTGGATCAAATAAGCCCTTCCCTTTCCACTTGTCTCTGGGCAATGTGAGCTGATGGTTCTTAAGATGTTGAGTTTTATTTACTATCCACTACTCTTTAGCCAAGAATTCTCTAGTGATCTGAAGCAATGTGGCTGAAGACCAGCTTTTAAATTTTGTGTTGACAAGTTGCCTTATATTTAAAAAGGAAAAAAAGTTACCTGATTTATATTATGCCAGATTACAGCAACATGAAGTCCTAATTTATTGTTCTTGGTTGTTTTCCTGCCTAATGTGAACTTCCGTGTCCCTGATTCCTCAGGAATACCTACAGCTTCTGGTGCAATGTCGTTTCCCAAAGTGTTGGCCACCATTTCACCCAAGGTCCTCTTCCAATTCTTGCTTTTCTGAGTCAGATTTAGAGAGCATCACTGTCTCCCCTTATCCCTCATTTGATCTCCAAACCAGATATTCTTGCTATACTTTCCTTCTCAGTACCTCTCCCTGAATGGTGAGCTGCCATTTTAGGAAATTGGACCAGATACTAATTTGGGAGCTTTAAGTCAAAAACCTCTAACCCATTTCTTCCTGTGTAGGGGTGGAAGTCTCTGAAGCTCTCACTCACACCTGTAGTCTGTGGAGAAAATGTACTGCAATCCCCCTGGCCCCCAACTGCCACTGCCTTTGGTGTGAGATGTTCCCTATTTCCTAGTTCAACTTGAGTCCCTCTCTCCTCTGCTAGCCTACCCCCATCCATCAATAAGGATCCTAGCTACAGCCTCCTATTCACACTCCCTGCCTCCATTCCACACTACCCTAGGGAATACCTGGATTCCCCACTCTGTCCACATATTGTAGCATTCATTCTCTCTCTCTCTCATCCTCTCACCTGTGTGGTTTATGGGTGTGATAGAGTTTTTAAGATTATTATAAACTAGCAAAAAGAAAAAAAAACTCAGAGAGAGAGAGAGAGAAAGATCTATTCAGGGCCTTTGCCCATTTTTAATTTGGATTATTTGTTTTCTTGCTATTATGTTTCTTATTATTTTAAATATTAACCTCTTTTCAGATGTATGGTTTGCAAAGATTTTCTTCCATTCCATAGGTTGCCTCTTCTTCCTGTCGATTGTTTCCTTTGCTGTATAGAAACTATTCTAGTTTGATGTAATCCCATTTGTCTATTTTGGCCTTCGTTATCTGTGCTTTAGGAATTCCATCCAAAAATCATTGCCCCAACTAATATCAGGAAGCTTTTCTCCTGTGTTTTTTTCTAGTGGTTTTGCAGTCTCAGGTCCTACCTTTAAGTCCTTAAACCATTTTTGGTTGATTTTTATACATGGTGTGAGATAAGGTCTAATTTCAATTTTCCAAATGTGGATATGCAGTTTTTTCAACAGCATTTATTAAAGAGACTGTTCACTCCTCATTCATGTGTTCTTGGCAACTTTGTCAAAAATCAATCACCTTAAATGCATGGATTTATTTCTGGATGTTCTATTCTGTTCCATTACTTCATGTTTCTGTTTTTATGCTAGTACCATCCTGTTTTCATTACTATTGCTTCATAGTACATTTTGAAGTTAGGTAGTGTGATATCTGCAGCTTTGTTCTTGTTGCTTATGATTGATTTTGTTCTTAGGGATCTTTTGTGATTACACATACATTTTTTGGTGTTTTATATTCCTTTGAAGAATGTCATTGGTATTTAGATAGGAATTGCATTGAATCTGTAAATCACTTGGGCCATTATTGTCATTTTGACAGTATTAATTCTCCCAATCTGTAAATAAGGAATATTTTTCTATTTATTTGTGTTTTCTTCACTTCCTTCATTTATGTTTAATAATTTCCACTATATAAGTCTTTTACCACCTTGTTTAAGTTTACTCCTAAGTATTTATGTTTTGTATCTATGCAAACAGGATGATTTTCTTTGTCAGATCTTTCACTGTTAGTGTATAGAATCACCACTGATTTATGTATGTTCATTTTGTATCTTGCCACATTACTGAATTGCTTACTAGTTTTAACCTAGTTTGCTGCAGTCTTTAGGATGTTTTATATGTAGGACCATGCTATATGCAAACAGGAATATATTTAGCTACTTCCTTTCCAATTTGGATGCTTTTTATTTTTTTCTCTTGCCTAATTGCTCTGAGTAGAACTTCCATTAATGCATTGAATAGAAGTCGTGAGGGTGAGCATCCTTGCCTTGTCCTTAATCTTAGAAAAATGTTTTTCACTTTTCACCATTAAGTGTAATGTTAGCTGTGGGTTTATCATATATTGTCTTTATTGTATGAGCTACATTTCTTCTATACCTCATTTGTTGAGAGTTCATAATCAGGAAATCATGGTGAGCTTTATCAAATGCTTTTTCTGCATCTATCAAGTGATCATTGGATTTTGTTTTTTATTCTGTTAATGTGGGATTTCACATTTATAGAACTGTACGTTGAACTATCTTTGCATCCCTATGTTAAAGCCCACTGTATCATGATTAATGACCTTTTTGACATGCTGTTGAGATTAGTTTGCTAGTATTAATATTTTATTGATGCACCTATGTTCATCAGTGCTATTGCCTATTATTTTCATTTGTTGAAGTGTCCCTATCTTTGTTATCAGGGTTAACAACAACTTTGTAAAATAACTTTGGAAGTATTCCCTCTTGTTCGATTTCTTGGAAGGGTTTTAGAAAGATTGACATTAGTTCTTCTTTAAATGTTTGGTGGAATTCAGCAGTGAAGCCATAAGGTCCTGGGCTTCTCTTTGATGGAATATTTTTTTTACTTATTTAACGTCCTTACTCATTATTGGTTTGTTTAGATTTTCAATTTCTTCATCTTGGTGGGTTTTATGCATCTAGGAATTTACTCATTTATTCTAGATTATTCCAATTTGTTGGCATATAATTGGTCATAATAGTCTATTCTGATCCTTTGTGATATAAGTTGTAATGTCTCCTTTTTATGTATGATTTTATTTTTATCTTTTTTTCTTTTTTTCCCCTCGTCTGGATAAAGGTTTGTCAATCTTCTTTATCTTTTCAAAAGATCAAATTTCAGGGTTTTTCTTTAATGTTTTTATAGTTTCTATTTAATTTAACTGCTCTGATCTTTATTTTTTCCTTCATTCTATTAACTATGGGCTTAGTTTGTTCTTTTTATAGTTCCGTGAAGTGTAACATTTGGTTGTTTAAGATCTTTCTTTTTTTTCAATGTAAATGTTTTGAAGCATCTTACAAGTTTTGGTATGTTGAGTTTCCATTTTTGCTGGTCTCAGCATAAATTTTAATTTCCATTTTAATTTCCTCTTTAATCCATCTGTTGTTCAGAAGCATGCTGTTTAATTTTCATGTATTTGTGAATTTTCTAAAATGTATCCAGTTATTAATTTCTATTTTCATGCCATTGTTATCTGGAATGATAAATAATATGATTTCAGTATTCTTAAATTTATTATGACATGCTTTGTGTCCTAACATTTGTTCTCTAGCATTTCCTGTAAGACAGCTCTGATGGTGATAAACTCCCTCAATTTTTGTTTGCCTGGCAAAGTTTTTAATCTCTCCATTATTTGCAAAAACAAACAAACAAACAAAAAAAAACAGATTTTGTTGGGAACAGTATTTTTGGTTGACACTGTTTTTGTATAGAACATTGAATATATCATTCCATGCTCTCAGCCGATAAGCTTCTGCTCATAAATCTGCTGTTAGCCTTATTGGAACTCCCTTATATGTTATTTGCTTCTTTTCTCCTTTTGTTTTCAGAATCTTCCTTTCCTTTGATTTTTGATAGTTTAATTAAAATATATCTTGTATTCTTGAAGGGATTGAATCTTATCAAACACTTTTAATGTTCCTATACCTGTATATTTCTCTTTCCCCAGACTTGGAAAGTATTCTGCTATTATTTCATCAGATAAGATTTCTCTTCTTATCTGTTTCTGTTCTCTTTCTGGGACACACATGATATGTACATTGGATCTCTTACTGATATTCCATAATTACCATAGGATTTATTCACTTTTTCTCATTTTTTTCCTTTTGTGTCTCTGACTCAGTAATTTCAAATGATCTGTCTTTGAGCTCATTGATTCTTTATTCTAGTCGATCAAATCTGCTTTCAAAGAACTCTATGAAATTTTCAGTTCAACCATTGTGTCCTTTATGTCCAGCATTTCTTTTTTATGATTTCTCTTTGTTGAACTTTCTATTTTGTTCATGTATTATTTCTCTGATTCTTTTTAGTCATCTATCTGTGTTCTCTTGAAGCTCACTGTGTATTTTAAAGACAATTATTTTAGATTCATTGTCAGAAAGTTCATAAGCCTTTATTTCTTTAGGGTCAGCTATTGGTTATTCTTTTTTTTTTCTATGGTGGTATCATTTTTCTCTGATAGTTCTTGATATTTAGGCTGTGCATTGGTGTCTGCACATTTGAAAAACAGGAAAGTTATTCTAGTCTTTGTATACTGGCTTTATCTGGAAACACCCTTTCCCAGTCATCCAGCAATTCTTGGTAGGGTGTCTGTTGTGGTCTGCAGGTGAACTTGTTGCTGAAGTCTTCAGGCAGGCTAGCCTGGTGCCTGTGTCAGCTGGTGGTAGGCTTGGTTCCTGGGTCTGTAGAGTGGGGCCTAAATCCTGGATCCACTGGGTGGATATTATGCATATGTGGGGATGAACATAAAACCAATGTCTATAAAGGCAGGCATGCAGCCTGTACCAATAGGGGCTGGACTGAAGCATGGGTCCACAGGGGCTGACACAGCTCTGATGTGGGCATTGATCCTGTGTCTGCAGGTGCTAGCTAGGTTCTGGAATGGGTCTAATGTCTGGGCCTACTGGGATGAGCCTGGAATCTGAGTCCATGGGGACTGGCCTGGAACTGGTGCAGGATTAGAGCCTGCAACTGGAGAAATGGACCTAGGATATTGGTAGATGGGGGCTGACCTTGAGCCTGAGTCTTCAGAGATGGTCCTAGAGCCTTCATCCATGATGGCCAGCCTAGCATCAGGATCTACTGAACTCAGCCTGTATGCTGGGTTTGCTAGAGCACAGCTGGACCCTGAGTTTATTGGATCCTGGGTCACAAAAACCAGCCTGAAGCCTGAAGCTGGCCTAGGGCTGGGATGGGGTGGGGCCAGTCTAGAGCCTGAGACCATAGGTGGTAGACTGGTGCCTGTAGCCACAGAGGCTGGCCTAGAAGCTGGGGAATGGCCTGGAGGTTGGGTGTATGAGTTCTGGCCTAGAACCTAGGTCTTCAGGGCTGGCATGGAGACTAGGTCCACAAAGGCTTGCCTGGGTCCTAGGACTGTAGGAACTGCTCTGGAACCGAGGTCTACAGAAACTGTCCTAGATACTGGGTCTGTGGGCACTAGCCCAATACTGGAGTCAACTGTGATGAGCCTGAACCCTGGGTCTGCTGGAGGATGGGAACATAGGAACTGGCCCTGGAGAGTAGGGTGGCAGAAACTGGCCTAGCCCTAGGCAGGCCTGGAGCCTGAGTCTGCAGATGCTTGCCAGATACCTAGCTAAGAGATAAGGCTAGGGCTGCCAACCTGGAACTGGGGTTGGCCTGAATCCTGGATTTTTGTGAGCCAACCTAGTTTTGGGCTAGTCTGGCACCTAGGGTGGACTTGGAGTCTGTGACCACGGGGGCTAGCCTGGCGCTAGGCAGTCCTAGAATCTGTATCCACAGGGGTCAGCCTGGAGGTTGGATCTATGGACACTGGCCTGGTGACTAAAGTTGCAGGGGCCAGCCTTGTTCTGGGGCTGGTCTGAAACCTTGAGTTGTGGAGGCCATCATGATTCTGGGAGCAGTCTGGAGCATGAAGCCACTAGGGCTGGCCTGGTCCCAGGGACCATCTGACACCTATGGCACTGGGGTAGATCTGGCATTAAATTAAGATGTACCCAGAAACCAAGTCCACCAGGCAAGCCTGGAGCCTGTCCTGTGAGATCTGGTTTGGCTCAGTCTGCAGGTACCAGCCTGGAGTGTGGGGCCATAGGGGCATACCTATTACTGTATTTCACTGAAGCAGGCTCTGTGTTTTTGGTCCAAACCAAAGTTCAGTGCTCACTTCCCTTTTCTTCTTCAACACAAAGGTTGCCTGTCTGTGTGCTCTGCTGCTCTGGTACCTGGTTCCATGCCTGTGGGTGGGGTGACACAGGTAATGTAAACTTGTTCTTCCTATGCTCTTCAATTCATCTTTTCTTATTTCTCTGCTACACGAAGATTCTGTTATCTTTCACCTGGTATCCTTAGTTCTTGTTAAGGTATTCTTGTGCATAGATAGTTGTTTAAATTGATGTTTTTCTGAGGATAAGTGTTAGAAAGTCCCATTCTGACATTTTGCTGATGTCTAGTTGCACAGCATCCAGTCAGATTTCTAAATAATGATTTTCAAAGTGCCTCAGCAGCATCAGAGGCAGTACTCCTGCTAATTTGGAAAGAACGATGGCAGATCTTATGTTAAGTGATCTTATCAAACACACACATATATACACACAATAATAACAATAAATAGAGCAGACAAAACTTTTGGAGGTGATGAATATGTTTATGGCATAGGTTGTGTTGATGGTTTCATGAGTATGTATTCATCTCTATCTTCATCAAGGTTTACACATGAAACACATACAGCTTTTTCTATGTCAGTCATACCACAATAAAGTAGTTCTGCAAAAAAAAGGAAAGTTAAACGCAATAGAGGAAAACTACTGTTGGCCTCTTTCTTCATGAAGTGTGACTTGTATTTCAGATTTCTGATGGTTACTGAATCTTCCAGATTTTCTGATGATAAGTATAATAAGAGAAATAATATGTTGGGCTAGAAAAGACAAAAATACATATTTGAGGATGAATCAATCAAATTTTTCCTTAACAAAATAGGACTTGTTGTTCAAGATATTCAAGCCAGTACCAGGCTAGAAGGAGAGAAAAGTTTCCAGATCAAATATTTGTGTAAACTAATTCAACTAAAGCCTCAAGAGGAAGAGACTCATGGTGAGATATTTGGAGCCACAAAATGCAGTATTTATCACAAAATGGAAACCAGCATTTTCCAAAACAAAGAACAACGGCTTGGGATTCAGAACGTCTGGGTTCTTGTCTCAGTTTTGCATATGCAATCATGTGTCCAGTTTCCAGGACTTAGTTTCTTGAGACTAGACAATCTCTAATAAACCTCCTATCTGATTTTCCTCTCTTTCAGAAAGTTAGGCAGGTGCTCAGATGCACTTTTTGGTCACAAAGGATGAAGGAAGAAGGCAGGTGTCTTTCTTAACCACTGTTTTAGGACATGACTTTAGAGAACGCATTAGCAGGGACTAAGCAAATAATGAAAGCTAAATTTGGGGTAGAAAAATGGTGAACAAAAGATGAAAGAAAGACAAAGAAAATATTTAGGAGCAATAAAAGGAGTCCCCTATTACTTTGTAGTATAGCCAAAGTTTCTGATTTTCTCTTCTTTAGACTCTAAGAGCACTAGAACACATCAGAGAGCTTCAGAGCTTTAAAATGTTCTCGGATGCCCCCAGCCAAGAAAGCATGTCCTGTGGATCCCACACTTTCCCAAATCCCTGATCTAGCTAAAACCATATACCACTTCCTGATTTCTCTGGAGGCATTGAAACCTCATCACCAACCCAGAACAGTTTGGCATTACTTGTCCTCTCCATGAAGTACCTAAACATCCCCTTTCTTCCTCTGTAAAAGCTTCAAGATTCCACTTTGGTGTCAAGTTTTTCAACAGAGTCAGATTGTTATTTATCTCAAACTCCAGAAACTCTCATTCTTTTCTGGGATCCATTTAATTGGTGCTATCTTTTTGACCCAAAAGTACCTGTGTTTACTTGGCTCCTCTATGCCTTCCCACCAGCCACCAGTCAGTTAAAACAGCTTTCTTTTGCTACAGAAAGATGCAACCACATCTAAAGCCACCATCATTTCAAGGTCTTCTGACTGGATGAACAACCCCTCCCTGAGTGTCCAGGTGTGAAGAATCTGCTCAATCACCAAAGCTCCTGAATTAAGAGTTAGGAAGCTCCTTTGGGCCTTCAGGAGGAACTTCATTAGGAATTCTGAGATACAGCAAGTATTTCAGGGGAATCCTAGGTCCCAGTGTCCACCTGTCATCTTAGAAGCCAGTAAAGAAATCTTTTTCCCTAGAAGGACTACTGGTGAAAAAACATTTCTCCAAGATTTGAGAGTCTGAGAGTCTCTTGGTCAGTTCCCTGTTGAACAGAGATCGATCAGGAATGTACTACTACACAGAAGAGGTGCACAGGCATCTAGTCACTGCCTCAAGGTAACTTTAAAAGAATTTATTATAAGTTAGATTGGGATAGGGTGATTCTTTGACCTTTAGGTGTCTCCAAAGTCCTCCAAAAGATCTTGCAAAGGCAAGTGTCCTCAGAATCCTAGGAAGTTTTCAGATGTTATGGATAGGTGCCAATGGCTATCAGATGTCTTCCTAAGATGGCTGCTGCATTCCAGCTTCACATTGCTAAAGGATAATGAAGGATATTGATATGAAAGAAGCAGCCCAGAGGCCCTTGACACATTGTGAGAGTATGCAGAGGGTGGGGCTCCACCAGCCTCCCACAGACACTCAGCCATGCGGTTCCCATTCCCTGCCATGAGCAAGAGTTTTAGGGCCTCATAGGGATTCAAAGATGGCCAGCTCATTGCCACTCTTTGTAGTATGAAGTATGCCAACACATAAAGATAGGCCAACACATAGATAATATAATAGATTTAAAATGTGTATATTTTATAAATGTATGCTTACAACAACAAAAATACCATGCAATACAATTGTTCTACTCACAAGATCAGTACAGGAATTATAAAGCATTAATTCAGGGTGGACTCTTGGCAGCGTGTAATTTATGGTGAATATGTTCTCTCCATTCTGTCTGAGTTTCTGTACCATTGGGTGATAACATTAGAATCTCAAATTTGGGACACTTTGTGAAAGTGGGTCAATGCCCAAATGGCTCTCATAGGTGTTTACTCCACCATGACCCCATGATGGACCTGTAGAGTCCCAAAAGATGGAAGAACATTCAAGACTAGCCAGCTGGAGAGACCTAGAATCAGAGGTCCCTCACACAGCCTGAAAAGCCTAAAGCTGATTAGCATAATCTCAACACCTGTGAAACCAGAATTCATTGCTTCCATTCAGAGATCCCATGTTCATGCCAGAATCTAAGCTGCCATGAGTGTTTTGGGAAGTCACTTATGACTAATACTGAGTATGATGGGACTGATATCAAAACTGAGCTAGGCAGAGATAGCCTCAAGGCCGTGACACATAAGGCTAAACCTTTCGGTTTTGAACCACAGACTAGATATATCAGAGAAGTGGACTTGGAGAATCCCCTGCTGGAGTCCTGCAGAGTAACCACTCTGTCAGATGGCATGTGTTTCTGGGAGGAAGGCATAGGGGCCTAGTTCCAGCCTTACCCCACTGCATCCCATAAGCACGGGCTGAGTTTTAGAGACACTCCAGAGCTGGTCCGAAAGCCTGATGCAAAGGAGTCTCCTCGGGAACTGAAGTGGTCTAAGAAACTGGCAAGCTCAGCAGCCCTACAGATGGGAGAGGAGCCTACAGATGGGAGAGGAAGCCATTCTCCTGGCCAAAGTCCTGATACAGAGTTTGCCAGAAGCATAGGCAGACTTGAGGCAGATTGCAGCTAGCACTGGCACTGGAATTGAAACCTCCCCTGTAGTCCCATAGATAGATTTTTGTATAAACATAGAAGTTGACCCTCTGGTCTTAGAGCTTGATACTTTCATTTGTTTTATATGAATTTCTTCCTTAGTAAAGGAGCCATAGGTACCTCAAAAAGCATCAAAGAATCGAAACTCACCAGATGATCCCATCCAGACAATGGGACACCAGGCATCTCATAAATCATGATTGCTTCCTTAGGTCTCCTGAGTTCCTGTTTTTCTACACATTGTTACATTTCTTCCCTGCTATGTAAACTCATAATTTTAGTTGGTCAGGGAGATGGATTTGAGACCGAACTTGCATCTCCTATGCTACAGCATCCAATTCAGCTGTCTTTCTTGGCAATAATTGGTGATATTGATTGGTTTTCTGTGCAGTGAAGAGCAGGACCTAGACCACACCCCTGGTATTTCAGTAACAGATTTTGGTTCTCTGACCAGGAACACTTTGGCTTGGCGGCCATGGCCCAGGAGTCTCAAAGCCCTCCTAAGCAGCTGCTTACCCAATTTTGGCTGGAGATGAGTTCCCTCTCTTTGGGGCCAGCCGCAGCTGGCCTTAACCATGTTCCTGATTACCTTGGAAGAACTGCTTTTGAAATTTGACATCTGCATCCAGATAGGTGACTGTCATTTGTGGGCCCAGACAGAAGGCTCTGCTCCTCTAAATTTGGGAAATTTTTAAAGGATTTTCCACTTGTGGGTTAAACAAGCCCAACTGATGAAGAGAGGGAAGTACCCTGATTGTTTCAGTATGGACACTCTTGGGGAGTTGTTCGTCATTTTGTGTGTGTCCAGGCAAGTGAGTGTCTTTTGTGGGTACCAGATGGTGGGATCAGCTCCTCTCCATTTGAGAAATTCTGTAGGAATTTTTATTTGCAGTTTAATTGAGCCCAACCAATGGAGAGGAAGCACCCCAACTCATTGAGTTTGTACACTTTTGGGGCTTGACTGATGCTGCAGAAGTTGGATTGTGTTCTAGTGACTGTTCGCATGTGTCTGATATAGTCACGGGAAATTAGAATTTGATAAACCGATATTCTTTTATAACACTGTTTGGCTCCAGTATAGTTTGGAATCTGGAGTTTGCTGTTGAGTGGGAAAGTGGGTTTTTGTGCTGCTGTTCTAAGCAGGGTCGGGCCAGGTTACTATGTGATGTTCTCACATGGTGCTGTTTGACAACAGTGTTCTTTGGAGTCTGGGGAGGTTTGGCCTTTAAAAATCAAACTGCCATGGAAACTGCTTTACCCAAAATTTTGGTTCACAGCCTTCACTGGTTTACCTATCAAGGCTAACAAAGTTCAGCCATGTGAACATGTTTTCAGACTGGTGAGACTGTATTACTATCTCGTGGCTAGAGTTCCAAGTTAAAAGCTATTGGATCTTTGTGTGTATATGCATCTAGATGTGTTTATGTGTATGCACATGTGTTACCTTATATGTTGTGACTACCAAATTGGCTTAAAAATAAAAGAGCACTCAGAGATTAAGTAAATAAGTACAAAGTATTTTTCATGTTCATGTTACTTAAGTAAATCTTTAGCAAGATAGCATTAAAATTATTGTAAAATAAAAATAGAAATGTCTTCAGAATTGTCAGCATACATTTTTGTCTGGGTTTTATATTTGTCTCTGCTAGATATTTTAAGGTACCAGAGTTTAGCACAGAAGGTTATAAAACTATAACCAGGAGTTTGAGACCAGCCTGAAAAACAAAGACCCCCGCCTGCATCTCTATAAAATGAAAATAAAACAATTAGCTGGGCATAGTGATTCATGCCTGTAGTCCCAGCTAATCCGGAGACTGAGGTGGGAAGATTGCTTGAGCCTGAAAGGTCAAGGCTGCAGTGAGTTATGATCCAGCCACTGCACTCTAGCCTGGGTGACAGAGGGAGACCCTGTAAAAAAAAAAATTACAGGCAGAGAATGACAATGGGGCACAGGAGCATTGCAGAGAGACTAGGGGAACAGTTGTAATTTTTAATAGGATGGTCAAAGGAGACCTCATTGAGCAGGTGGCTTTTAGGTGAAGACTTAAAGAAGGTAATAGAGTTTTCTATAGGTCTAATGATAAAACAGAATGCATGCAGAAGAAAAAGGACAGCTACGTGCTTGAAGCAGAGAGGCTAAAGAGATGGAGGTCAGGGATGTGACTGGAGGGATTTCAGGGAGGTGACTGGAGTCTAAGTCATGGAGAACTTAGAGGGCTCTTATAAGGCTTTTATATCTCTTTCTTTGAATGAGATTGGGAGTTATTGCAGGAGTTGCACAAAAGAATGACAAAATCTAGCTTTTCTTTTAAAAGGAGCATTCTGGTTTTCCATTGAGAAAAGACTAAAGACATTCTCCATCCAGAAAAGACTGCCAAGAACTGTGAAGCATCTAAAAGTTTACCCTACTTGGGGCACAGTTTTACAAATGCTGGCAGATGACACAAGCCTCCTGGGTAAAGGCAGGATTTTATGACTCCTTCAACAGGCAGAACGATTTACTTGTTTCTGTCAGTCCTCCTTGCTCCACAAGTCCTACAGAGGAAATACAGGAAGGCAGATTAATGTTGCATATGCAATAGACGTGTGTTGCAGCAAACCTGCCCTCTGCTTCAGAAGAAAGCAATATCTCTAGCTTCCAAGCTGTCCTCTTTACAAGCATCCTTGAGAAGATACTCAGGAGCAAAGACTCTCAAAGTCTCTGCTCATAAGATATGCAGAAATGTGAGAGGCCATGAAGAATTGTCTCCCAACCAGAATGAACAGCATGTCATAATGGATTGGATTTAAAGAGGGAGGGGAAAAGATACTTAAGAATAACTCCAAGAGTTTTTATTTGAATAGGTAAAAAGATAGATTTACCATCAACTAAGTTGAGAAAGACTACAGGTGAAGCAGGATGGGTGGAGAGGGTGGATAAGGAGTTTGATCTGAGACATAATGAATTTGAGATAGCTATTGGATGGAATTCAACAGATGTCAAACAGGCCATTAGATACATATGTCTTGAGTTTGGAAAAGAGTTTGAGTAATAATATAAATTTATTAGTCATTGGGAGGTAGAATGATTTTATTTTATTTTATTTATTTATTTATTTATTATTATTATACTTTAAGTTTTAGGGTACATGTGCACAACGTGCAGGTTTGCTACATATGTATACATGTGCCATGTTGGTGTGCTGCACCCATTAACTCATCATTTAGCATTAGGTATATCACCTAGTGCTATCCCTCCCCCCTCCCCCACCCCACAACAGGCCCCGGTGTGTGATGTTCCCCTTCCTGTGTCCATGTGTTCTCATTGTTCAATTCCCACCTATGAGTGAGAACATGCAGTGTTTGGTTTTTTGTCCTTGTGATAGTTTGCTGAGAATGATGGTTTCCAGCTTCATCCATGTCCCTAAAAACGACATGAACTCATCCTTTTTTATGGCTGCATAGTATTCCATGGTGTATATGTGCCACATTTTCTTAATCCAGTCTATCATTGATGGACATTTGGGTTGGTTCCAAGTCTTTGCTATTGTGAATAGTGCTGCAATAAACATATGTGTGCATGTGTCTTTATAGCAGCATGATTTATAATCCTTTGGGTATATACCCAGTAATGGGATGGCTGGGTCAATTGGTATTTCTAGTTCTAGATGCCTGAGGAATTGCCACACTGTCTTCCACAATGGTTGAACTAGTTGACAGTCCCACCAGCGGTGTAAAAGTGTTCCTATTTCTCCACATCCTCTCCAGCACCTGTTGTTTCCTGACTTTTTAATGATCACCATTCTAACTGGTGTGAAATGGTATCTCATTGTGGTTTTGATTTGCATTTCTCTGATGGCCAGTGATGATGAGCATTTTTTCATGTGTTTTTGGCTGCATAAATGTCTTCTTTTGAGAATTGTCTGTTCATATCCTTCACCCATTTTTTGATGGGGTTGTTTGTTTGTTTTCTTGTAAATTTGTTTGAGTTCATTGTAGATTCTGGATATTAGCCCTTTGTCAGATGAGTAGGTTGCGAAAATTTTCTCCCATTCTGTAGGTTGCCTGTTCACTCTGATGGTGGTTTCTTTTGCTGTGCAGAAGCTCTTTAGTTTAATTAGATCCCATTTGTCAATTTTGGCTTTCGTTGCCATTGCTTTTGGTGTTTTAGACATGAAGTCCTTGCCCATGCCTATGTCCTGAATGGTATTCCCTAGGTTTTCTTCTAGGGTTTTTATGGTTTTAGGTATAACATGTAAGTCTTTAATCCATCTTGAATTGATTTTTGTATAAGGTGTAAGGAAGAGATCCAGTTTCAGCTTTCTACATATGGCTAGCCAGTTTTCCCAGCACCATTTATGAAATAGGGAATTCTTTCCCCATTGCTTGTTCTTGTCAGGTTTGTCAAAGATCAGATAGCTGTAGATATGCATCATTATTTCTGAGGGCTCTGTTCTGTTCCATTGATCTATGTCTCTGTTTTGGTGCCAGCACCGTGCTGTTTTGGTTACTGTAGCCTTGTAGTATAGTTTGAAGTCAGGTAGCATGATGCCTCCAGCTTTGTTCTTTTGGCTTAGGATTGACTTGGAGATGCGGGCTCTTTTTTGGTTCCATATGAACTTTCAAGTAGTTTTTTCCAATTCTGTGAAGAAAGTCATTGGTAGCTTGATAGGGATGGCATTGAATCTATAAATTACCTTGGGCAGTACGGCCATTTTCACGATATTGATTGTCCCTACCCATTAGCATGGAATGTTCTTCCATTCGTTTGTATCCTCTTTTATTTCCTTGAGCAGTGGTTTGTAGTTCTCCTTGAAGAGGTCCTTCACATCCCTTGTAAGTTGGATTCCTAGGTATTTTATTCTCTTTGAAGCAATTGTGAATGTGATTTCACTCATGATTTGGCTCTCCGTTTGTCTGTTATTGGTGCATAAGAATGCTTGTGATTTTTGCACATTGATTTTGTATCCTGAGACTTTGCTGAAGTTGTTTATCAGATTAAGGAGATTTGGGGCTGAGACGATGGGGTTTTCTAAATATACAATCATGTAATGTGCAAACAGGGACAATTTGACTTCCTCTTTTCCTAATTGAATACCCTTTATTTCCTTCTCCTGCCTGAATGCCCTGGCCAGAACTTCCAACACTATGTTGAATAGGAGTGGTGAAAGAGGGCATCCCTGTCTTGTGCCAGTTTTCAAAGGGAATGCTTCCAGTTTTTGTCCTTTCAGTATGATATTGGCTGTGGGCTTGTCATAGATAGCTCTTATTATTTTGAGATACATTCTATCAATACCTATTTTATTGATAGTTTTTAGCATGAAGGGCTGTTGAATTTTGTCAAAGGCCTTTTCTGCATCTATTGAGATAATCATGTGATTTTTGTCTTTGGTTCTGTTTATATACTGGATTACGTTTATTGATTTGAGTATGTTGAACCAGCCTTGCATCCCAGGGATGAAGCCCACTTGATCATGGTGGATAAGCTTTTTGATCTGTTGCTGGATTCAGTTTGCCAGTATTTTATTGAGGATTTTTGCATCAATGTTCATCAAGGATATTGGTCTAAAATTCTCTTTTTTTGTTGTGTCTCTGCCAGGCTTTGGTATCAGGATGATGCTGGCCTCATAAAATGAGTTAGGGAGGATTCTCTGTTTTTTTATTGATTGGAATAATTTCAGAAGGAATGGTACCAGCTCCTCCTTGTACTTCTGGTAGAATTCGGCTGTGAATCCATCTGGTCCTGGACTTTTTTTGGTTGGTAAGCTATTAATTATTGCCTCAATTTCAGAGGGTGTTATTGGTCTATTGAGAGATTCAACTTCTTCCCGGTTTAGTCTTGGGAGAGTGTATGTGTCGAGGAATTTATCCATTTCTTCTAGATTTTATAGTTTATTTGTGTAGAGGTGTTTATAGTATTCTTGATGGTAGTTTGTATTTCTGTGGGATCGGTGGTGATATCTATCCCCTTTGTCATTTTTTTATTGCATCTATTTGATTCTCCTCTCTTTTCTTCTTATTAGTCTTGCTAGTGGTCTATCAATTTTGTTGACCTTTTCAAAAAACCAGCTCCTGGATTCAGTGATTTTTTGAAGGCTTTTTGTGTCTCTATTTCCTTCAGTTCTGCTCTGATCTTAGTTATTTCTTGCCTTCTGCTAGCTTTTGAATGTGTTTGCTTTTGCTTCTCTAGTTCTTTTAATTGTGATGTTAGGGTGTCAATTTTTGATCTTTCCTGCTTTCTCTTATGGGCATTTAGTGCTATAAATTTCCCTCTACACACTGCTTTGAATGTGTCCCAGAGATTCTGGAATGTTGTGTCTTTGTTCTCATTGGTTTCAAAGAACATCTTTATTTCTGCCTTCATTTCGTTGTGTACCCAGTAGTCATTCAGGAGCAGGTTGTTCAGTTTCCATGTAGTTGTGTGGTTTTGAGTGAGTTTCTTAATCCTGAGTTCTAGTTTGATTGCACTGTGGTCTGAGAAACAGTTTGTTATAATTTCTGTTCTTTTACATTTGCTGAGGAGTTCTTTACTTCCAACTATGTGGTCAATTTTGTAGTAGTTGTAGTGTGGTGCTGAAAAGAATGTATATTCTGTTGATTTTGGATGGAGAGTTCTGTAGATGTCTATTAAGTCTGCTTGGTGCAGAGCTGAGTTCAATTCCTGGGTATCCTTGTTGACTTTCTGTCTCGTTGATCTGTCTAATGTTGACAGTGGGGTGTTAAAGTCTCCCATTATTAATGTGTGGGAGTCTAAGTCTCTTTGTAGGTCACTAAGGACTTGCTTTATGAATCTGGGTGCTCCTATATTGGGTGCATATATATTTAGGATAGTTAGTTCTTCTTGTTGAATTGATCCCTTTACCATTATGTAATGGCCTTCTTTGTCTCTTTTGATCTTTGTTGGTTTAAAGTCTGTTTTATCAGAGACTAGGATTACAACCCTTGCCTTTTTTTGTTTTCCATTTGCTTGGTAGATCTTCCTCCATCCCTTTATTTTGGGCCTATGTGTGTCTCTGCACGTGAGATGGGTTTCCTGAATACAGCACACTGATGGGTCTTGACTCTTTATCCAATTTGCCAGTCTGTGCCTTTTAATTGGAGCATTTAGCCCATTTACATTTAAGGTTAGTACTGTTATGTGTGAATTTGATCCTGTCATTATGACGTTAGCTGGTTATTTTGCTTGTTAGTTGATGCAGTTTCTTCCTAGCATTGATGGTCTTTACAATTTGGCATATTTTTGCAGTGGCTGGTACTGGTTGTTCCTTTCCATGTTTAGTGCTTCCTTCAGGAGCTCTTTTAGGGCAGGCCTGGTGGTGACAAAATCTCTCAGCATTTGCTTGCCTGTAAAGTATTTTATTTCTCCTTCACTTATGAAGCTTAGTTTGGCTGGACATGAAATTCTGGGTTGAAAATTATTTTCTTTAAGAATGTTAAATATTGGCCCCCACTCTCTTCTGGCTTGTAGAGTTTCTGCCAAGAGATCAGCTGTTAGTCTGTTGGGCTTCCCTTTGTGTGTAACCTGACCTTTCTCTCTGGCTGCCCTCAACATTTTTTCCTTCATTTCAACTTTGGTGAATCTGAGAATTATGTGTATTGGAGTTGCTCTTCTCGAGGAGTATATTTGTGGCATTCTCTGTATTTCCTGAATCTGAATGTTGGCCTGCCTTGCTGGATTGGGGAAGTTCTCCTGGATAATATCCTGCAGAGTGTTTTCCAACTTGGTTCCATTCTCCCCGTCACTTTCAGGTACACCAGTTAGACGTAGGTTTGGTCTTTTCACATAGTCCCATATTTCTTGGAGGCTTTGTTCATTTCTTTTTATTCTTTTTTCTCTAAACTTCTCTTTATGCTTCATTTCATTCATTTCATCTTCCATCACTGATACCCTTTCTTCCAGTTGATCGCATCGGTTACTGAGGCTTGTGCATTCATCACGTTGTTCTCGTGCCATGGATTTCAGCTCCATCAGGTCTTTTAAGGACTTCTCTGCATTGGTTATTCTAGTTATCCGTTCATCTAATGTTTTTTCAAAGTTTTTAACTTCTTTGCCATTGGTTCTAACTTCCTCCTTTAGCTTGGAGTAGTTTGATCTTCTGAAGCCTTCCTCTCTCAACTCATCAAAGTCATTCTCCGTCCAGCTTTGTCCCATTGCTGGTGAGGAGCTGCGTTCCTTTGGAGGAGGAGAGTCACTCTGATTTTTAGAGTTTCCAGTTTTTCTGCTCTGTTTTTCCCCATCTTTGTGATTTTATCTACCTTTGGTCTTTGATGATGGTGACATACAGATGGGTTTTTGGTGTGGATGTCCTTTCTGTTTGTTAGTTTTCCTTCTAACAGTCAGGACCCTCAACTGCAGGTCTGTTGGAGTTTACTGGAGGTCTACTCCAGACCCTGTTTGCCTAGGTATCAGCAGTGGTGGCTGCAGAACAGCGGATATTAGTGAACCACAAATGCTGCTGCCTGATCATTCCTCTGGAAGTTTTGTCTCAGAGGAGTACCTGGCTGTGTGAGGTGTCTGTCCGCCCCTACTGGGGGGTGCCTCCCAGTTAGGCTACTTGGGGGTCAGGGGCCCACTTGAGGAGGCAGTCTGCCCGTTCTCAGATCTCAAGCTGCATGCTGGGAGAACCATTACTCTCTTCCAAGCTGTCAGACAAGGACATTTAAGTCTGCAGAGGTTATTGCTGTCTTTTGTTTTTCTGTGTCCTGCCCTCAGAGGTAGAGCCTACAGAGGCAGGCAGGCCTCCTTGAGCTGTGGTGGGCTCCACCCAGTTCGAGCTTCCAGGCCACTTTGTTTACCTACTCAAGTCTGAGCAATGGCAGGCGCCCCTCCCCCAGCCTTGCTGCTGCCTTGCAGTTTGATCTCAGACGGCTGTGCTAGCAATGAGTGAGGCTCGGTAGGCATAGGACCTCTGTGCCTTGTGCAGGATATAATCTCCTGGTGTGCCGTTTGATAAGCCTGTTGGAAAAGCACAGTATTAGGGTGGGAGTAACCCGATTTTCCAGGTGCCATCTGTCACCCCTTTCTTTGACTAGGAACGGGAATTCCCTGACCTCTTGTGCTTCCCAGGTGAGGCGATGCCTCGCCCTGCTTTGGCTCATGTATGGTGTGCTGCACCCGCTATACAGCACTCCCCAGTGAGATGAACCCAGTACCTCAGTTGGAAATGCAGAAATCATCCATCTTCTGTGTCGCTCACACTGGGAGCTGTAGACTGGAGCTGTTCCTTTTCAGCCATCTTGGCTCCACTCCCTCTGGTAGAATGATTTTAAAGTCATGGGACCAGATGGGATCACCAGGGGGAAGGTGTGGATACAAATGAGAGCCAATGATTGATCTTTGAAGTGATGCAAAATTAAGAAATTGGGGAGAAAAGAAGGGTCCACAGAGGAGACTGCGAAGAAGTAACAAGTGAAGTTAAAGGAAAACCAAGAGAGTGTGCTGTCTTGGAAACCCAGTGAAGAAAGTCCATTAAAGAATGATCTATTAAGATGAGAAGCAATAATTGATCATGTGATTTAATAACATAGAGATCACTGATGGCTTTAAAAAGTGTTTCAGTAGAATGGTAGCAGCAAAATCCCAATTAGATAAGATTAGGAGGGGAATTGGAGATAGCATGTATAGACAATAGTTTCAGTAAATTTTGCTACAAAGTGTTAAAGCAAACTAAATACAGTCTGAGAAGGACTCTGTACTTCTACATTTCAGTCCTTTTGGGTGAACGGTAACCTACCTTAATAGTCAGACAAAATTGAAAACCTAATTTAGTAGTGTGCACCTGTAACTATACTTGAATGTTGGCCAATCCCAGCAGCCATACTTCAACCACTGATAGACTGCTGAATGTTCAAACTGTGTTCATACAAGGCAAACACCCAGTTGTAACCAATCTCAGTTTCTGTACTTCACTTCCTGTTCCTTTACATCACTTTACTTTTTTTGCCTATAAATTTGTTTTGACCACAAGTCACCCCTGGAGCCTCTGTGAATCTGCTGTTATCCTGAAGGCTGCCAGATTCCGGAATTCTTCATTGCTCAATTAAACTCCTTTAAATTTAATTCAGCTGAAGTTTTTCTTTTATCAGACTGTGCCAGAAGCAGGATCTGAAGTGGAGCTTCTAGTATCCCCAGGAGCGCTAAGTGAACAAGGATGCTACATGCAGGATCCACTTGTGTCCATTGATCTCTCAGAGTGGCTGAGGATCATAGGTAAGCTCCCTCTCGCATTTTGGATCTTCACACATTTGTGTTTTGAGCTCTCTGAATTTCCTTGAGCAAATTTGTGATCGAAACTGGGTTTGGAGTTGCAACAGAAAATGGACTAGGTCTAGGAATGAATTTGATCTAAGAATTAGCTGGCTTCGATCCCCTTAGAGGCCTCTAACAGCTGACTGGGTCAGAAAAGAACTGGTAATAAGCAGTAATGTTGCAGAATTTATAAAATTTGGCTTTTGAAAATTCACAGGGATTTTGGTGTACCCCTTTGTTTCATTTTTCCTGTGCACCTGGGTAGGAAAAATCACTGGCTAGGAGAACCTGAGAGTAAAGCCAGTATTTTAGGTAAAAATGGAATCCTGAATTTCTGGAAAACTGAGTTCCTTCTGGTTTATACATTAGGCCTGTGAGGCAGTGAAGTCTTACAGAAATGGCAAAATCTTACTAAAGATAACTTAGAGTGGAACATTTCAAATGAACAACAATGCATTGAAGTACATTTAAAAATGAGGGTCCTCAGTAAAGTCCCTTTTGGCTAAGAATGAGTTGGGCAGTACAGGGTGTCAACTGTTATTCTCTTTAGAATAATCTGCCTTGCACTCTTTGTTGATGGCTGTGGGTGACAGGATTAGGCATGTAAACAATCATGGGACATGGGGAGGTTTTTCCTCTACCTTATAAAAGGGGAAACTTGATAGCTGGTGGGACTGCTGGGGAAAAAAAATAAAGAAAAATAGCATTTATTCTGTTTTCATAATTCTCATCTTTAACTATGGTTCCAGTCCCTTCCATTTTTTTTTTCAATCTTGCATAAAAATAAAAAACATGTGAATGGTACTACAGAAAATTCTAAAATAAGAAATAAATCACACATTCTTTCACTACCCAAAACAATTTTCATGTTTATTTATTCCCTTCAAGTCCTTGTCCATGTGCATGCATATTTTGGGAAGATATATACACGTTATATATTTTGCTTTTTTTACCCATCATTCATTATAATTGCTTTTCTATAGTCTTCACAGTGACAATTGTCTGTGTGCAACTCATATTTACTAACTGTCATTCACAAATTTATTATTTCTCTTCAGTGTACTTTAAACTTATGTTTCATATATAAAGCAAAATTATTCCAGTTAAGGAATGAAATTCTGACACGTAATACAACATATGTGAAATAACCCAGACCCAAAAGTATAAATATTATAGGATTCCATTTATATTAAGTACCTAGAATAGGCAAATTCCTAGAGTCATAAAGTAAAATAAAAGTTACCAGTGGCTAGATACAGGGAACGAGTAATTGTGTTTTAATGGGTACAGTTTCTGTTTGAGATGACAAAAACATTCTGGAAATGGATGGGGGTGATGCTTGTAGAGCATTGTGAATGTACGTTGTGAATGTGAATTATACGGTTAAACAGTTTTGTGTTATGTGTACTTTACAACAATTTCTTTTTTTCCTTGTTTTTTTTTTTTTTTTTCTTTGGAGACAGAGTCTTGCTCTGTCTTCCAGGCTGTAGTGCAGTGGCGCGATCTCGGCTCACTGCAAGCTCCGCCTCCCGGGCTCATGCCATTCTCCTGCCTCAGCCTCCCAAGTAGCCGGGAGTGCAGGTGCCCGCCACCTTGCCCAGCTAATTTTTTGTATTTTTAGTAGAGACGGGGTTTCACCATGTTAGCCAGGATAGTCTCGATCTCCTGACCTCGTGATCCGCCCACCTCGGCCTCCCAAAGTGCGGGGATTACAGGCGTGAGCCACCGTGCCCGGCCAACAGTTTCTTAAAGAGTATGGGGAGGGGTCTACCCAGGATTTTAGCAGCTTCCTAATTTAAAAAAGAAATGTTGATGTTAAGAATATGGGTAGAGAACACTTTTATTTGGGTAGATGTTAGAAGCTGAGGCCAGGATGGGGTCATAAGAGCAATATTAAGTATGAGGAGGAGGAGGCCCTGAACTAAGGTCATTGCAAGGGGATGGAGTAGGGAATGGATAGGAGAGGTATTTGGACAAAGATGTGGCAGCTGATTAGTGTGGGGGTTGTTCTCATGTATCAGCCAAGGCTACAATATTCTCAAGACAGATGGAACACAAGTTTTTTGTGGGGTGTGATACAGCATGGTAGATCTTGAATTAAAACTTACAAAATTTTTACCAAAACTTTAAAGGAGAAGACAATAGTAAAACACAAGTGTATGGGTAATTTTAGTTAAATCAGGTGAGAAACAGCAAAGAAAGCTCTGTTGGAGGTGGGAAAAAAAAAGACCAGGTTTTTTGTTTGTTTGTTTGTTTGTTTTACAACTACAAAAACAGCAGAGTCAAACAGGGGATAGACTCATGTCAGAGATCCAGTTCTATTTACTAAAATTTCCTTGAGTATTCAAACATTCTGAAATTCTGAGCTCTTGCAAAAGGATGCCTTTGTTTAAACATTGCTTCACCTAGCTACAGAACGTAGTTTAACTTTGAGGACTTTGACCTCAGACAAGACAAAATGTTTCACCTTGCCTATTACTTAAGACATATTAGTTAACTATTTAACCTTCAAAGATAAAAAATTTCAAACATCTGTATTAACTAATTTGCTAATGATTGTTTCAAATATCTAATCCATGGTTTACTTCTCTTACATTAACTAAGTTTGTTGTAAGTTCTTCACATTTTTAATTATTTTTACATCATTGGATTTAATTGTTAAATCTATATATGACATGTTGATTATTATGAAGTCAATTAAAAAAACTAACATATGTTAAATATTGTTCTTACTTCATGCCAGGTATGCATTTCATATGTATTACATTGTGTAATCTCATTCCTCTGGAAAACATGCATTCTAATTTCCAGTTCCAAAGTGGTCAGAAAACACTTTGAGGTTCTGATTCATTAAACAACTTAAAAAAGAAGTAGGAGACAGAACTGAAATTTGGAACCAGCCTAAGCTTTGAAACTATCAGTTGTGATGATAACCTTCTCCAAGTTATTGTTAATAATTGGCACATTTCTAAGAATTCTGAATGTTATTTCAACGGAAGTTTACAGATATGTGTCAAAATTATTCATTTTTTTTTAATTTTTGTAATGAAACTGGGACAAGTTCCAAAATGGCCATAGGTCTGAAATATTTGGCCCTAAGAAACTAAAGAAAATCTGTGCCAACTCCTATTCTAAGCTTTCCAGTCAAAACTGTTTTTAGAAGGCTGATTTTTTTTTATTATTATACTTTAAGTTGTAGGGAACATGTGCACAATGTGCAGGTTTGTTACATATGTATACATGTGCCATGTTGGTGTGCTGCACCCATTAACTCATCATTTACAATAGTTATTTCTCTTAATGCCATCCCTCCGCCCTCCCTCCACCCCACGACAGGCCCCAGTGTGTGATGTTCCCCGCCCTGTGCCCAAGTGTTCTCATTGTTCAATTCCCACCTATGAGTGAGAACATGTGGTGTTTGGTTTTCTGTCCTTGTGATAGTTTGTTCAGAATGATGGTTTCCAGCTTCATCAATGTCCCTACAAAGGACATGAACTCATCCTTTTTAATGGCTGCATAGTATTCCATGGTGTATATGTGCCACATTTTCTTAATCCAGTCCATGGACATTTGGGTTGATTCCAAGTCTTTGCTATTGTGAATAGTGCCTCAATAAACATATGTGTGCATGTGTCTTTATAGTAGCATGATTTATAATCCTTTGGGTATATACCCAGTAATGGGATCGCTGAGTCAAATGGTATTTCTAGTTCTAGATCCCTGAGGAATCACCGCACTGTCTTCCACAATGGCTGAACTAGTTTACACTCCCACCAACAGTGTAAAAGCGTTCCTATTTCTCCACATCCTGTCCAGCACCTGTTGTTTCCTGACTTTTTAATGATCACCATTCTAACTGGTGTGAGATGGTATCTCGTTGTGGTTTTGATTAGCATTTCTCTGATGACCAGTGATGATGTGCATTTTTTCATGTGTCTGTTGGCTGCATAAATGTCTTCTTTTGAGAAGTGTCTGTTCATATCCTTTGCCCACTTTTTGATGGGGTTGTTTGATTTTTTTCTTATAAATTTTTCTGAGTTCAGTGTAGATTCTGGATATTAGCCCTCTGTCAGATGGGTAGATTGCAAAAATTTTCCCCATTCTGTAGGTTGCCTGTTCGCTCTGATGGTAGTTTCTTTTGCCATGCAGAAGCTCTTTAGTTTAATAAGATCCCATTTGTCTATTCTGGCTTTTGTTGCCATTGCTTTTGGGGTTTTAGTCATGAAGTCCTTGCCCATGCCGATGTCCTGAATGGTACTGCCTAGGTTTTCTTCTAGGGTTTTTATGGGTTTAGGTCCAACATTTAAGTATTTGATCCATCTTGAATTAATTTTTGTATAAAGTGTAAGGAAGGGATCCAGTTTCAGCTTTCTACATATGGCTAGCCAGTTTTCCCAATACCATTTATTAAATAGGGATTCCTTTAGGTTTGTCAAAGATCAGATGGTTGTAGATGTGTGGTATTATTTCTGAAGGCTCTGTTCTGTTCCATTGGTCTATATCTCTGTTTTGGTGCCATGCTGTTTTGGTTACTGTAGCCTTGTAGTATAGTTTGAAGTCAGGTAGTGTGATGCCTCCAGCTTTGTTCTTTTTGCTTAGGGTTGTCTTGGCAATGCAGGTTCTTTTTTGATTGCATATGAACTTTAAAGTATTTTTTTCCAATTCTGTGAAAAAGTCATTGATAGCTTTATGGGGATGGCATTGAATCTATAAATTACCTTGGGCAACATGGACATTTTCACAATATTGATTCTTTCTATCCATGAGCATGGAATGTTCTTCCATTAGTTTGTGTCCTCTTTTATTTCGTTGAGCAGTGGTTTGTAGTTCTCCTTCAAAAAAATCAATGAATCCAGGAGCTGGTTTTTTGAAAAGATCAACAAAATTGATAGACCAATAGCAAGACTAATAAAGAAGAAAAGAAAGAAGAATCAAATAGATGCAATAAACAATGATAAAGGGGATATCACCACCAATCCCACAGAAATACAAACTACCGTCAGAGAACACTATAAAAACCTCTACGCAAATAACCTGAAAATCTAGAAGAAATGGATAAATTCCTGGACACATACACCCTCCCAAGACTAAACCAAGAAGAAGTTGAATCCCTGAATAGACCAATAACAGGCTCTGAAATTGAGACAATTATCAATAGCCTACCAACCAAAAAATGTCCAGGACCAGCTGGATTCACAGCTGAATTCTATCAGAGGTACAAGGAGGAGCTGGTACCATTCCTTCTGAAACTATTCCAATCAATAAAAAAAGAGGGAATCTTCTCTAACTCATTTTATGAGGACATCATCATCCTGGTACCAAAGCCTGGCAGAGACACAACAAAGAAAGAGAATTTTAGACCAATATACCAGATGAATATCGATGCAAAAATCCTCAATAAAATACCAGCAAACCGAATCCAGCAGCACATCAAAAAGCTTATTCACCACGATCAAGTGGGCTTCATCCCTGGGATGCAAGGCTGATTCAACATGCACAAATCAATAAACGTAATCCATCATATAAACACAACCAAAGACAAAAGCCACATGATTTTCTCAACAGATGCAGAAAAAGCCTTCGACAAAATTCAACAGTCCTTCACGCTAAAAACTCTCAATAAACTAGGTATTGATGGGATGAATCTCAAAATAAGAGCTATTTATGACAAACCCACGGCCACTATCATACTGAATAGGCAAAAACTGGAAGCATTCCCTTTGAAAACTGGCACAAGACATGGATGCCCTCTTTCACCACTCCTATTCAACATAGTATTGGAAGTTCTGACCAGGACAGTCAGGCAGGAGAAAGAAATAAAGAGTATTCAATTAGGAAAAGAGGAAGTCAAATTGTCCCTGTTTGCAGATGATATGATTGTATATTTAGAAAACCCCATTGTCTCAGGGAAAAATCTTAAGCTGTTAAGGAACTTCAGCAAAGTCTCAGGATACAAAATCAATGTGCAAAAATCACAAGCATTCTTATACACCAATAACAGACAAACAGAGAGCCAAATAATGAGTGAACTCCCATTCACAATTGCTTCAAAGAGAATAAAATACCTAGGAATCCAACTTACAAGGGATGCGAGGGCTGATATTTTCTATTCTAGATGAAAGAATACTTCTCAGGCATCTGATGACCAAAATACAGGGAAAAAGTTATGATGATGGTGGTGGAGTGTTCTGCTACAGGCATTTGGGAACCTCACAGAACTCTTAATATTCACTTTTAATTCATTCCACCAGGGAGGAAGGGCATGGGGTTTGGAGCCATTCATATATGGTTTCAAAATCTGACTGACATTTATCTCTGTAAGAACTTGAGAAATTTACTTAATCTCTCTGAGATTTGGTATATTTAGAATGAGGGTGATACTGACAGTACCTACATCATGAGTGTTACTTGAATGGAGATGTATAAAGTGCATTTTAAATTCATTTGTTCCCTTAACATTTTTCTTTCACTTATTAACTTTTTAGGTTTCTTCTTGAAGGGCTCAAGGAATGAAGCATCCCACAAAATGATCCTGCTGAATAATTGCCAGATGCTGCTGGCCCTGTACGAATCCCTGGCCGTGAGCATTCCTGAGTCCCTGAAGGTGAGGGGGCAGTGGGAGAGTCAGATGGCTTTGTGCATGTTTCTTTACTTTTCTGTGCCTTTACCTTTGGTCTTTTCATCAATGAAATGGGAATAATATTAGCACCTACCTCTTAAAATTGTTGTGAACACTGAATAAATCCATACAATGTAAGTGCTAAGAGCATTGACAAGTGCCAAGCTAGTGCACAGTAGCTCTTTGGTATCACAAGGACACCTATCTGTGAGTTCTGCCTGCTTGCTGGTAACTTCACGTCCATCAGTATGGTCCTGGAGATGCTGCTCATCTCACCATTACTGACTTAGTCCCAGTACTGTCTTTTGACCTCCGTTTTTCTCTTCCTCTTCACATCCAGATCCCCATCTCTAGGGATCTCAACCTCTCCTAGTCCTTTCCATCTCTCCTTCATATATATGGCTGTGTGTATCACATCAATCATAGGAACCCCTTCAACATGGAGGTGCTGGTGGACTCCTGGCCCGAGTATCAGATAGTTATTATCCAACCACCAAAACAGGTAGGCACACAAACAGGGACTAGTGGAGCCAGGCAGGCCCAAAGGGCCTGAGGAACTGACCATTTCAGACACCAGGGCTGCTTTTATAGGGTGAAAGGAAACGTGAGTATTTTAAAACACTCCTTCAGTACTTGGCACCTTGCATGAGTGCCACATGTTCCCACCCTTTCTGTAAAGCACAGGACTCTTCTGGGAAAAGGGGTGGAGGGGGAAGGGGAGGAAAAGGACAAGGCTGACACTCACAGATTAAGGGCCCTTTGAGGTGGCAGGGGTCACCTGCAGGGGCTGAAAGGAGGCCAATTTACAGGAAAAGTTCGGTGTCTGAGATATTAGAACAGTGGCTTAGAAACAAAAACCAAGGCAGATGTCTACCAGTAAAATTACCTCTCAGGGCCAAGCATGGTGTCTTCTACCTGTAATCCCAGCACTTTGGGAGGCCAAGGCAGGAGGATCACTTGAGTCCAGGAGTTTGAGACCAGCCTGTGCAACATAGTGAGACCTCATCTCTACAGAAAATAAACAAAATTAGCAGGGCATGGTGGTACATGTTTATACTCCTAGCTACTCAGGAGGCTGAGGTGGGAGGATGGCTTGAGCCCCAGGAGGTCGAGGTTGCATTGAGCCAAGATCACACCACTGTACTGAAGCCTAGGCAACAGAGTGGGATCCTGTCTTAAAAAAAAATGTTATTTCTCAGGAATCAGGGAAGGGACTCAACGACTCATAATTACTGTGTGTCAACTATATGGAAGCACGTCTTTTGTTAGTGGATGTCATCAACAGAACACTCTTATTAAGTGACCATTAATATTTCCAATTTAGAGATGAGGAAATGACACTGAGAAATATTAAATCACATAGCTGCTGGATACCAGATATTAAGGCATTGTCCAATCTGAATTCAAGTTCATTGCACTCTGCCAGTTTTATTAGCTATATAACCATAGGCCCTTCTCTGAGTTTCATCATCTGTTAAAATGGGAAAAATAAGAGGATCTTCTTCAGAGGATTACACAAGGTTTAAATGAGATACTGTATGTTAAACACTTAGTACATAGCACATAATTTTAAATAGTATCTACCAGAATTGGCCATTGTTGGCTGAGGACATACAAGGAATACATGATTAAGCTGAAATAGTAATACAAACCTAGGTCTATTTTTTTGTCCTAAAGACTCCCCCTTTTTTGTGTGTGTTTTATGCATATCTGGTTAGTGAACTGAAGCCTCATGGCCAGCCCAGCTTCATGTGGGTATAGACACTGAGCCTCCAAATAATAATAAGCCACCCCAGGTCAAGACTAGTTTGCACATTGGGTCAGGATTGGGATGCAGAAAGCGACAAAATGACCCTAGCTTGAGGAACAAAGGGGTAAAGGGGATGGGAACCAGGCTGAGCCTAACACCTTCCCTAGGGATGTTTGTTTGATCTCCTGGCTTCCTGATAATTTGGGATCAAAGGTTAATGCTTAGTTTATTTAATCCATGGTCCAATTTCTTAAAAGTGTGATATTCTAAATAATTGTAGGAGGTCAAGTAGTTCTTTTTATTTCAGTAACTTTGTAGTTATTATGTGTATTTTACCAACGTAACTATAGCACCAAACCATAACTTCACATATGCATTGCTTTGAACAAGGCTAGTTTTTATAAAGTTAGTCAATAAACAAAAATATGAAAATATAAAAGTTGAATGCCACACATATATGACCAAAGAAATGGAAATAATGAAATATACTGCAATTTACTTGGAAATACATTCATCTAGTCTGATTCCATAGTATACCACGTTTCTTTCAGTATTGAAAGTCAATTCAATTTTGAGTAAAACTTTTCAGGGTGGGATGCAGGAGAATTTATATAGAAAAAAAGTAACTTTTTCTTAATTGGTTTTTAATCTCAAAGATAATATATGCTGATTATACAAGTGGAAAAATCCAACATGATTTTAAGAAGTTAATAACTTCTCTCCTCCCCCTCCTCTCCTCTCCTCCTTTTCTACCCCTTGGGGTAATCAGTGTCCTTGCCCATATTAACACACAAAGGGATAATCACTGATGATCTCTTCTGTCATCACTTTTTAATTTGCCTTTCACATATGGACATCCCTTCGGGTGAATCAATGCAGCATTAACATATTCATTTTAATAACTGTGGCATTCCATAGAGTCAATGCAATGCTATTTAGGCAGTCATTCTCTTGCTGTTGGGTTCAAATTGTTCATACTTCTTTGCCACTAAAAACAATGCTTCAATAAACATCCTTGTATACATGTCTTTACATCCTGGAAACTTTTCTCAATACAATTGATTTCCAAAAGGGATATCTCCAAGTCAGAGTTTACCTTATCCTAAGTAGGCACTGCCAGATTATCTTCTCAAAGGATTCCACAGTTTTATTTCCATTAGCAATGTGTGGAAGAATTGTTTCCTCACATTCTCACCAGCACTGAATGTTGTCCCTTTTCAATTTATGCCAAACTGGTGGGTGAAAGATGGCATCTTATTGTAGATTTAATTTGCATTTCCCTATTAATATTCAACATATTATATTTTCATATGTTTATCAGTCATTTGGGGTTTACTTCTGAACTGTTTATGTTGTTTGACCATTTTTACACTGGGGTTTTGTGTCATTCTTAAAATTCTGTAAGTGTTTTGGATACTAGGGATACTAACACAAGGTGTATGCTACAAATTTGTTGCCCAATTTAGAATTATTTTCTACTTGATTGATGGAGATTTTGACATGAAGAAATTTTGAATTTTCATGTAATCAAATGTATTATCTTTTTCACTATGTCCTCTGAGTTTTTGTTTTTTTTATTAATAATTAGGAAGATTTTTCCTACTCCAAGATCATACAAGTGTTTTCTTATTTAATCTTACAGTGAGTTAATTTTTACTTTTGACATATCAATATTCATTCTACTTGGAATATATTTTTGAATAGCATGAATTAACATTCTTTTATACTTTTCTTCCTTATGGCTGGCTAATTACATTAGTACTATTTATTAAGTGATTCCACTACTGAAACATAAATCTCTATTTTGTCATATAACATGTTTATATATTTTTGTATCTATTTCTGTATTTGTTTCTAGTCTTTTCTCATGCTATTTCATTGTTTTTGTGATAAATTTTAATATCTAATAAAGCAAATCACCCTTCACCAAGGGGAGAGTTCACCATTGTACATTATGCAATATATGTACATTATGCAATGTATGCAATTGCATACATTGTACATTATGCAATGTACACAATTGCATAATGTACAACCTAAGAAAGTTTTTCTTACTTTCCTTTTTCTTATAAATTTAAGAACTATATGAACATCAAGTAATTTTTCCAGTTCCCCACCAACTACCCCAACTAACTATTGCAATTGTGATTGTTGTTGGAGGAGCTTTTTTAGACAATTGTGGAAGGATTAATTTTTTTGTGATACTAAATCTTTTCATCTACAAATATGCTCTTTTTTTTCACTTTTTTCAGTTTTTGTTCTATGCCATCTGGCAAAATTTTATTGTTTTCCTGTGGTAAACTATGTGATTTTCCATTAAGTTTACCCTTAAGTATTTTATACTATTTGTGAAGAATATTAAATTATTTTTCCATTTCTATTTCTGAGCATTATTATTTTGTTATTGCTTTTTATTTATATTCTTGATTTCCAAATATGTCACACTGTTCTTTAAAACCTGTTTTTTTGTGTGTGTGGGGGTGTTATTTGTTTTTGTGTTTTTTCAAAGTCTCTTGGATTTTCTAAACACGTAATACTGTACTCTGCAAACAAAGTAATTTGCTGCTTCTTTGCCAATATTTATATGGGTTTTTAGTTTCTTGCCTTATTGCATAATGTACAACCTAAGAAAACAATATCAACTAACAAAAATAATAGTTCTATTCTTGTCTCATTCCTGATTTTAATGAAATAGCTGTAACAACTTACATCTGAATTACATTTGATTCTGTCTTTACAGGTTTAGAGCATTTTCCTCTTGTTCCTACATTCATAGAACTTATATTTAGAATGGAGGGTAAATTTTATCTTATTTCATTTTTGTCTTTTTTTTTGGCAATTTATATAGTCATGAAATTTTTCCTCCTTTAATTTATTACACTAAAAGATCTTCCGATCAAAGCCATTCTGGCCTTTCTAAAACAAACTGTTCATGTTCACATCCTTTTGATATACTACCGAATATTTTATTCAGAATTTTTGTATCTGTATTCATAAGGGAATATGGGCAATAATTCTCTTTTTGTTATTTCCTTGCCAGATTTGGCATTAGGAGCTTTTCATCTGTTACCAAAGTCTAGTATTAAAATTATGTGTTTGTTTTTGGCTTATGTAGAATTTAAATATAAAATAATCTGATTTTGGCTACTTTTTATTTTTTAATTTCAACTTTCCTTTTAGATACAGGGGTTACATGTGCAGATTTGTTACATGGGAATATTACACGTTGATGAGTCTTGGAGTACGGACAGATCTCATCACCCTGGTAGTGAGCATATACCCAATAGTTAGTTTTCTAACCCAGCCCCTTTCCCTCCACCCTCTAGTAGTCCACAGTGTCTATTGTTCCTACATTTATGTCCATGTATGGTCAAAGCTTAGTTCCCAGTTATGAGTGAGAACATGTGATATTTAGTTTTCTGTTACAGCATTAATTTGCTTAGGATTATTGCACTGTGGAAAGTAGTCTGGAAATTTCTTAGAGAACTTAAAACAGAGTTACCATTTAACCCAGCAATGCCATTACTAGGTAAATAGCCAAAAGAAAATGACTCAATCTACCAAAATGACACATCCTGTTGTATGTTCATTGCTGCACTGTTCACAATAGGAAAGAAATGAAATCAACCGAGGTGCCCATCAATAGTAGATTGGATTAAAAAAATACTTGGTACATATATTCCTATGGAATACCATGCAGCAATAGAAAAGAATAAAATATTGTTCTTTGTAGCAATATGGATGGAGCAGGAGGCCATAATACTTGTCCACTTTTTAAAGGGTAGATATTTCATTTAATTTCCAATATTTTCTATTAGTTTGTTGAGGTTTTCTGTTTTTTTGAAAGTCAATTTTGATAGTTTATTCTTGAGGGATAACATCCATTTCTTTTATCAGTAAATATGTTGCCTTGGAGTAGTATATAATCTTCTATTATAATTATTTTTTTCTTTTCTCTGTTTCCGTTCTCATCTCTCATACTCTGTGCTTATTTTTTTATTTTTGCTTTTTCCTTTTTCTCTTGTATTTCCTTAAAATGACTTACCAGAAGTATGTCCCTCTCTCTCTTCTTCTCTCTCTCTTTTGCCATTTAAAAATGAACTTTTGGCTTTATATATCCTTTGCACTATGTCTTGTTCTCCATTTCATTATTTATAGCTTTCATTTTTATAAATAGCTCCATTTGTTTTTTACTAGTTTACTTTGATATTCTTTTTATAATTCTTTGAATATTTACTTGGCCATTTTCGGTCACTCCTTTAAAATTGAGTCTTTTAAAACATCTACTCTTTTAAATTCACTGAGATTTTGGTTTTGGCCATATTCAGGAACTTGCATTTATAAAAGCACCCTCAAATTCTTGAAGGTTTCTTTAAAATTAGTTACACCATTTTTTCTTTTACTCTTTAACAACACAATTTCCAACATAATATTAATACATTCACTGCTAAACCTCTCACACTTATTGTTTATATTTCCCCTGAGAAACACATACTGATCTTGCCATGAAGTTTGTGGCTTACCAGAATGGGATCACAAGTCTCTTTCTTTCAAACCCATGAGTCTAACACTACATAAATTACCCAGAATGCTACCAAAAATTTAGTTACTTCGTTCTATTTTGTGGGCTTCTGGCTGTAAAGACATTGTCACTATTTGAGTAGGCTGATATCCTGTAGCCTTGGGAAAAGGCAATGTCTCATTAATGTTGGTATTCACTAAAGTATCTTGCCCAAGCCCTGGATGGACAGATCCCATCACACTGGTAGTGAGCATAGTACCCAATAAGTAGTTTTCTAACCCAGCCCCTTTCCCTCCACCCTCTAGGACACTACAGATTCTAGGTGTCTGGTGAAACAGTAGGCACTAAAAATTAGAGAAATCACAGTTAAATTTACTTTGAGCCAAGTTTAAAAATTTAATCCTAGCAACACAGACTCAGTATAACCCAGAATGTGTCCCACAGGAGGTTACGTGGGGCACAGTATATATAACAGGGGATATGTGTGGCCCAAGAGGTGAGAGAAGCAGGGAGAGAAGCAATTGTTGCAATCTTGATTGTGCTGGGTGCTCGGTGATGCTGTATATAAAATAAGGTAAATGTGCAGTTGAGTGGGTAGAAAGAAAGGTGAGGCATCTTAAGGCCTGGTGGAGGGTGACTAATTTCATCCTGTCTTTGTTCTTTATCTAATAAGTAGGTTTATAACCAGTATCTGTCAGTGAAACATTTAACAAACTCCAGTTACACAGGCAAGTGGTCAGCAGTAGCTTATAGGCCTAGGTTTTATTATCCATGTGCCCAACTGCAGCCATCGTAGGCCACTGTTAAAATTTTCTTTTGAATTTTCATTTTTCTGATAATTGCAATCAGTGGGAGGTGAAGAAAAAGTTCAAGGGAATGATCTGATCTTTCACCATCCTATACAGGATATGACTGACAACATGGATTCTTACACAAATGTATATCATATATTCTCCAAAGCTCCTCAAAAATCACAAGAAGTTTTGAAAAATTGTGAAATCATAAACTGGAAACAGATACTCCCTTGGAGGAGTCTGAAGAAATGGGCTAGCAGTAGTGCTTCTCAAATTGAGTCTTCAGCTAATACCATTAGCATCCATTCATTCATTCATTAGTTGAATTAGCATTCAACTAATACCATTAGCAATATCATTACATTGGGAATGTAAATTCACAGAAACTCTGGGGGATGGGAGAGGTAGAACAATCTGTGGTGTGACAAGGACTCCATCTGATTGTGGTGTAAACTCAAGTCTGAGAATTATTAAGCATTGATGATTAATCATGTGGGAGCAGTGTAAGTCGAGAACATCACGTCTGACAATATTGCTTTCTTGCCTTTCTTCCCAGGTCTTCAAGAAAGTTTAGGTGAGGGGATAAGAGCAGCTGCATTTTCAAAGTCAGTGAAGGTAGAGCATTCAAGAGCATTCCTCTGTATTATGGAAGATATCCTGAAGCTCAATGCCTGCAATAAAAGCAAGCTTGGAAGTAGGGATGAGATAGGCCACCCAGATGATGAATTTGAGAGGTACAAAAACAGGTGCTTATCATTTATAATTGCTATTCCTTGTACTTTTTTGTAATTCACATTAATCAGTTTTGGAATAAAGAGAGGATGAATTCCTTTCTTGTGATGAATAAAGGTTGTCAATGGTCAAAATACGCAACTTTGCAATGGTAGGTCTTCAAACAAGAGGAGTGCCTGGGATCTCTTCTTTTTGTTTTCTATAGTAAAACTCCCAATTTTAAATATGCCAAGCTGGGTGTCTCTTATTCTGGGCTGGTAAATGACAACTGGAGGCGAGGGAAGAATGAGAGGAGCCTTCCTTACATCAAGCGCTGCATAGGAGCCATGCCAGCAGCCTGTATCCTGGGTCCACAGGGGGCCCTGGTCTCATGGATAACCATGGACTCTTCTTGTGAAGTAGGAATGGCCTACAGCATGAAAAAATACCGAAGGAGAGGCAACATAACATAGGTGAACATGAGATTCACGAAATATCTGCGTCATAAGAATATTCCATTTTACCTCTCTGTGCTGGAGGTAAATAAAGGCACCCACACATTTCTGGTGAAGGTCGGTTCCTTTGTGGCCACCTGTGAGTGGCACCAATGGACCTGCTACCCACAGAATCTAGTTCCATTTTAGACAATGAAGGTGCTTTTCAATCTTGGGCAAGCCACCTCTTAATATTAAAGCAGACACCACTGAATAGCTTTCTTCACTTACAAATGTTGATTGAGCATTTATTATATGCCAGGAACTATTCTCACATGGAGACTTGATGTTAAAAAACACAGCCATGCTATTGAGGAACTTACAATCCAGGCTGGAGGTGGGAAGCAGGGGATATAGTCTTTGAATATGCATAAGTGTTGTAGGGAAGGAAGGGGTTACCAGTAAACATGTAACTAGAAAGCCAGGCTCAGTTCTTACCTCTGGGAATCAGAACTCTTTATGAAACTTGGATGATAGAATCTACTATCTGGAAGATAAATGAAGGACTTTAATAAAATTGTCAATAAAGTACACCTAATCTATATGGATACTTTATTTTAAATAAATACCCCTGTTTATGGATTTATGAGGCAATGGCTCATAAATGGAATCAGCCTCTTATTTTAGTGACTAGCTAGGTATTAAAGTTAAAGCCTAAGACAAATGGCTTTCCTAGGCTACCTTTCATCATTGTTATGCAGAAAAGAATCTCCAGAGAATCAAGTGGGCTGGCCTTGTGGCCTCTGCTATGGAAATGACACTTGTTGTGCCTCCTTTCTCCTACTCTTTCTTACTTCCTCGTCATTAGTGAAGCACAGCACAGGGCAAGGTGTTGCCTGCAAGTATGGTTATAAGTTCAGCGCTTGGTGTTTGCAGCACTGCTATCTTAAGGGGTCAGGGGCATTCCTGGGAGAAGTGACTACTAAGGTGAGGACTGGAGAGTGAGTAGGAGTGAGCCAGATAAAAAAAGCAGAAAATTCAGATGATGGAAAGGACACGTGCCAAGCACTATCATAAGAACTTTCTAATTAAATACTTATATTACAATTCTGAATCCCTGATCTTAAAAAAGAATTACACTTCACGAACAAAATGTGGCTTCCTTTGGCTCTGCTCTGTCACCCTGCCATTGGAACTTGGATTACTGTGAACATTGCAGCTATAGCAAAAAAAAAAAAAAAAAGCATTTTCATTCTTTCTGATAATCTAGATTTAAAAAAACAAAGGAAATCTTAATGGAGTTGGCTTTGGGAGTAAAGTCTACCAGTATTAACCAACACCTATCCTCATCTCTCCATAAAAAGTAAGCCTCCACAAAATTGAATGTTTATATTTGATGTGATTTTAAAGTGTGCAGTTCCAGCAATTAAGGAATTGTGTAGGTCATGGAGCTTTAAAAAAAACTCCAATTCATCTTAGAAGGCTGTGGTAGATCTGTTACATCTTAGTATGAATTGGACAAATCAGATTTCTAAACTAAGACCTGGCTGATTTGGTACATTGACTGAAATGAAAGCATGGTCTGAAAAAGAGAAGAAACATGTCATTTGGAATTTCAAAGGGTGGAAAATTCTTACGTAAAAAATAAACTCGGGAACTTGGGGTAATGTGAAAACAGCTATATTTTTCACTCAACATGCAAAAGCTAATACAGATAATACAGATGACAAAAGAAGACAAAGCGAATAAAATTTGCCTGTTTCAAAATGGTGCCTCGGGCAGGTCCTGTATCCAGAAGAGGATGTTCATCCAGGGTGTGGGACTCAGGTCATCTTAGCACTGTCCAGCTGGCAGCTTCCCTCCTCTGTCCCTTCCCTGAATGCAAGCCAGCTTCCCTTACGTAGCACTTCATGGCCCTGTTACGATAGTGATTCCCAAACCTTAACATGCACTTGGATTAGAAAAACAACAAGAAAGCGTGGGAAAGAGGAAGGAGGATTTTTTAAATAGAGCACAAGGTAAGTCCAAAATTATCAGTAAACACAATACAAATGAATGGGGTAATTTTCTTATTAAAATATATGTTTTTCACATTGAGTTAAAAACAAAGTCCAAGAAGCATGCATTAATCTGGCCATCATAACAAAATTTCATAGACTGAGTGGCTTACACAACAGAAATTGATTTCTCACTTTTCTGGAACCTGGGAAGGGACATGACAAAGATCTAGCAAGGTAAGTTTCCTTCTCATTCCTCTTTTCTCAGCTTGTTGATGGCTGCAATCTCAGAGTGCTGGCATCTTGTCTCTAAGTCTAGAGGCTCCTGGTCCCCATCATGATCATCACCTATCAGGGGCCAGCACTGCTGATATAGAAGCTAAAAAGAAATCATTTAGGCAGTTAATGTGGGTAAGGGAGTTTTCGGTAAGATTTTTCTTTTAATAAAAAACCAGCCCCCATATAATTCATTTTCTAACCAAAATCAGCCTGAAAAATCAAGCCTCAAGCATAGATAAGCAAGCCAAAAGCTTGCATAAGTAAATGCCGGCACCTATGCCAATAGAAAAGGGATACCTGGAAGCCAGGCATATTCAACATGGAGGTTTCCTCTTTTTTTTTTTTTTGAAGGAGTCTGGCTCTGTCACCCAGGCTGGAATGCAGTGGCACGATCTCGGCTCACTGCAGACTCTGCCTCCCAGGTTCAAGCAATTCTTTGCCTCAGCCTCCTGAGTAGCTGGGATTACAGGCGCCCACCACCACGCCTGGCTAATTTGTTTCATATTTTTTTAGTAGGATGGGGTTTCACCAACTTGGCCAGGCTTGTCTTGAACTTCTGACCTTGTGATCCACCCTCCGCGGCCTCCGAAAGTGCGAGTATTACAGGCATGAGCTACCGCACCTGGCCTCCTCTTTTCTTTTCTGTCTTCACCTGTGCAGGCGACATGGCACCTGCCAGGTAGAGACCCCATCTGCATAATAAAAGTTTGGGGTGGAATGGCCAGCCTCTTCATGCATCACCTAAATGGCACACCTGGCACAACCAATCCTCTGAGCCCTATGTAAATCAGACACTGCCTCCTCAAGCTCATCTATAAAACTAACCGCAACTCGCCCCAAACCCGGAAACCTGCTCAGATACCCTTTCAATGCACGAGGAAACTCTTCATTCTTTTGCCTATTAAACTTCCACTCTTAAACCCACTCCTTTTGCGTCCACATCTTCAATTTCCATAGTGTGAGACAACAAACTTCTGACATTTCCCTAGACAAATGATGCTGCTTCCCTGCCATCTCTAGCCCAAGTGCCAAATGGCATCTTGTCACTTTAGCCTGATGAATGCCACGGCTGCCACCATGCTGCTTAGGACAAACAAGGACACAAAGATGGAGTAGGGACGGGTTTATTAGAGAGGCTGCAATAAAAGCATATCCTAGGCAACTTTCCACTTCTTAACTTCTGTCGTTTTCAAACTTAAACGTGTTTGTTTTGTTTTGTTTTTATTTTAACGGTTTCTATTTTGGCCCAGACTGCTCTTTGTTTTCCTGCTATGACATATTTACTGTTTTTTCTAAAGTCTTTTCCAACGTTTCATATAGGAATTAAGAAGACAGATATGTGTTTGGTCCACACCTTGATCCCCTCTCCACCTAGAATTCTCTTTACTCTTTCTCCAAGGAAGATTCCACCTCCTGTTCTGCCAGTTCCCTCATATTTGCCTCATACAGTTGCCCTTGTAGGCAGATGAACCCGGGCCAGTTTTACTTTACTATGGACACTAACTCCTCTGAAATAACATCTGAGTCTTGGGATTTGCATATGAAACTTCCCTTGACACAGCAAACAGTCTTTCCTTTTACCTTCAGTAAAGGCATCCACTTGGGAGAATGGACAGCACTAAAATTCCACAGATTTCAAAACCAAACCTGCTGTGCCTTTCTAGAGTCCTTGGAATGAAGAAGAGAAAGTAGGTTAGAAGGGATGATTTCCTCCTTCCTTCCTCACCCTGAAGGAGCTCCCATTTTTAAAGGAAAAAATTGGGGACAGTCCAAAAGAAACTCTTATAAATCAAGCCTTGCCATGCCACCATGAGAAGGGTAACCTGCATGCCCAGGGGTGAAATTTTTATATTTTTGTAATGATGTCCAAGGTCACCCCTGTGGATAACAAAAATATTTAAAAACCTATAAGGGTGCCAACCTTTTAGAACTGTGTGTCTTCACAAGGACCTACCAAGGCCTAGAGATCACAGCACCCCACTAGCAGCCATCTCCAAAGGCTTCCCACCTGCCCCAACCAACACACACACGGACGCACACACACACATAAATGCACACACACACACATCCTCCTGCTATCCTTTGGCCCTAGATCTCACCTAACTTTATTCTAAATCTTGATCTCCCTGTGCCCCCAAACTCATGTGTTATAGGGCCTTGGTAATCCCTTTGTAAGCATATTCCCTGACTTCATAAAAACTATTTATGAAACATATATCTAAGGTAAAACTTTTCATTTCATGCTAGATCAGCACTCTTCTTATTACAGTTACAAACACTGAACTTTTTAGTTGCTTGGAAAATATATTGAAAAGGAATTATTATTCTTGTATAGCCATAGATTATCCCTGGAAAAGTATTGATTGCCTAGAAAATGAGTGAAAATTGTTTCCCCATATACATTTTTTTCTTTTGAAAAGGATATCCTGTATATATTCAAGAGATACTGCTTTTTAAAAGAGGAAATTGCCTCCACTATGGAGTCTTATTAATTCACTTATCCATCAAGTTCTCTTATTAACTTAATTATCCATAATATTCCCTTAGTAATTTTTATTCAATCACTAGTATTTGTTTCTAATGCTCATAATTGAACACAAATTTCTTTACTATTATATAAAATAAAGTACCAGTTATTCTCCATTTTCTCCTGTACCCCAATAAGACGACATCTTCCAATAGATTCATTTCCCTGTTCTGCTGCCTCCTCACATCCAGATGAGTGTGCTAAGTGAGACAAATGTTTTTATTCTTCTACCATTCATCCCCCTGAGACCAATCTCTGGCTGTTTTAGTTCCAGATGGTCAGAATTTCCCTTGCAGTGTGTCTCTTCTATTTAAAGAACCCTTCTTTAAAGCTTTTATTACACTTCCTGGAGAGCCTAACATTGTCCATTTAGAGTTAACTTTCTACATAAAATTGGCCAGATTGTTTTTAACTCACTATTGTTTCCTCTTTTTTTTTTTTTTATCTGCTCTTATCTGAGATCTCTGTTCCTATTTGATTAGTTAAAATTCTTTCTCTAGGCCGGGTGCAGTGACTGACGCCTGTAATCCCAGCACTTTCGGAGACCGAGGCGGGCAGATCACGAAGGTCAGGAGATCGAGACCATCCTGGCTAACACTGGGAAACCCCGCCTCTACTAAAAATACAAAAAATTAGCCGGGCGTTGTGGGATGCCTGTAGTCCCAGTTACTCCGGAGGCTCAGGCAGGAGAATGGCGTGAACCTGGGAGGTGGAGCTTGCAGTGAGCCGAGATCGCGCCACTGCACTTCAACCTGGGCGACAGTGCAAGACTCCATCTTAAAAAAAATAAAATAAAATTCTTTCTCCAATATTTCCTGGATGTAAATATGCTACTGATATAATATGTGAAGACTTTCAAAACCACAAATATATTTATTTGACCCTCAGAAGAATATAATTTCTGCAGCCTTATAAATACGCAAATATTTTTTCTTTTACACTCAGGGGACTGATGCCCTATGAATCCACATTTTAGGATGACCAAATTTAATTTTTTCCATTTTATACATAAGGAAACTGAGGTGCAAAGAAAGAAGGTAACCTTGAACCTTCATTCAAGGTCACAAAGCTAATAAGAAGTGGATGACTAGCGATGAGGGCTTCAGGTTGAGATTAACAACCAACATCACAGGATATAATAGGGTTCAACCCAACTTCAAGTTCATAAAATGAATGGACATTCCCTGATCTTCCCTCCACTCCCACCCCCACCTCAGGGGATTTCAGGATGTACAGGGCAAAGCTGTCTCCCTCCACTCCCAACCGTTTCTCAGTCAGTGTGGGGTGTTAAGAACTCCTCACTGCCCCTCTTGAAGCTTACATTCTGGAGCAGGGAGGCAGAAACTAAACCAAAAATTAAAAAAACAAAAACAGTAAACATATTTCCTATAAACTCAGGTGTAGTATATGAAAAACAACACATGATTTGACGACAGAAGATGATGGAGGGAGAAAGAACAACAAATAAATAGGAAAAGAGGCCTCAGATACGAGCAGACAAAAAGGAGAGGAAACAGGAAGGGGTTAGGACGGGCCTCCACAAAAGACTGGCATTTGACAGACAGCTGCAGAAAGAAGGAACAGAGCCAAGCACATACCAGCGGGTTAGGGTTGCAGTCTGAGAAAGCACTCCAGGAATCACCCAAGATGGTCCACTAGGGTGAACAAAGGACATACTTGAACCAGCATTTAGATTCATCTTCATCTAAAAAATAAGAAATTAAGTGTGCCTAATATTTATTTAACATGTTAATTACAACAGAATATATATATATACACACACATACATATATAGTTGATGCTCAATTTGTTAAAAATTTGGTATGTAAAATTAAAGCTCAGAGATTACTCTTGCGTACGGCAATAAGCTCCTGAAAGGCAAGGATAGATTTCACCCCTCTCTGTATTTTCAGAGTCCATCGAATTGTGTGGAACAAAATAGGTATCAGTAGTATTTTGGGGGGTGGGGGGAGATCGAAACCATGCGGAGCACCGGAATTCTGTGTAAATCATTTAAAAAAACCTCCTCTGCTTTACAGCAGAGTCCCTTTTCTTTTGTATTTTTAGTTGCAACTAGCCCCATGCCTTGTAGATGACCCCTAAGAAATGAATGAGTGAATGAACGCGTGGACAGCAGGATGGATCAGTGAGTGAGGAGCAGTGATTCGCAGGACATGCATGCATTGAAATCCTGACAAAGCAGCCTCTGCAAAATAAGAGACCTTAGGCTTTGGTGTCTGACAGAAGATAAAATTATTCAAGGGCTGTCCTTGGGCAACTTAGTTGAGGTTTCCTAATCTATGAAACAGAAAATGATTAAATAGAAAGACGATTGCGAAAAAACCTATGGAAGGTGCGAAAGCAGGATGCCTGGCATTGAGAGACGCTTCACACCTGTTATCTCTCTCCCTATTCTCTCTCCACTCCTACTCCCGCCCGGCAGCTCCCCGCTGTCAGCACCAGAAATACCCGCTAAGAATACGAAAAGCAACGCTGGCCTTACACCGTGACGCTTTTAAAAACTCTAAAAACCCAGCGTGACGGGGGGTAGGTTTGCCTAAAGACAGGTGAGGCAGCCTTAGTTAACTGAGAAGGTTAATTGACAAAGAGGGTTGAGCCACTATGAGCCGAAGCAACCTTGGACTAACAGGTGTATCTTCAGCCAACACATGTCCCAGCATCTCCCACGCCCATCCCTCCATTTAGCACCCAAAATGCAGCCTCCTAAGAGAATGGGAAGCTTGGGGGGGTGGTCAGCTTTGGCTTTCATGGAAGCTACCATTGGCTTTCATTGATGTCAACCCATTAAGGGAATCTTCGAGTCCAAGAACGGAAGCTACCATTGGCCTTAATCTTCACCTCCCGCTTTTCTTCCCTGCTTCTTTTCTCCTCCCTATTCCAGTAGGTTAGTTCTCTGGCGCCATCAGCTGGCAGCACGCGGGAATATACCAAACGCGGAAACGCGCCTTCGCCTGCCCTGAGTAACTGCAAATCCAGGGCTGAGTGAGGTATTTAAGCGCTTGGCTTGTGTACTCAGGACGGTGCTAAAAGGGGGCTGCCTGCGCGGATCCTTTTCCCACAAGATGCAAGTAAAAAAGCACCGCTGACGCCCTGGGAGGGTCACAGAGAGACAGGCGGGGCGGTTGACCAGCTGAACGGACTCACTTCTAAGAAATGCAAATTACCGAGCCACAGTCCAACCAAAGGTATCAAAACAGGATCTCTACCGATGGAGCTCAGCGATATGTGTTTTGACCAGCTCACAATAAGATTTTCATGCATCATACATTTTGCTTGAGTTTCTCAGGTAGTTATGTTGATGTCCGGATTTGTTAAAAGCTGCAGATTACTGGGCCTCACCCCAGACCTATTGAACTTAAATATATTTGGGTTCCCAGAATCCCCATTAAAACAAACAAACAAACAAACAAAACACCTATCCAAGTGATACGGTTGAACTTTAAAGTAAAGAGAATCACAAACTGGCAGATCTCTTTAATTTATACTTAGGGAATGGAGACTTCCCCCACCCCCACCAAGAGGGAAAGGAATTTGCTCAAGGTCTCCCTGCAAGATCCTAAGAAAACGTGAAGCTCTAAGGTTAAAATCCTACCTGACAGCCTTTCCCTCCCCCAACTAGTCCTGTGACCTCTAGCAAATTATCCTGTCCTAATCTGTGAAATGGGATCAACAGTCACACCTACCTCAATGGGTGACTGTGAACATCAAAAGAGACCAAAATGAGTCAACTACCAAGCACTGCCCCACTGGAGGTAGACATTGAACTAAATCTTGATCACTCTACCCCCCATTCATCTCCGAGTACCACTGTATGAGGATGGAAGTGAAGTCACCCAGCCACATGTTGGTCCCAAACCATGTAAACCTCTACACACAGCTCAGTGAATATTTCTTTACTTGAAGAGAGAGAGAGGCTCCTTGGAGCCTCTGGAGTCTGGAGGTGGATGTTACCATCCCCATGAGTGCATTGTCTTCCTAAGATAGGATGGACTACGGGGTCTATATGGGAAGTGTTAGCTGCCAGTACTTCAAGGCTGGCTCCTAAGCTGTTGCTGGAGGCTTAGAGACCCCATTTCAGCTATCTATCAATAGGGGCAGGTTGTTAGCAGGAGTGAGTGAGGTGAGCCCACTATGAACCCACAGGAGGACAGGAAAAAAACCATCTCATCTAAGCTTTCACATACCCCATTGCAAGCTCCATTATGTGGTGCCCAGGCCCTTATGTCTGACACATCCCCAGAAGCCAATTCTCCTCAGTCCTTCCTGCCACTTCTGCCATTGTACATCCAGACAGTTCCACTCTTTTCTTCTGTCAAACTCCTACTCATCTCTCATCCATCAAGTCCAAATATAAATCTCATTCTCTGTGATATACTCCCAAGGTAGAGGCAGTGGTGCCTTCCTCTGTATTCCCAGAACATGTTGTTTGCAACTCTAAATACAGACATCAGCCTACTGTTAGAGTTTAGAAGCATCTTTTAGGGGTTCATGAAGGAATCCCTTTCCATAAACACTGGCCTTACTCCCTAACTTCACCAGACCTGGCCTTAGTGCTTGATCCATTCCCACCTCACCCGACCATGTGAGGGCTTTTCTTCTTTGTGGGTTTGACTACCACAAAATGACCCAACGACCAGTTACTTGGCCAAAAGTATTCTCATCACATTTATAATAAAATCCAGCCAACAAGATGCTTTCTGCCAAGGGAATGTTCTTTTTCAGGGCAAACACTCTGTCCTCAGGGATGCTGGACAACTTCCACAGCCCCATGTAAGCATTAGCTGAAAGTGAGGCTTCCTTGGTGGCTCAACAGATTCCCTGAGCATCCCTACCCTGTCACTGATATCAAATTGCAGTGGATTGCATCCAAGCTCTCAGACCATAGCTGCAAAAGGAAAATCAAAGCTAGAGCTCTACTCTGGACCTATAGCTCTAGGTAGTTAGTTTCTCTGTGAGGGTCACTTTTATACTTAAGGAAGAAATGGAAGATTGGTACTAAAAATGACGTCAGGTTACTTATTCCAATTGTGTGGTTCAGCTGTTACTCCAATGATGAGCAAATGAAGAGGAATTAGAAGCATAGCTATTCCTAGGCTCAAGGAGCAGGGAAGCTCTGGAATTGGTGTACAGCAGTGCTGCTTGGAGTACCATTACAAAGGGACAAGAGTGGTTCAAGGGGAGGTAAAATACAGGGCACCTAAGACACAGGGAATCTGGGAAACAAGGCAGGATTTTGTATTTATCATTTGCCATGATCTCTCTCTGTGAACTTTCTTCTCCCTTTTAATTTTCCCTGTACTTTAATTATATTTCTCAGGCCTGGTGCAGTGGCTCATATCTGTAACCACAGCACATTGGAAGGCTGAGGCAAGCAGAGCACCTGAGGTCAGGAGTTCGACCCCAGACTTGCCAACATGGTGAAACTCCATCTCTATTAAAAATACAAAAAGTATCCGGGCGTGGTGACAGGCACTTGTAATACCAGCTGCTCAGGAGGCTGAGGCATGAGAATCACCTAAACCCAGGAGGTTGAGCTTACAGTGAACTGAGATTGTAACACTGCACTCCAGCCTGGGCAATAAAACAAGACTCTGTCTCAAAAAACAAAATAAAATAAAATAAAATAATTCTCAGTTAATGGCCAACATTACCATCATAAGTCCTAGTTTCCCTCTCTTTCTCCTTTTGTGTGTCTTTTATTTTGATCTATGCTCTTCTCTCCCAAGTTCAGCCTCTTGCCCCTTCTTAAGGCTCTCTGGGCATTCACCCGCATGTGTTGAGTGTCCACTTCTCTCCTTATTTTTCAGTTGGAGTGGATTAGTATCTCCAAGTCAATATATCAAAAGTAGAATTACTGACACACTCATCACTCCTGGCACACACAGCATCTCCTTCCTCAGACTTCCCCATATCACTTAATGCAGACTTTATCTTTCTAGTTGCTCAAGTCAAAAGCCCAAGAATCATATTGAGCTCTCTTTTTCTCTTATTTATGGAAAACCCCATTCACAAGCCAATTCCATGGGCTCGCCCTTCAAAATAAATGTGGAATTCAGCATTTTCTAACACCTCCACCATTACCGTCTGAGGCTGGGCTCCGACATCTTTGCAATCCTGGGATATACTCTTAGCCATCTTCTCCCTTCCACACCTCCTATTGTCCTCCTAGAGTTTGTCCCCCACGCAGCTGCCAGAGAGATTTTTAAAAATATGTCAGGTTATATTACTCCTTGCTACAAATCCTCCATTTAAAATAAATTTCATATTTATAACAAAATCCAGACTTCTTCATATGGCCGACCAGGTGCTTTATGCTAATGGAATGTGCAGATGCTCCTCCCTAAGGAGCACTTTTTTCCAGGGAAAATTCTCTATCTCCAGTGATGTCAGAAACTTTCGACAATACTATTCTCTACCACCTCTTGCTTTTAACAGCTTTTTTCCTCCAGATTCTACAATGAAAAGAAGATCAAGTCTCCTTGTGCAATGATTTACTCTCCGATGCATATTAGTGCCAGTCATGTGCACTGCTTTCAGATGATTCAAGAATAACAGCGATTTGAGAAAGCTGTCTTTACGTTTTTCTCTTCCCTGTTTCTGTTTGATATTATTTTTACAATTACACTTCTAAAGTTTGCTCTTTCCAAACACCACAAGACCCGTGTAATTTAAGTGATTTCAGGAGTCTCTGTGTATTTTACATTAAGTTCAGAAACATGCTCATGATTCCACCAAAACTATCAACTTTTACATAAACATCTGTCCTTCTATGAGTTACAAAATAATTTTCACCATCATCTATTAATCCACCATCTTCTCCCCTTCTTTGACCAACTTCTCAAAAATAACACTCAATACTGAAGGCATCTCCTTCTATTCATGTTCTTAGACAGTAAGACGTTCTGTTCTTAAACAGTAAGATGTTTTCTCAAGCCCCATGCAAAGCACTTACTTGATTATCACTTTGGAGATACCCAACTCTGGAGTCTTCATCCGAAGGGTAAAGTTCCACACCCAGTAATGCGCCTCCTGGGAAACAGGCCTAAATACTCTTCATCTGAGGGGTAAAGTTCCGCACCCAGTAATGCGCGTCCTGGGAAACAGGCCTAAGCAGTGCTGGCCCCTTCCTCGTCCAGACTGGCATTGTCTGTGTTCGCCAGCCCCTCCACGAAGTTGGATCATTTGCGGAGCAGGCCAAGTCCCTCTAGACCTCACGCAGACGCGGGTGCAGCCTGCTCTGCGACTTGCAGTCAGCTGGAAGCTGGGCCTCTGCATCATCAGGGTGGAGCTCTCTCTGCTGCTGCCGCTGGATCCCGCCTGGATGCACGTCCCGCCACCGCCGCCGACCCATCAGCGGCAGAAGGGCAGCAATGGCCACACACCGAAGCACCTTGGCGGGCTATTCCCCTTGCAGCTCTCCTCAGCGCGCTGCTCCCACTCGCAATCAAAAGGCGGAAAAAGCGCGAAACCGCCAGGCATCTCCCATACCCACCCGGCTGCCGCGCAACCCCTCCTTGGCTTCCACTGGGAGACAGGGGACGCCGATGAGCAGGAAGAAGCAGGGCAGTGACTGCTTAGTTTATCCTGGTACGCGGGAACTGGCTGTGGACCGAGTGGTTCGGGGGAGGGGATCGCTGGGACCGGGATGGGTCATCTGGACAAATAGGGAGGGTGGGCGGGTGGGCGCGCAGTCCCCTCGGCCTGGCCGTCTGACCCGCCCGCGAGCGCGTGCGCCCAGGCGTGCACTCTCATCCCTTTTCCTCTCTTCAATCACTGTCTGGAGTGATGCGAATTAGCTTCCAAAGTGGATGAGAGGATGAATCATTTCCATCCAATGAGAGAAAACAGCCTCCAGAGACTCTTCGTCCATTGGCCAGCGAGAGTGTCAATTCCCAGGCTCCCTCCCGCGCGCCAGCCTGCTCTTCCAGGCGGGAAAAGTTCAGCTTAGACAGGCAAGAGAGAAGTCTTCCCAACACCTGCGAATCGGGAGCAGCGGGCACTAGCACGTGCACTGTCTGGTCAGGCTCGCCGGTTCTTTGAGTGGTTTTTCTGGTTCTGGGTCGGACCCGGAGTTAGGTGGATGGCCGGCAGGGGCAGTAGACAGAAGGATCTCAGCCCAAAACCAAGGAGGTTTTGGATGGGGAGCTGGGCCCCGCCCGTTGTGGTAATTCCCTTCCTGCCTCTCAGCTTCAAAGGCCAAGAGTGTTACTCCTGAAAAGATACATGGAGATCGTCTGGGTGTTCCTGAATCTCAAGAGTGTCGTTTGACCCTGGTGGATCCTTTCCTTCCCTGGTGCCCTTTGCACCCATAGAATGAGACCAGGTTCGGTTAAGCAGAGCAGAAACTTTATTCACTGATCAGGGAATGGAACAGGAGAGCTCCTGTTCAAAGTTCCTGGGGTGTAGTGAGGGGGTGCTTTTTAAGGTCTTTTAGGACTCCTAGGTGGAGACTGAGGACAAGGATTCCTGGAAAGAGGTGGGGCTTTCCAGGAAGACCTGAATGTGGCAGTCTCATTCTTTCTGTTGCACCACAGCACTACATGTGCCTAGCAAGGTGCATTTCTCCCCGGGGCAGAGATTTAGGTATGGTAATTAGCAAAGATTCATGTTAGGGTAGCGCTGCTGAGCTCTTTCCCATCTTGTAGCACGGTGGTTACTGACATCCAGCCTTTGTTTCTGTAAGCAAGCACAGCTGCAAGCACAGGTTACCTTCATAGGTTCTGGAGTTTTAGGAAAGCATTGAGGTCATTCTGTGGCCACATAGACGGTTGTTTAAACAACGCGGTGCTCATTTGAGGCGGGGGTTGTGGGATGAGGCAGGTAAAAGTGCAGATTCCATAGCTACACCCCGACATACTGAATCAGAGTCTGTGAAGGTGGGATGTGGAATCCTTTTTTAAAAAGCTCAGAGGAGCCAATTCACAGGAACAATAAAAGGTTGATCTGAGCCAAACTCCTTAATTTAGAAATGAGGAAATGGGGATCCCTAACAGAGGTACAGGGAGAGGGTTGGAGGAAAGTTACACCATAATAGTTTTAGGGTGGTTCTTTCCTGGCCTTGGAAAGTTTTCTCAGCCGGGGCTCTGATCAGTACACAGTTGAATACTTTAGGGGAAACCTCTTCATATATCCTGAGTTTTCTGTCTCTCTCTCTCTGCCTCTGCAGGTCACCCGCCAGGTTTGTGGCCTGTGATCTCTTGTCACCTTGGTCTCTCAGCTTTGTCTTCTGAAATCTGGACTTCCAATTGTCTTTGTCTTGCTGCCCTTCCTTGCGACACTGGCCTGGAATCCCTCACGGTAGTCTGCTGGAGTGGAATTTAGGACGCATCTCAGTTGTCACCATCTTTAATTGCATGATGTCTAGTTCCTTGCAAACCATTATTTCATGTATTTCGCTCTTTTTTGTTTGTTTTGTTTTGTTTTGTTTTCAGGCTAGGGGAAAATCCAGTCCCTGTTACTCCATTTTGGCCAGAAATTCAAGGTAATGACTTTTAATGTTCCTGACTACTAGTTCTATCATCTCTCTCACTTCTGGATCTGTCTCTATTCACTGATGTTTCTAGTCATTGTGGGTCATATTTTTTCCACGTTTTAAATACTTCCTGATTTTTGACTAGATATCAAGCTTTGTTAATTTCACAACTTTGGGTGCCAAAAATTTTTACATTCCTATCAATATTCTTGAGCTTTGTTCCAGTACGTTGTTATTTTACATGGAAACCATTTCATACTTTCAAAGCTTGCATTTATTTGTTAGGTGGGACCAGAACAAGGGCTAATGTTGTCCCACTATGGAAGCAATACTTTCTGAGTAGTCTCCCTGATACTTCATGAATTATGAAGTTTTCTAGTCGGATTTTGGGGAACTGAAACCATTTTCTGTCCTGTATGAGCCTCAGAAATTGTTACATCTGCTCCTTTCCGATAGTTCTTTTCCTGTTCCTTTTCAACAGTTTCATTATACTCATGCATTGACCAAGCTGAAATCTCAAGGGTTGCCCACTGCACATCTCTGATCCTCTGTGCTCCTGTGGCGCTCTTCATCCTAGTACTCTGCCATACAGGCTCCAGTCATCTTGGCCTCCCACAACTCCCAGCTTGTCTTCTCAACTCAGGGAAACTGCCAGGTTCTGCCTGTTTCCCCTCCCTGAGATATGCCTTGGAAATGCCATACAGTAAGCTAGATAGCCATAGGGGTTACCGCATATGATTTTCTTCTCAGATATCAGAGATGAGATCCCACACAGCCTGATGTCCAGTGTTTGAAAGTGGTTATTTCATAGATCTTGTTTTTTTGTTTTTTTAGACATTTAAGGTGGCAGAATAAATTCAATCCTTGGTTCTCCATTTTTTCCACTAGTAGAAGTTAGTTATATTGTCTTTGAACTCATCATGAATTCCATGAAGACTGAAGGGAACAAGTCATTTAGTGCTACAGAGGATGACCAGAGGGCTAGACCTGAAGTTTCAAAGGCATATCTACTTTTTTACAACTCCTCACTGGAGAGATAGTCTAACCGTGGTGCCAATTCAGATTCTTGGAGATAAATTCCTAAAGAATAATAGTTATAAGTCCTTATCTTAGGCTGTTTAAAATATATTTGGGGAGCTCATACACATAAGTGCTTGTGTAAAGCAAAATGATAGGGTATGAGTTAACAATGATAAACATGTCTTAAGACAACAAGATGAGTAACAAACAATATGGACACTTAAAATCATGGAAAGTACACACAGGCAAAAATAATTAGCTAATGTTTCCTGAGGAAACACTGTGTGCCTAGAATTGTGTTCCATCATTTGAATTATCTCATTTAACACTTAATATTATTATGCAGTAGGTAATATTATCATCCTTATTTTCCAAAAAAGAAACTGAAGCTCAGCTTCCTTATAGTTGCAGAAATAACGAACTTCAGAGCAAGGATCTGAACCCAGGCCATCAGACTGCAGAGGCTGGTTTTTGACCCACACTATTTTGTTCAAAATATGGAAAATGATAATACTAAATTGAGACATAAACAAGTGATTTTAGAGTACAGAGAGAAGAATTCTTAATTCAGACTTAAGAAATTAAAGCAGTGTCATATGAGACAGATCCTAATGAATAATAAATCTAAAATTGTCAAACTCATAGATGTAGAAGTGGTTGTCAGGGGCTGGGAAGAGAGGAAAACAGAGGTATTAGTCAAGGGGTACAGAGTTTCCTTATACAAGGTGAATAAGTTCTCAAGATCTGTACAGCATGGTGCCTATAGTTAACAATATTGTATACTTAAATTATTGCTAAAATGATAGATCTTATGTTAAGTGTTCTTATTACAAAAGTAATAAATGAGGGCAGAATGGATGAGACTTTTGGAGGTGATAGATAGGTTGATGTCATAGATTCTGGTGATAATGTATCTCCACACTCATCAAGTTGCATACATTAATTATGTACATTAGTTACGCATTCTGTATGTCTAAAACTAATTTATTCTTTTAAAAGAATGAATAACATTTCACTTGTGTATCAAGGATGAAGGAATGGCCTGAATAAAGTCATGTACACGTGAAAATATATTTGGCGAATAAGACAGCTGCATTTGATGGTATATAAGGAGAATTCAATAATGTAGTAGGCAAATAATGCTTTCTAGACTGGTAAGGTAGTGTGGTGCCAAGATCTCAGAAGGCTTTCTATCAATAAGAGCTCTCCATATTGCTGGTAAAAATATTTTCTAATAATGAAACAATAAAATGGATTCATTTGTTCACATGAGTGGATATTCCAGAATTCAGCAGAGCTCTTAATTCAGTTTTATACAATTTCTTCAACGGCTTGTTTGTGTGTTCGGTCTCTATGTTCTGCTTTTCATATTATTCCCTGGCTGGCTTCCTGCATAGTGGCAAACAGAGCTGCAGTAATATCAGATGTTTTATTCTCCCAATAATGAGTCTATCCTGGTTTTCTAAGGAAACTTCTCTTGCCATCTAATTGTCCCAACTTAAGTAGCTCACCCATTCCTGCACAAAACCCTGTGACTGAGAGGGCACTTACAGATATTCTTAAACTGGCATGAATTTATTTCCATACATTATGGCTCCTAAAAAGTGGGAGAGGGGTAGAATAGCTTTCTGGAAAATAGCTGCAGTATCTTTTCCTTCTTTGAATTCCATGTGTAGGTTTCTGGATTTTCTTCTGTAAATAAAGGAGACGTGTTTACAGACTTTATCTTTGTATTGCTTAGGAGGAGTTCTTCAACTCACTTTAGACTTTGTTAAGTTAAATATTAATGATAAAATGCCTAGGCTATTTTGTTCAAGACAGTTGCCATAATCACATGTGATTATTTAAATTAAACTTAACTAAAATCAAATAATGAAAAAGGTGAATAATACAAATTCTCATTTGCACTAATCACATATCAAATACTTAAGAAATACATGTGGCTGTGGTATTAGACAATACAGATGTAGAACATTTCCATCACTGCAGATATGCTATTAGGTAGTACTAGTCTACGGCATCCACTTATAGAACAGAACTAGAGTGTAAAACTGCCAAACTGTTTGTGGAGAAAATAGAATGAGAGGGAAAAATGATGGAGGCAACAAAGCAAGGGAATAAAAATTTAGAAACAGTAGAAGTTACAAAAAACGATGATAGAAATGAGCACAAAAATCCCCATGCCCAATTGATTGTCTTACAGATTATTTGAAAGACTTTAACTTTTATTGTTTCGTTTACATTTATTTATTTCATAGTAAAATTCAGTCTTCTGAGTATACAGTTCAATGGCTTATGACAAACACCTACAGTCATGTAACCAAGACCAAATTCAAGAAGCAAAGCAGTTTTATCACCCTTACTAATTCCTTGTGTGGTTCCATCACTCTAAATAATTCCCTGTGCTCCCCACTTATCCCCTATTCACCCCAGTCCCTGGCAACCACTAATCTCTTCGTTACTCTAGTGTTGCCTTTTCCAGAACATCATGTAAATGGAACATAGACTGAATTATACCCTTTGAGCATGGCTTCTTTCACTCAGAACATTCCATTTAAGATTCATGAGTATTGTTGCATGCATTGATAGGTTTTTCTTTTCTATTGCTGAGTAACATTCCACTGTGTGAATGTATCAAAATCTGTTTATCCATTCACTCACTGAAGAACATTTGAATTGTATCCAGTTTGGGGGCTTTGTAAATAAAGCTGTTGGGAACATTTGCATACAGGTTTTTGTATGAAGGTTAATTTTCATTTCTCTTGAGTTCACCTAGCAGTGGAATTGCTTTCATGGAAAGTGTATGTTTAACTTTATAAGAAATTGTCAAAATCTTCAAAATGTTTTCAAAATGGCTGTATAATTTTGCATCCTCGCTACCAATGTGTGAGAGTTCCAGTTGTTTCATATACTTGTCAACACAAAGCTTTTCTGATTCTTTCATTCTCATAGGTATGTAATGGCATCTTTTTGTAGTATTTGCATTACACTAATGACCAATAATTTGAGCATCTTTTTATGTTCTTATATCATCCACATATCTTCTTTGGTGAAATGTCTATTAAAATATTTTGCCCATTTTTATACTGGTTAGTTATATCTGAGTTTTGAGAGGGCTTTACATATTTTGGAAACAAGTCCTTTGTTATATTGCTTTTCTCATAATATTTGTGATATTTGCTGATTCTTATCTCTCCATGGCTTGTCTTTTCATCCTCTTGGTTCTGTTTTGGGAGGGAAAAGTTTTCAATTTTGATGAAGTTTACTTTATATGTTTATTTCTCTTTGCGGATCATGCTTTTGTTGTTTACATCAGAGAACTCTGCTAAATCTAAGATCACAAAAATCATTTCTAAGTTTTCTTCCAGAAGTTTTATAGTTTTATATTTAAGTCTGTGATTGATTTAAGTTTTTTTTTGTATGGTGTGATATCTGGGTCAAATTTTGTGTGTTTGTGTAAATTGTGTGTTCATTGTGTAAAAAATTAACTCAATTGTGGATGATTAGCATCTTAAGAATGTTGAGTCTTCCAATCTTGAACAAGTATATTCTCCATTTATTTTTGTCTTGTTTAATTTCTTTTGCTGGAGGGCATCTGGGAGAATAGGCAAACCTGGTAAATGAAGGTACAGCAGGGATTGGGGTTTGAAGGGGCAATGTGACTTGTGCATTACTCTCTCCAAGGCCAGGAGACAAGGCAAGAACTAGAAAGATCAGAAGTACAAGGCATGAGTGACAAAGAAGGTTAGTCATCCTGGCATCATGCAGCTTTAAGATTGTCCAGTCAACTGTTAGTGGCTCCTCCTAGCAGACTTCCTGCTTTTGCTTCTGGGTCTCTGGAGTGTGTCTGCACTGTCTTGCCCCTTTGACCAGAAACCCTTGCTTCCTCCACACTCCCTAAAATCCTCAAAGGATAAACCTCCAGCACTGGAATCTCCCTCCCCAGACAAAAGCTCTGCACAGATGTACTCATGTCTCCATCGGAGACCCCCAGACTTAGAGCCCTCTGAAAACTGGATGGTCAAGATAATAAGTTATTGGGACTTTTGTATGCCAGATGTGACAGTCTGCCAGGTACTTTATTTACGTCTTATGGGAGTCTCACCACTGGGAGGGAAATGTTTTCCAATTTGACAGAAAACAGAGGGGAGGTATTTGTTCTGAATGCATTTGAAGCCTGGCCCCTCAGTCAGCAAACTTTATTGACCAGCTCCCACTTTAGGGACTGGGCATGTGAAAGAGGGGCAGAGTCCCAGCTCTTGTGGACCTTACGTTTTAAACAGGGAAATAGATTATCCAGGAAACACACAAATAGAAAAGTTTTGCTAGTGGATCAAGAACATACAAAGGTAAGAGAAAGTGGCAAGTGTGTGCCTGGGAGTGCTACTCTGGCTGGGGAATTTGAGAGGCCTCTGAGGAGGCCCTGAAGACATCCAATGGAAGGCCATACAGAATGGTGAGTACACAAGCCCTGAGACTGGCTAGGGCTTTTTGTCCAGGGCCTGAGTGAGCAATGTAGCTGGGATCAAGGGGAGAGGAGCTGAGCAGCAGGAGATGGGGCAGAGGGAGGGGTGGACAGGGGCCAGAACACTCCACTCTCATAGGCCTTGGAAAAGAGGGGATGGGAAGATGCTTGAAGGGGCAGAGGAGTTGAGAGTGGAGGCTATTCCACAGGCATCCAGGCTAAAAGGGAGGGGGCCTGGAGTGGCCTGAGGCTGGGAGCTGGAGGGGTAGAGAGGAGCAGATGGAGTGGATGAGAGGTGTGAAGGAAATGAAAGATGGAGGATGTAGGGCTTAAACTGTGGAGGCCAGAGAGGGAGGAGAAATGACAAGTGGGTTTTGAAACTAAAACCCAAGCACTTTAACACTGACAGGAACTTTGCCTTTTTCTTCCTCGTCTCTCATTGGCCAGCACAGTGGTGAGTACATAGTAGATATTCAATCACTTTGATCACTTATTCAATGAACACTTCTTACAAAACTACTTGCCTGGTATGTCACAGGCACCAAGGATATACCAGTTAATACAGTGATATTCATGTTCTCTTGGAGCTGACACCATAGAGGGAGAAGGGAAAAATAAATTGTGTGTGTGTGCATGCACATATGTGTGTCTGTTTTGATATGGGCAGAAGGGAAAAGAGAATGGAGGAGGCTGTTTTGGAAGTGGTCATAGTTGGCTTCTCTGATAAGGTGATATCTGAGACCTCAAAGGAGTGAGCAGGTGAGTCTTAGATGGAAATATATTGAGGAAGAACACTGAAGACAGAGGAAGCAGCAAGTACAAAGGTTCAGAGGTGGGAGGGTGCTTGTTGACTGACCAGTAGGTCTAGTGCTTGTTGACTCACTAATCAGTACCTGTGTCCCTTCCATTAAACTTGGAACTCTCTAAGGAACATGCCTGGGTTTTCCTCATGAGGCAAGAGTGGTCAGAGGGATAGGATATGGGCCACTTTCTCTCTCTTTATGCTATTCTTCTTTTCCCAACCCTGGCCAGGCTTAGATGTAGGGGTCAGGGAAACACAAGGTTTGGTTCTGTTACAATCTGGAGAAAAGGTAGAGAAAGCTAAGGAATAGGAAGGTTCTGTGCTGTTCCAGACCCCACCACTCATACCCATGCTGTTTCTGCTTTTAACACCTGCAGGTCCCACCCTCTCATCCAATTCCACACCTCTGCCACTGTTGTGGCATCCATGACACTAAAACTTTCTGTTTCTTGTGTTACCAGCCACAAGTTTTTAGTCTCCCATGCAATAGAAATTGACACAAGGCCAAGTGAGTTTCCCAGACAAGGCTTTATTAGGGGCTTATGCTTGAATACATGGGAGTCAGCAGTAGAGTCAGAGGTCTCCGGATGGCTCCCCAAAGACAGGTCTTTTTGGTGTTTTAAGAAAGTTAACATGAGAAGCATAAGGTAAGCTAATATCATTACATGGGTTGGGAGGAGTGTAGAGTGTGCAGGCCCGGTGAGATATCATGTTAGTACTTACATCGCATGATCAAAAAATGGTAGACAAATCCCTCCCTGGGTGGGGATTTCCATATGATAATGAGGCAAAGGGTAAAGATTGGTCATTGTTCTGGTCCTGTGTGCATGGAGGTGATAGGATTAACTCCCTTGAATGAGAATTATGATAGAATGCTTCTTATCTTAGTTTCTTTATGGTATTCCAGCCAGTGAGGATGGCACCAGTGGAAGTTCAAGGTCTGGTAGTCAGTGGGTGGAGAAAAATGCATTATGGGGGTGGAGGCAAGTCCTGTCCCTACTCTGTCTCACTAGGATATGTACCTTCTGGTGCATTATTTGCCTTTCTGGCTATTTTGCTAGGGATTGAGAGTAATCTCACTGTGGGAGTGCAGTGGATGTGGTCAATTCCAGCTGCGCCCCAAGGCTTCAAGACAGAGGCAGTATGTAGGAGACTCCAAAATCTTAGAATCTCAGCTCAGATTACACCTAGGCTCTGGCTCCTGTCCTGGCCCTTAGTCATTTCCCCTTTATTATTCCTCAGTCATTTCTGTTTCTCTAGCTATCTTGCTGACAGAACATGTTGCTCTAAATTCTGCTGATTCAAAATTCTTCTATTCTTACCAACAAAGCATAACAATATCTCCAAATATGCCTGCCAGTCACACATAAACTCTTAGAAGGCATACAGTAAGTGCAGATTACCCAATTCAGTAATTTATTCTGATTTTAATTCTAGACAGTCTCCTCCTGGTGAGGTGAAATGCTGTGTCCCAGAAAGTCCATCCCACAGAGTTTTCTAAGGCTCAGTGAAGGGACCTTCAACAGAGCCGGGTCCTCCTTTCCCATGTGAGCCCCTCTTCTGGATCCCAGAGCTATAGATGGAAGAGTGAGTGGATTCTAGAATGACTGAGGGGAAGGTAGTTGGGGGCCATCAAGGGAAGGTCTCAGAGTAGAGAGGAGCTAAGGTAGCTGGGCCTGGCCAGCTGCTCTTTGCCTTAACTCAGGAATTCTCAAAGCCTGGCCCCTGGGCCAGCAAGATCAACACAATCTGAAGACTCACCTCAGATATATTAAGTCATATCCTGTGGGTTAGGGCTCAGCAATCTGTGTTTCAAGAAACCCCCAGGTGATTCTGATGCAGAATGATGGCAAGAACTCAGACACCGATTGGGACTGCCAGGCAGGTGGAATCCTTGCTCTCCAATAGATACTGAATGTGAGAGGCCATGAGCAAAGCCCTGCTGGAACTGGGCATCCGTTTCTCCATTTGTCAAGTCCCAGGATTTTTACCAGGTCTCTGAAGCAGTGATAGAATCAGGTGAACATCTCAGTGGGAGATGCACACACAATTGTAACCGTCCCTCTTTCTCACTCTAGAGGGAAACGAAACTTGTTAAGTTGCTTTGAATGTCTTTAGGTAAAGTCACAGGTGGGCTGCCTGCCTCTCTGAATGAGCCAGATAATTTGATTTACCCTATTTAGTTACAGATCTTGCTATACCTTTAGCAGAAAACCCACCACCACTACCACATACTTTCCCACAACCTTGGAAAGGAAGAGACATGTTTTAGTTGGAATTTGCTGTCCCTAGACTCTCCTTCCTCTTCCAGTCTTTTTTGGAATGGGGACTTTTCTGTACTGCCTCCTGTACTGCCACTTTCACTCTTTTGGCATGGTGACTTTTCTGTAGTGCCTCCTTAAGATCTCAGGTCCCATCAAACTGTAGAAAGAAGAATTACATTTGTTTGACATGTTTGCTTCTCTGATAGCTTCTGAGGAGATTAGGAGGAGTGCAGATTTTTACATCCTCCTTTAGGGCTGAAAGTACGATTACCCCATATGGTTCTACTGCCTTCACACTTACCAAGTCTCCCCATAAGAGCCTGGCCTTTTACATATATTATCTCACTTACCAAGCACAGCTCAGAGATGTTAAACAAGTAGCCCAAGGTCACACAGTGGGTGGTAATAGTAGCAGAGCCTGGATGTGTGCTTCCACCCTCTGGACCCTGCTACCTCCCACAGAGGCTTCACAGTGCAATCTGGGACTGGCACTGAATCCTCAGTCCACCTCAGACCCTGTCCTGGCCCTCAAGGAATCTGCTCCCCAGTCAAAGCCTTCCTCTGAGGTTTGGAAGTGAGGGAGTGACTCCCCAGTCCTCCTCCTGTTACCAGTGGATGGTCTTGACTACAAGTTGTCCTTGTTCTTGGCATTTTAAAGAAAGAATTGGTAAAAAGGTACAAACAAAGCAACAAAAGAATGAAGCAATGTAAGCATAGATTTATTGATGTGAAAGTACACTCCACAGAGTGGGAGCAGGCTTGAGAAAGGGGCTCGAGAGCACTGGTTGCAGAATTTTCTGGGTTTTAAATATCCTCTAGAGGTTTCTCATTGGTTAGTTTGTTTACATCCTACATAAATCATATAGTGGCCCACAAGCAGTTTGATTGGTTGTTGAAGGGGACCATCCAGAAGTACTTTCCGTTTTTCATCTGCAATGCAGTGGAAAGTGGGAATTGGTGGCATGATTTGCAAAAGGAGTAGCCTCTGATCCTTTTGTTACTTGATTGTGGAGAGGTGGGATTTTCCTTTTGATTCAGTTCTAGGAAGTGAGTGTGAATCATCCTTAGGTTCCCAGCCAACAGATCCTGTCTTCTACATCACTCCTTCAGACCTGGGGCATCTCTCTCCTTGCCAGCCTGCTCCTCCCCTTGACTCCCCTGGGGCTCTGCAAGGCTGTCTTTGATTGCTGTGGGAATGAAGGAGGACCAGAGAGACCACAGAGTTAAACAGGAGGATTTTTACTGAGTGCACTCAGACCCAGCAGATTAACAGCCAAACACTGGTCCCAGAACAAAGACAGCACTTGACTTTTATACACGCTTCTAAGGTGGGCTAGCTTGAAATAAGTTTACGGTGGCAAAAACGTAGTGGCATGCAAGCAAGGATACAGAGGCAGAAGAAAGGCAGTTAATCAAGTTGTGACAGGTGTATAACTCAGGATTACATGTGACTCTTGCTATACAGCCTAGATGGCTGTTATCCAGGCTTGCTCTAGTGCTTTGCATGGGCTTATCTCATAACTTTTGCTATGGTGCCTAGATGGCTGCAGTCCAGGCCTGCCTACTCAGGCATCTCATGACCTTCACTTGCTGCATAGATAAAAACAGGATACTTGAAGTTACTAGTTACAGAAAACAGAAATCTATAAACTCATAAGTTTACTCATATCATGGGGGAAAGGAAAATTTGTTTTCTTCTCCCTTTGTGGAGGGAATGCTGGAAGTCTCCAGAGCACATTCCTTTCAGTCCTGGCTTCTTAGATAATGTTATCAAGACTTCACCTGGGTCCAGGTTTTGCCTGTTACTGCCTTTGGGATGATTCAGCCTAATATAGAAAGCATGTTTTGCTCTTTTAAATTTTATTTTTCTTTCTTTCTTTAATTTCCTGCCTCATTTCCCCCCTTTGATGCTTCCTATAAATGGAATTTAATAGAAAGCTTCACTACAATTTTTTTCTTCACTGACAAGGCAGATCTACTCTCTTTGGCAAATGCTGATACTTAGTTAGAGCCATTAGTTGAGTGGTGGTTGTTTTGTCTACTAGGACTTCTATGGTTGATTGGATGCTCCTGGTAAGAAGGAGCAAGAGGCAAGGGAGTCTTAAGCAACCTCCTAATATAGCCAGCACCACTTCTATTAATATTTTAAATCCACCAAAGAATGAAAACCAACCTCCTAAGAGGGAATCTGCAGACCATCCTGGTTTCCAGGTTTGGACTGTAACATGAGCTAATTTTCACATCTTGGCAGTCATTTCTATAATGGCTTTCCCATTGTCATTGATTTCTAGGCAGCAATTTGTTAGGTTGTCTGGTTGTGCATGCAGGTTCCTAGGTGGGTTCCTGCACTCATAGTAAGTATGGTATAGTAAAGTCTTAACTACTGTGTTTCCTTTCCATGTAGTATGCATGCAGGGAGGGCATCCTTCTATGAGCTCTTCTCCTTATAGCATAGATATGGTTGCCATCAAAGGTAAAGCAAAGATTAGCATTCTTACACCCAGAATGGGCAGAAGAGGTGTTTTCCCAGGGGAGGGGGTTGGCCAAAGCAACAGAATAATGGAAGTATAATTAATAATATAAGGAAAGTTATTGGGCCTAAAATTTCTGGCCACATTTACTCATTTGATGGTGACTCTGCAAGCTTCGGCTGTGCATAGACTAGTCAGCTTCCAGAGTGACTAGAGCAGGGCTTGCTGTTTTATCAAGGTTTTGCCATGTGTGGAATGGTTAGCTTCTGGAGTGACCAGAGCAAGGCTGTTGTGGTCCTCAGTGACATCTCGGTCTCATGGCATTATCAGCTGGTTCAGATGGTCTGGGTACTCCTGGCTGGTCCACTTGTCCTGGGCTGCTAGTTTCAGCTAACTGTAGTGGATCCAAGCACGGTTCCTGTAACTTGAACAGCAGTTGGAGTGGACAAGATTACAGGATGGGGCCCATCCCATATGGGTCCTAATGTGGTTGGATTACATTTCTTAACCCAAACAGAATCACCAGGTTTGAAACGGTATACAGTGTCTGTCAGACTTATAGGCATTCTTTCCTGCACCCAGCCATGTACTTTTGGCATGGCCATACCTAAAGCCTGCATTTGCCTCCTTAAAATTAGTTCTCCTAGCTCACAGAGATCACCTTTAATCTGACATATAATTCAGGTGGCCGGCTGAATAAGTTCTCCTAGGGTGAATACCCAGTTTGTTTGGCGTGGGCACACCTGACTTGGAGGAGGACCATGGGCAAGACCTGATCCCACCTCAGATGAGTTTCCTAACAAAATTTCTTCAGCAGCTGCTTGAGTGTCCAGTTCATGTGCTCCACTTTTCTTGAGCTCTGTGGCCGGTAGGCTGTGTGTAACTTCCATTTTATTTTTAATAGCCAAGTTCAGTAATGAACTATTTCAGCCACCAATGCTGGTTCATTGTCTGACCCCAGAGTCAGGGGTAGTCCAAATCTGGGAATAATGTCTTTTAACAACACCTTGGTTACCTCTCGTTTCTTCTCTGTCTGGGTGGGGAAAGCCTCAAACAACCCCGAAAAGGTACAAATAAACACCAACATGTACCAATAGCCTCCTGCCTGAAGCAGCTCATTAAAATCCAGAAGCAAATTTTCACAGGATGTGGCTTAAATTTCTTGAATTCCCGGGGTTCGGGTAGGCCCCTGCTGAGGGTTGTTCTCGGCACAAGTTAGACATTGTTCACAAATGGCTCAGGTAATGGCAGTGAGCCATGGCACATAGAAATGTCATCCTAGCAATGTTTCTTGTGCCATTTTTCCCATATGAGTTCCTCGGTGGAACTGTTTCACAAACCTGGGGGCCACCATTTCAGGTATGGCTAGCTTCCCATCAAAGGTTTTCCACCATTCTCCCTCAATGTATTTCCCAGTTTTTTGGGCAAACCAGGCCCTTTCATTTGAAATGTAGCTTGGGGTCTCCGGGAGGAGGATCTCCCAGAGGGGAGGCATAGCTAAGGCTTTCTCTCTAGAAGGCAGAGCTGCCATTGCTGCCTGTTTTGCCTCTTTGTCTGCCTTCCTGTTCCTTTAGCTTCTAGTGTTCCTGATTTTTGGTGCCCTTTGTAGTGCAATACTGCCACCTGTTTCCGGGCCCATACAGTGTCTAAGAGCTGTAGAATTTCTTCCTTGTATTTTAGTTTATTTCCTCCTGCAACTGCAGGAGGAAAGAAAGAGTTCTCTTTCTTTGTAAATAGTCCCATGAACATGGAAAGTGGCAAAAGCATATTTGGAGTGTGGTTAAAAATTTGCTTTTAGGTATTTTGCTAGTCAGAGAACTCTTGTCAGAGCTGTCAGCTCTGCCTTCTGAGCAGAAGTTCCAGTAGGCAAAAACTGCACCTCTACTACTGAGTCCAAAGTCACCACTGCATGCCCCTCTTGGCGTACTCCCTCTAGTATGAAACTGCTCAAATCAGTAAAATACTCAATGTCCGGGTCTCCGAGGGGCTGATCTGTCAAATCTCTCTGGCTTGAGAACACTTAATCTACCATATCCACACAGGACTAAAGGGGGCTTCCTGGCACTGACAAGATGGAGAGAAAGGTAGCCAGGTTTAGGGTGTTCACAGTCTCTAAAGCTATGCTGGGATTCTCACATAGAAGCCCTTGGTATCGAGTCATTTTTGGATGTGATAACCTAAGGTGTCCCCTTTGGTCCATCAAAGTTATAACTGAGTGCGGTACCCGGATTTTCAGTTGCTGCCATAAAGTCAGTTTATTATCTTCTTGCACCAGTAGGGCAGTGGCAGTTAGCACATTGAAACAAGTAGGCCATCCAAGCACCACAGATTCTAGTTGCCTGGACAAGTATGCCACCAGGCGATGCCAAGATCCTATGACTTGAGTCAGGACTCCTATGGCCATTTCTTTTCACTCATGGACATACAAAAAGAAAGGCTTAGTTAGGTCTGGCAGTCCCAAGTTTGGGGTCTGAATTAACGCTTCTTTGATTGTTTTTAAGGCCTTCTCCTAATTGGCCTCCCAGAGGAGGGGCTCCATTTCTCCCCACTTTGTGGCTTCATATAATGGCTTAGGCATGAGCAAGAAATTTGGGATCCAGATGCAGCAGAACCCTGCTGCTCCTAGGAACTGTCTTATTTGATGCCAGATAGTTGGAGTGGGAAGCGCACAAACAGCTGAGACTCCAGTGGCACCTACAATAGTTTCACAGTTCTTGGATAGTGGCCTTATAGGTCAGGTCACTACCAAGTGTTCAGTCCTGGTGTCTACCATAAGGTCCATCAGCTGGCCTTCAACTAGTAATATGACCATACGTTCCTAGGGGCCCAAAGAGAAGGAGCCCGGTCTGTCTGAGACCTCATATTCTTCAGCCCCTGCCATCCTGATCAGGTCAGTGTCTGGTTCCTCACAGGGTATGGTAGCCCTTGGCCAGTGGTTTTTTCATACCGTGGCCTTAACCATTCTCCACGTTATTATTCTCTGGACATTCATCCTTCCAGTGTCTTTTCCTTTTGCATCACGCACATTGATTTCTCTTTAGCCTTGGCCGGCTCTCGAATCCCTTTCCAGACCAGCCTCTTCCATGACCGCATCCATGACCCCTTGCAAAGCCAGCTTCTCTTCCTGTGAGGTCTGCCGCTGGCTAATCAGCCTTTTTCCCAAGCCTCCGTTCAGCCTCCTTCTTTGCCTTCTGATCTCAGTTAATGTACACCTTGATAGCCACTTCAATAAGCTGAGTAGCATTCATGCCTGCAAAGCCTTCTAACTTCAGCAATTTCCACTTGATATCTCCCTGGTCTGCCCTACGAATGCCATATTCACCACGCGCTGATTTTCAGCAGCCTCAGGGTTAAATGGAGTGTATAACTGGAATGCCTCACAGAGTCATAAAACTGTATGGGCCTCTCATCTGCACATAGTAGCAGCTCTGAGATTTTCCCCACATTGATTGCCTTTTTCCTGTCATCTCTTAACCCTTGCAGGATTGTCTCTTGTTAGCTCTGTGGGTGCTGAAACTGGGTTGCATCATTTGGATCCCAGTGGTGATCCTCTTCAAGAAATTGGCCCTGTGTATATGCCTGGGCATCAACTGTGCCTGCAGGTGCATTGGCTTCTGGCCAATGGAGGGCTGCCTGGGTTACTCTCTGGCGCTCCTCAGTGTTAAATAGCATCAGGTTGAGCTGTTTCAGTCTGGCCCAGTTGGATGGTGCGTTAGGAAGATAAACTGCATTACATCTATAAGGGCCTAGGGCTTCTCTGTGTCAGAGGGAGTATGATGCTACCAGTTTAGGAGACCAGTGGTTCAAAAAAACTGGTAAATGAAGGTTTGTTCTCCTCCCTGGATGTGGCCATGCTCATTATAATAGGTGGGTCCTCTTCTTTCCCTGAGAGGCATTTGCATAACTCAGGTGCAGCCAGACCAGAGATGGCCTGCCTGATGTTCTGGGCCTTCTCCTTTAACTTCCTGAAGCTCCAATTCCTCCCTCTCCGGTGAGACTGGGGACATGTATCCATTTGAGCTTGACTCCTCAGGGGAAGTTAGCCTTGGTAAAGGGTGGTAGATTGGAACACGTGAGGTGACTGCAAAACTGGCTTTTCTTGCCTTTCCTGTGACTTTGCCTTTGTCTCTTTACCTTCCTATGCCGTTGATTTTTCTTTCACTTTGGGTTTGGCTTGAGCTACAAGCATTTTACAGTATGCTGCCAGACAGGTTTGCAGCCATGCTGGTTGAATTTGAATTCTATTTAGCCATAAATCGATATAGGAGAATTTGTCTGGATGCCCTGACTGTCCTCCAACCGTGGTCATCACCTTAAATACATGGCCAATTGTTTCCCTATCTATAGTGCCTTCAGCCAGCCAGCCAACACTAAAAGAGAGTCATACTATTTCACAGAGAGTTCTTAACATCTGAGGGGTTACCTTGACTCCATAATTCCTCACATAGCCTTTCTTAAAATTTTTTAACGTGCATTCTAATGGGGTGGGTCTCAATAATTTTCTTCCTATTTCCTCCCAGTTATGGCACAGCACACTTGCTCAGACTTTTGCTTCAGACCGAATCCCTTCTGAACTTGGGCATCCATTTCTCCATTTGTCAATCCCCAGGATTTTTACCAGGTCTCTGAGGCAGTGATAGAATCAGGTGAACATCTCAATGTGAGATGCACGTAGAATTGTAAACTTCCTTCCTTCTTTCTCACTCTAGAGGGAAAACAAACTACGTGCAATTGCTTTGAATGACTTTGGGTAAAGTCACAGGGGAGCTGCCTGCTTTTCTGAATGAGCCAGATAGTCTGGGGTTTAAACGCCCTCTAGAGGTTTCTCATTGGTTACTTTGTTTACACCTTACGGAAATGAAGTAGTGGCCCGCAACCAGTTTGAATGGTTGCGGGAGGGGACCAAACAGAGGTACTTTCCCTTTTTCATCTGCAATGCAGTGGAAAGCGGGAATTGGTGGCATGATTTGCAAAGGGAGTAACCTCTGATCCTTTTGTTACTTGATTGTGGAGAGGTGGGATTTTCCTTTTGATTGAGTTCTAGGAAGTGAGTGTGAATCATCCTTAGGTTCCCTGCCTCCAGATCCTGTTCTGCCTCACTCCTTCAGATCTGGGGCATCCCTCTCCTTGCCAGCCTGCCCCTCCCCTTGGCTCCCAGGAGGCTCCTCAAGGCTGTCTTTGATGACTCAGGAGAACCTGAAGTGGGGAAGGCAGCCAGGTCTTGTTTAAATTCTTACAATATATTTTAAGACAAAAGTCTGGCATATCTTGTCAGAGTTTTCTACATAGATTACCTGTCACCTGTGAATTAAGATAATTGTACTAATTTCTTTCTTATCCAGAAGCCCTTTTATTTCTTTCTCTTTTTTTAATTTCACTGGCCAAAACATCCAGTGAGGTATTGCTTCTCACAAGATGGCATTAGCTGTGGGGTCTGTCCACAGACCCTGACCCAAACGACCTATGAATAACTCGTACGCTGAGACACTGATACTCTGTTTTGCCAGTCCTGCTGAGTGTCCGACCGCCTGCACACCAAGAGAGGTTTGTCACTGTGGCTGGCCCTGAGCAGCTTGCACTCCAGGCATTTATTTTGTATAGAATTAACAACAGAAGCTTTGAATAAACACACTTATGGATAATTAACATGGTTGATTGTAGTTCTACTAACGATTAAAACTCAGGTACCATGGTTTAAAGTAAATTCCATTAGGGGGCAATATCTTTGGTCAATCTCACCCTGAGAGGGCCATCTGGCTCAAAGATTAGTTAGTGGAGGTAGGGTAATCAGACTTAACCGGGGAAGCCTCTATTGTCCCTAGTATTTACCCTATGACCTAATGCTCTAAGGTAAGAACCAGCTGCCTTCAGCCTGTTTAATTATTACAAGCTATGTAACATTTTGGCCTTCCAAAAAGGTTTGTAAACTATTCCCTGTTGCTTTCCCTAATGTTTCCCTTTAATATTTCTGGCACCATTCTGAGTGAATCCCAACATTTCCCCGTTTTTGTTTTCGGTATCATGTCTTTTTGATTTCAGATTGCAGATATGTACAGCCATAGGATTGTCAGGTGAGGTGGTCACTGCTCTTATTCCGGCTTTGCATCCTAGAATTAGCAAATAATACAAGACAATTATGAGTACAATTAGCAACATTTGTTTCCAGTCTAAGAGTGACCGGTAGTGTTACCTGGCATCTTAGTTTGGTGAGTACTGTTGCTAAGGAACCCCACTGAGGGTATGTTAACTCCTTCCAGCCAAGCAGTTATGTCATTAGAAGCTGGAAAGGGAGTATTTGTTTAAGTAAAAGGGCTGACAAAAGGCAGATTCAGAAGATGAGCTTAATAGAGTGTAGCAGGTATAGGTAATAGGCAAAGTGAGAGAATTAAAAATGAGTAAATTATTTGGCTTAGCCTTCTGCTTCCTTAGCATAATGTGTGAGGCCTGTGCTGTTCCTGGAAGCCACATTGTTGAGGCTGTGGGTCCTTAGGGTTTTTCCTAGGCTGGCTTGAGTTTTTTTTCTTTCCATCCTTGGATGAGGATACAGTCTCCAGGCTGGTGCTGGTGTACTGGAAATTCTAGGGGTGGTACCTGTGCTAAGAGATCTTTATAATCTTTAAAGAGCAGGATAGTACTTCAAGAAAAACTTGTGCTTCATTTTAATGTCTAGTTTACAGAAAAAAACTGGATACTTTTTTAAATTTAGCCAATATGTTTACATATAGAATTTTTTACAATTAACATTTTACAACTTGCTTAGACTTTCAAAACAAAAATTATACATTTCCTGCATGAATCCCTTTTATAACATTCTTCACGACTTTCACAGACAATTTTTGACATGCCTTAACTTTTTAACTCTGTTTTGTAATCTTCCTTACTAAGGGTGCATTCTTATATTAATAACTTTTTAAATATTTCCTTTTCCTTCTTCCCACTTTCTTTCCTTAGTCTTTCTTTTTGTGTCTCTTTCTGATCTGTTTCTTCTAGTTTCTTTTTAAATCATTCTTTCCCTTTATTTCTCTTTCTAGGGGTGGACATATGCACACATTCTTTCTCATGTTAATAATTTATTTGGACCACACCATTTATTACTGTTCACATTTTTCCATAAAACTGCTGGTTTTATGCCTTGAGAGGTTTTAGCAAAGTGTTTTTCTACAGCTGATTGAAATTTGTCATCTGAATTTAGAAAATTATGGGTAAACAAGGTTTGTGCCAGTAGTGTTGCAGGGTCTTTACCTATATTCCCCTTTTTCTGATTTTTTACTATTGCTTGACCTTTGGAGTTATATGGGATGCCTGTGGAATGTTGAATATTCCACGTGTGATAAAATTGTTGAAATTGTCAGCTGGCATAAGCTGGTCCATTATCAGCTTTAATCTTTGTGGGCTATCCTATAAATGCAAAAGTTAAAAGATGTTTAATGACATCTTGAGTAGACTCTACAGGCAGAGCATGTGCATTAATTAAATGAGTGTTATTATCAATGGATACACACACATATCTTAGTTTTCCAAATTTAGGCATGTGTGTAATATGTTTGCCATAACTGCTTAGGTTCCAATCCTCTAGGGTTAACACTTGTTGAAGGAGGGGACGTGCCTGTGAGCTGGCAATCTGGACATTGTAGGATAATTGTTGTAGCCAGCCTCTGAGTAAGTTGAAATTGTTTAGATAAGTTTCTCCAATTTTGGTGGAAAAATTGATGCGATTGGGTGGCTAGGCCTAGCAGTGATGTCATCACCTGAAGGTCTGCTCGTTCATTGACATAAGCCAATGGGCCAGGCAGTGAGCTGTGGGCTTGAATATGTGTAATAAAAACAGGATGTGTACGTTGGTCCAGCAATTGCCGAAGTCAGAAAAAGAGTACACAGAGTGTGCACCAGAGTAAACTTAATTGAGGCTGTAAAAGTTCTTTAACAAATACACAGAGTAACCTGAGCTCTTTGAGTGCCAGTAAACCTAGATCCAGTGATTGGATTATGTGGTCTCTATTAGACTACTGCTCTTCCATGTTTACCAGACCCATCAGTAAACAGTGTTAAAGCATTTGGTATGGGGGATTGCAATACGGCTTTGAATTGCATTTTACTTAAAGGAATTTTGATGATATCGAGTCATAACTTAGCAATTGACTGCATTAATCATTAAGATGGCAAGCTGAAATAAATAACGTGAAGTTTAAAAAGAAAATCTGAAAGCATCTTTAGAAGCAGAGACTTAAATTATATATTTTAACCATGTGCTTAAAGCCACAGGCAGAATAGCTTAAATGTTGCAATGGAGTTCTCAGGCTGACCAAGTTTATGGACTTTAATCTGGAAAACAGTCTTGAAAACAGTGACTCACTAACTGGGGAACTTAATTTGGGACTCTTTTAGCAAGTATGAATCAAAGACTATCTGTAATCAGTGGGTTAAGACAGTCATTCATGCATGTTTTGGCTACACTTACATATAACTCTTCTTCACCTTTTGAGAAGGGCACAATATTTTCACCTTTTAATTGAACAAATATCATTTAATTAGGTTTAAAGTTCTCCTCTAAGGGTAATGTGTGGTTTTACATGCCTAACTTTTAATTATTCTTTAATTCATGGGCCCTCCTTAATCTCTCTCCCTTCAGAGGCTACTGTTTTACTTAAACTGGATTTGTAGAGCTACCTCGGGGGTAGGAGAGAGATAACAGCAGTGGCTATTATCTGAAAAGAGGTTTTTCAAATTCTTACATTTTACTTAAATTTTAGCAGAGAATTATAATTTGGGATGTCACTTGTAAACAAGGAGCACAGGAAATTTTGCTGTGGGCTGTCTGCAAAGCTAGAGAGTCAGGCAGGTGCGTCCTGGGGCTTTGGCTGCTTTGCACTTGTAAAAGCGCTGCTTTTTGCCTGTGCTGGCTCCCTCCCGCAGGCACCCATTGGCTGTTCCTGGCCAGGGTGGACCCCAGCCTCCCCTTGGGCTGACTTTGTTGTATGTGCCTCTCGCCCCTCCCCTGCAGGCTAGCTCCAATGGTGGCTTAGCTCTTCGTTGCCTCTGCTGCCATGTGGGCGGAGTTTTAGTTTTTTCTCACTGCTTGCTTGGCAATGCAGCTCTAGCTTCTAATGCCCTTTTTTAACCCTTTAGGTATCTGATCGCTTTGCCAATTTTGCGTTACTGGGCAGGCTAAGAGATCTTCTTTTAATTCAGCCTGCTTAAGACGGGAACTGATAACTGTAGTGTATCCTCTGCCTTTTTTCTTATCTATTGGAGGAAGCTCAGGTAAGACCTCCTTTTCCTCTCTGTTAATTCCGCCTGGTGATTAGGGCCCAGGGAAGACGAGGTGATAAGGCAGGTAATGTTTCCTCTTCCTGCCCCTTTTTAGGCTTTTCCGTGTGTGACTGAGCCAGGGCTGCTCTAGTTAAAGCCCATAACGTTAAAGCTGTTACTGGGACTTGCTGCCTTTGCAACTGATGTTTTTAAGATCTCTCCCCACTTGTTTCCCGGAGCTCTATGTCTAGCGTTCCTTCTTCTGGGAACCATGGACTTTGGGATTTAACAGTTTGCATTACAGCAATTTGTCTAGCATGCATGATTAGGTGCCTTAATTGAGCCTGTGAAACTGAAGCTCCACTAGCCTTAAGCAGCTGTTGTAATACTTTTATATAATGTTTCTGCTGTGCTAATAACTGTTGTCCCATGATGAAATCTCAGCTTGAACCAACTTTCCCCAGAACTTGGTAACCTTGAGTGGGCACCAATGACTTACTAGTTACTCACTGACTTGACCACGCGGTTTTTCTTCACCTTTGTTTCCTGGGGGCCCGTCGCATTCCTCAGGCTTCCTTTGCAGCTTTCCTCATGAAAGCGGTCCTTACACTTCCTTCATAGCTTGCCTTACAAGGGGCTCCAACTGCGGAAGGTCTGTTTCTGCAGACCCCTGACTGTCCTCACACAGCTCTCCTCACATGGGGCACCAATTGAGGTATTGCTTCTCACAACAGGGCAGTAGCTACCTGTGTCTGCCCGCAGACCCTGACCCAAACGACGGATGAATAAAATGTACACTGACACACAGATAATCTGTTTTGCCAGTCATGCTGAGTGTCTGACCGCCTGTAAACCAAAAGAGGTTTGTCACTGCAGCTTGCCCTGAGTAGCTCAGACTCTAGGAGTTTATTTAGTGTAGAATTAACAACAGAAGATTTGAGTAAACACACTTGTGGATAATTAACATGGTTAAGAGAGTAGTTCTAGGAATGATTAAAACTCAGGTACCCTGGTTTAAAGTAAATACCATTAGGGGGCAATATCCTTGGTCAAACTACCCCCAAGAGGGCCATCTGTCTCAAAGGTTACTTAATGGAGGTAGGGTAAACAGATCTAACTGGGGAAGCCTGTGTTGTCCCTAGTATTTACCCTATGACCTAATGCTCTAAGGTAAGAAATGGCTGCCTTCAGCCTGTTCAATTATTACAAGCTTTATAACCTTTCAACCTTTCAAAAAGGTTTGTGACTATTCCCTATAACTTTCCCTAATATTTTCCTTTAATACTTCTGCCACCATCCTGTGTGAATCCCAACAATCCAGCACAATGGTGAATAGAATCTGCCAGAGCAGACATTCTTGACTTTTTTCTAGTCTTGGGAATGCATTCAGTCCTATCCCATTAAGTATGATGTTACCTCTAAGTTTTTCATAAGTGTTCTTCATGAGATTTAAGAAGTTCCCTTTTATTCCTAGGTTGCTGATATTCTTATTAGAAATAGATATCAGCTTTACCAAACTCTTCTTCTATGTCTATTGAGATGATTCTATGTATATATAGAAATTTTAATTATTCTAATTGGCTTATTACAGTGATATAATTTTCAAAAGTTAAACCAACCTTGCATAACTGGTATTTACCTGTTAGTTCTTGCATTTATCTTTATATTGGCCTGCAGTTTTCTTTTTTTGTAATGTTTCACCCGTATATTATAGAGCTAATTTTTCCCTATTGCTGAGCCAAACTTCTTTTTGGTATTGTACTCAATGCCCCCCAAATTATGATGTTTTTTTCTAGGTCTGACAGGAACAGCAATATTCCCAGCTCTGTAAGACCTCCAGGGATTGTTCCTTCTACTCTTTTTAGTTAGCTGGTTTCTCAGACCTAGGTAATTTCCTCACATGCATGTGCAGATCACTACTCATCTAAAGACTCATGGGGACCCTCTCTGTACAGTCCTCTCCTGCCCTTCGAAAGCTAAACTCATTGGCTTCCCTGAACTCATTTCCTTTTCCTCAACTCAGTTGCAAATGAGCTTTGCCTGGATTCTTTCACCTGCATCATGGCCTAGAGCCTCTCTTCAGGCAGTAAGCTGGGGCAGTCTTAGAGTCTGGATCATTTCTTTGTGTTTCTCAAGGATCACTGTCCTTCTTTGACTAATGCTCAATGTCTTGGAAGCCATTTTGAATATTTTGTTTATTTCTCCAGGTTTTTCAGGCAGGAGTGCAAATTAGTTCTCTGTTATTCCATGGTGGCCAGAGTAGAAGCTCAGGATGCTGCTTTAAAAAAAAATTTTTTTCCAAAGTCTTTAGTTTTAATTAGTGGAAATAATGTGCTATAAAGGGCTTACTTTATCTTGGCTGCCCCTATTACTATCAAATATATAAGTATAAACATACCAGAAGGTTTCTTAGGCAGATTAAGGGCAACTTCAAAATCTCACAAGGAACATAATGTGAAATAATGAATCGTTATAAGTATTTCCTTTACAATGAGGAAGAATACAGGAGTGCTCACAATTACTGCCTTTATTTAGCTGGTAAATAAAATTTATTTTAGCCAATGCAGTGTGATAAGAAAAATTAGTAAAAGATAATATTTGAGGATTGAAAAGAAGGGAACAAAGCATATTCATGAAATATCCACAGATAATATCATTACCTATTTTTGAAACTAAAAAGATTTATAGATAAAATATTAGAATGAGTTTAAAGTAGTAAACGGGCTAGGTTTAAGAATGATATTTACAAAACATTGGATTTAGCTTAGTCAACAATATCAGAAAATGTAATACCCCCCAAATTGTTTTATAATGCCTAGAAAAATATTATTTACCTAGAAATAAATGTAAAAATGATTTGTTAACCTTTTATGGAGAAAATTATTTTGTTGAAGACACAAAAATGTGACATAAGTCAATGACAAGGTATACTAATGAGTAGGAAATCTCAAAATTAAGACAGTAGTTGGTGAATATACAGAAAAATATACCATTGGAACAGAACAGAGAGAGTAGAGACAGACTCACGAATTATAAGAAAATATCTTTGTATTAGTTTGTGCTATGGTGTGAATCTTTGCATCCCCCACAATTCATATGTTTAAATCCTAATCTCCATGGTGATGGCATTAAGAGATGGGTCTTTGTTGAATGATTAGATCATGAGGGCTCTACATTATGTATTTTGTTAGAAAAGTTCAGACTAGACAGACTATTAGGGGTAATAATGTACCACAGACTATATGGCCTACACAACTGAAATGCATTATCTCATCGTTCTGGAGGTTCTAAGTCCAAGGTCAAGATGTCAGCAGAGTTGGAACCTGTTGGTGCTGTGAGGGAAAGATCTGTTCCAGGACTCTCTCCTTGATTTGTAGTTGGCCATGTTTTTCCTATGGGTCTTTGCGTCATCTTCCCTCTGTGTCTGTCTCTATGTCTAAATTTTCCCCTTTTCTAAGGATATCAGGGGTATTGGATTAGGGGCCCATCCTACTGCAGTGTGATCACATTTTAACTAAGTTTATCAAGAAGAAATGTATATCCCGATAAGGTCACATTTTGAGGTACTAGGGGTTAGGACTATAACATGTGAATTATGAGGGGACACAGTTCAACCCATAACAATCTTATGTTGCAAACCTGGCAGTACAGATCAGTGGAGAAAAAATGAACAATTCAGTCAGCATCACTGGAGTAATTTCTTATCTATATGCAAAAAATAGAAAGTGATACCTACTTCAAGCTATATACAAAAAATTATTCCAGATTACATACTTGAATGGTAAAAGCAAACATTTGCAATTTTTAGAAAACAACAGAATACATCCTTTGAAAGATGTTGTAATGACATAAAAAGATTAATAAACTTGACAACAATAAAATGAACAACTCCTGTTCTTTATGACACCTGAGAATAAAAAATCAAGAAGAAACTCAGAATACATGTTTAACACGTATGATGAATAAGCAATTTATGTCTACAATATTAAATTACTTCTAGAATTAATACTAAAAAGAAAAATAATCCAGTAGAAAAATTTGCAAAACACTTTGGAAGGCAGAGGCAGGCAAATCAGGAGGTCAGGTGTTCCAGACCAGACTGTCCAATATGGTGAAATCCCATCTCTAGTAAAACAGTACAAAAATTAGCCAGGCGTGGTGGCATGCACCTGTAGTCCTAGCTACTTGGGAGGCTGAGGTGGGAAAATCACTTGAACCCGGGATGTGGAGGTTGCAGTGAACCGAGATCACACCACTGCACTCCAGCCTAGGGGACAGAAGAGACCCCTTCTCAAAAAAAAAAAAAAAAAAAAAAAGACATAAACATTTTAGAGCCTGAAGCATGAAAAAGGAAAAAGGGTTCAATTCCATTAGTAATTAGAAAACTACTGTTGAAACCCTCAATAAGATGCCCTATTACACCCACAGAATTGGCAAACATTAAAATATGGATAATACCAAGCTTCAAGCTTTGATGAAGACATAGAATAATGAGAACTCTCATTTCTCACTGGTTGAGGTGCAAGGTGGTACAACCATTTTGTAAAATAATAGGGCAATATCTATTATAATAAGGGAGATTATGCATTTTCTTCTTCTTGTTCTACTATTGCCTCATGTTTTCAAATATTTATTGCTCAAATCTATTTCTGAAGTTGAGCATTTCCACTTTTACATCTACACTTGAGAGACACCCCTGCATATGTGCACCAGGAAACATATTCAAAGATATTCATAGAAAAACTTGCCACTGCTTTTAGCAGAAAACCCCTGAATGTGCATAAGCAGTTGATTCTTCAGTGAATTCTCTCTAACTGTAAAAGTGGATAGAGAATTTCATCAACTACAATGAACCTCAAAAAAGTAGTGCAAATCACAGAAGAACAAATTCAGCTGGATGTGTTTATATAAAATCAAACCAAGCAAAACAAAAGTTTACTATTTATACCTTTACTACATATATATGTCTCTAAATAAGTGTAAGACACTACTAATTTTAAAACAAATTTAGACTTAGTGGTTGTCCTTGAGAATGAGAAAGGGAGATAAGATGAAGGAGGGACACACTGTATGCCTCTAATGATTTGTAGTGTGCTATTTTTTAAGTTGGGAAAGAGATACATGGATGTTTATTATATGAAATATTGGCTGTCATAAATTGCTTTTGAATGTAGAATATGTTTCATAGTTTTTTAAAAACACAGTGTATAAGAGGTAAAGGAAGAACCTGAGAAGTATTCACAGGATACTAGCTTGGGTAGTCAAATGGATAATGACACCATTGTCAGATTCAGAAACACAGGAAGAGGGGCACAATTAAATTTTATGACTCTGGTTTTGAAGGGGTTAAGAGTGAAATGCCTCTGACATATCCAAGAGTAGATGTCAAAGAGGCAACAAAATATTAATATCTGGAGGTTAGATGAGAGGTCAGTGCTGCGGAGATAGATTTGAGCAATAAATATTTGAAAACATGAGGTGACGGGAGAGCATCAAGATAAAAAGGAAATCACTATTCCTATAATCTCAGCTCATTCCATTGTACCTACCTACTAAATGATCCAAGCCCAGCTGTCCCTCCTGATTTTACTCCCTCCAGGCTTATTCCTCTATTTATATAGATTAGATCCAATACTTCAGGCTTCACAATGATTTCCTTCTGAGTTATGAATATGTATTATTTTTCTGATTATTTTTAGTCATCTATCTGGGTTGTCTTATAGCTCACCAAGCTATTCAATGACAATTATTTTAAATTCATTATGAGACAGTTCATAAACTATTATTTTTTTAGGTTCAGCTATTGGTTATTTTTTTTTTCCTTTGGTGGTATCATTTTTCTCTGATTGTTCTTGATCTTGATTTTTAGGCAGTGCATTAGTGTCTGCACATTTGAAAAACAAGAAACTTATTCTAGTTCTTGCATACCGGCTTTATCTGGAAAAACCCTTTCCTAGTCATCCAGCAACTCTTTGTAGGGTGTCTAGTGTGGTCTGCAGGTGAACTTGTTGCCAAAGTCCTCAGGCAGGCTGGCCTGGTGCCTGTGTTAGCAGATGGTAGGCCTGTTTCCTGGGTCTGTAGAGTTGGGCCTGAAGCCTGGATCAACTGGGGTGGATCTTTTCATTGGGTATGTGGGGATGAACGTAAAGCCAATTTCTATAAGGGCAGGTACAGAGCCTGTTAACAGTAGGTGCTGGACTGAGCATGGGTCCACAGGGGCTAACATGGCTCTGAGGCGTGCATTGAGCCTGTGTCTGCAGGGGCTGGCCAGATTTTGGAATGAGCATAGTGTCTGAGTCTGCTGGGATAAGCCTGGCATCTGAGTCCATGGGGACTGGCCTGGTACTGGTGCAGGACTGGAGCCGGAATCTGGAGAAATGGGCCTGGGATCTTGGTAGACGGGGGCAGACCTGGAGCCTGAGTCTTCAGAGATGGTCCTAGAGACTTTGTCCATGATGGCCAGCCTAGCAACAGGGTCTAATGAAGTCGGCCTGTACCCTGGGTCTGCTAGAGCACAGCTGGGCCCTGAGTTTGTTGGATGCTGGGTTACAAAAACCAGCCTGGAGTCTGATGCTGGCCTAGGGCTGTGGTGAGATGGGGCCAGTCTAAAGTTTGAGACCATAGGTGCTAGACTGGTGCTTGTAGCCACAGGGGTGGGCCAAGAATTGTGGAATGGCCTGGAGGCTGGTTGTGTGAGATCTGTCCTAGAACCAACATATTCAGAAGTGGGCATGGACACTAGGGCCACAAAGGGTGGCTTGGGTCCTAGGGCTGTAGGAACTGGACTGGAACCTAAGTCCACAGAGGCAGTACTAGATACTGGGTCTGTAGGCACCTGCCCAATACTGGAGTCAACTGTGATGGGCCTGGACCCTGGGTCTGCTAGAGGATGGGACCATAGGAACTGGCCTGGAGAGTGGGGTGGCAGAAACTGGCTTAGGCCTCGGGAGGCCTGGAGCCTGGGTCTGCAGATGCTTGCCAGATACCTGACTAAGGCCTAGGGCTAGGGCTGCCAACCTGGAAATGGGGTGGGCCTGAATCCTGGATTGGTGTGAGCCAATCTAGTTCTGGGCCGGTCTGGAACCTAGGGTGGACTTGGAGTCTGCGACCACAGGGGCTAGCCTTGTGCTAGGCAGTCCTCGAGCCTGTATCCACAGGGGCCAGATTAGGGGTTGGATATATGGACACTGGCATGGTGACTAGAGTTGCAGGAGCTAGCCTGGTCCTGGGGCTGGCTTGAAACCTGGAGTTGTCGAGGCCGGCCTTGTTCTGGGAGCAGTCTGGAGCCTGGAGTCACTGGGGCTGGCCTGGTCCCAAAGACTGTCTGACATCCAAGGCACTGGGGTAGACCTGGCATGAGGATATACCCAGAAACCAAGTCCACCAGGCAAGCCTGGAGCCTGGGCTGTGTGATCTGGTCTGGCTTAGTGTGCAGGTACTAGCCTGGAGTTTCGGGCAATAGTCGCATACCCATTACTGGATTTTACTGAAGCAGGCTCTGCGTTGGAGTCCAAGGCAAAGTTCAGTGCTCACTTCACTTTTCTTCTTCGACACAGAGATTGCCTCTCTCTGTGCCCTGCTGCCTGGTGTTGTGGGAGGGGTGACACAGGAAATGAAAAATTGTTCTTCCTATGCTCTTCAATTAATCTTTTCTTATTTCTCTGCTACACAACATTTCTGTAACCTTTCACCTGGTTTTCTTAGCTCTTCTGAAGGTATTTTCATGCATAGATAGTTGTTTAAATTGATGTTTCTGTGTGAGGATAAATGCTAGAAAGTCCCATTCTGACATTTTGCTGATGTCCAGTTTCACGGCATCCAATCAGATTTCTATATAACGATTGTCAAAGTGGCTCAGCAGCATCAGAGACAGGTCTCCTGCTAATTTGGAAAGAAAGATTGCAGATCTTATGTTAAATGATCTTATCAAACACACACATATATACACACAATAATAATAATAAATAGAGCTGTCAAAACTTTAGGAGGTGATGAATATGTTTATGGCTTTTGTTGTTGTGATAGTTTCATGAGTATGTATGTATTCACCTCTATATTCATCAAGGTTTATATATTAAACACATACAGCTTTTTGTATGTCAATTATACCTCCATAAAGTAGTTCTACAAAAAAATAAATAAACACCATAGAGGAAAAATACTTTTGGCCTCTTTCTCCATGAAGTATGACTTCTATTTCAGGTTTCTGGTGGTTACTGAACTTCCAGATTTTCTGATGATAAGTATAATAAGAGAAATAATATGTTAGGCTAGAAAAGACAAAAATGCAGGATTTGAGGATGAATCAATCAAATTTTTTCATAACATAATAGGACTTATTGTTCAACATATTCAAGCCAGTACCAGGCTAGAGTGAGAGAAAGTTTCCAGATCAAATATTTGTGTAAACTAATTCAACTAAAGTCTCAAGAGGAAGAGATTCATGATGAGATATCTGGAGTCACAATGTGCAAAATTCATCACAAAGTGGAAACCAGCATCTTACAATACAAAGAACAATGGCTTGGGATTCTGAGCATCTGGGTTCTGGTCTTGGTTTTGCACATGCAATCATGTGTCCACTTCCCAGGACTTAGTTTCTTGAAACTAGACAATCTCTACTAAACCTCCTATCTGATTTTCCTCCCTTTCAGGAAGTTAGGCAGGTGCTCAGATCAGCTTTTTGGTCACAAAGGATGAAGGAAGAAGGCAGGTGTCTTTCTTAACCACAGTTTTGGGACATGGCTTTAGAGAATGCATTAGCAGGGACTAAGCAAATAATGAAAGCTGAATTTGGGGTAGAAAAATGGGGAACAGGAGACGAAAGAATCAGAAAGAAAATATTAAGGAGCAACAAAGAGTCCCCTATTGATTTGTAGTATAGCCAAAGTTTTGTTTTTCTCTTCCTTAGACTCTTAGAGGACTAGAAGACATCAGAGAGCTTTAAAATGTTCTAGGATGCCAAAGCCAAGAAAGCATGTCCTGTGGATCCGACACCTTCTCAGTTCCCTGATCTAGCTAAAACCAAATACCACTTGCTGATTTCTCCGGAGGCACTGAAACCTCATCACCAACCCAGAACAGTTTAGCATGACTTGTTCTCTCCATGAAGTCCCTAAACATCCCCCTTCTTCCTCTCTAAAAGCTTCAAGAATCCACTTTCATGTCAAGTTTTTCTACAGAGGCAGATTGTTGTTTATATCAAACTCCAGAAACCCTCATCCTTTTCTGATATTTATTTAAGTTGGTGCTGTCAGTCTTTTCTACCATAAAGAACCTGTGTTTACTTGGCTCTTCTGTGTCTTGCCACCAGCCACCAGTCAGTTAAAACAGCTTTCTTTTGCTACAGAGAGGTGCAGCCACATCTAAAGCCACCAGCAGTGCAAGGTCCTCTGACTGCATTAACAACCCCTCCCTGAGTGTCCAGATATGAAGAATCTGCTCAATCACCAAAGCTCCTGAATTAAGAGTTAGGATGCTCCTTTGGACCTTCAGGAGGAACTTCATTAGGAATTCTGAGATAGAGCAAGCATTGCTGGGGAACCACAGGTCCCAGTGTCCTCCTGTCATCTCAGAAGCCAGTAAAGAAACCTTCTTCCCTAGAAAGACTTCTGGAGAGAAAAAAATTCCCCAAGATTTGAGAGCATGAGAGTCTCATGGTGAGGTCCCTGGTGAACAGAAATCAGAAAAGTACTAGTACACAGAAGAGATGTACAAGCATCTAGTCACTGCCTCAAAGTAACTTTGAATTTATTATGACTTAGATTGAGATAGAGTGATTCTTTGACTGTTCGGTCCGTGCCTGAAACAAACATGATTAATATCCATAATCTTATTAATTTTATTATCCCTAGGAGGCAAAGTCTCCAAAGTTTTCCAAATGATCTTGCAAAGGCAACTCTCCTCAGATTCCCTAGGAAGTTTTCAGATTTTATGAATAGGTGCCAACAGCTATCAGATGTCTTCCAACGATGGCTGCTGCATCCCAGTTTCACATTGCTAAGGGTTAAAGAAGGACATTGATATGAAAGAAGCATCCCAGAGACCCTTGACACATTGTGAGAGTACACAGAGGGTGGGGCTCCATCAACCTCCCACAGACACTCAGCCATACTATTCCCATTCCCTGCCATGAGCAAGAGTTTCAGGGCCTCACAGGGGTTCAAAGGTGGCCAAATCATTGCCACTCTTTGTAGTATGAAGTACACCAACACGTAAAGGTAGGCTAAACATTGATAATATAATAGCTTTAAATGTGTATAAATGTATGCTTACAACCTCAAAAATGCCATGCAATATTATTGTTCTACTTACAAGATCAGTGCAGGAATTATAAAGCATTAATTCAGAGTGGACTCTTGGCAGTGTGTAATTTATGGTGCATGTGTTCTCCATTCTGTCTGTGTTTCTGTACCATTGGGTGATAACACTAGAATCTCAAATTTGGGAACTTTTTTGAAAGTGGGGCCATGCCTAAATGGTATCCTAGTTGTCTCTTCCACCATGACCCCATGATGGACCTGCAAAGTCCCAAAGATGGAAGAACATTCAGGGGTAGCCAGCTGGAGAGACCTAGAATCAGAGATCTCTCACACAGCCTGAAAAGCCCAAAGCAGATGAGCATAACCTCAGCACCTGTGAAACCAGAATTCATTGCTTCCATTCAGAGATCCCATGTTCATGTCAGAATCCAAGCTGCCACGAGTGTTTCATGAAGTCACTTATGACTAATACTGAGTACAATGGGACTGATATCAGAACTAAGCTAGGCCCGGAGAGCCCTGAGGTTGTGACACATAAGGCTAAACCTTTGAGTTTTGATCCACAGAGTAGATACATCAGAGAAGTGGACTTGGAGAATCCCCTGCTGGAGTCCTAGAGAGTAACCACTCTGTCAGATAGCATGTGTTTCTGAGAGGAAAGCACAGGGGTCTAGTTCCAGCCGTATCCCTCTGCACCCCATATGCACGTGCTGAGTTCTAGAGAGACTCCAGAGCTGGTCTGAAAGGCTGATGCAAAGGAGTCTGCTCTGGAACTGAAGTGTTATAAGAAACTGGCAAGCTCAGCAGCCCTACAGATAGGTGAGGAGCCCAGAGATGGGAGAGGAAGCTATTCTCCTGGCCAAGGTCCTGATTCAGTTTGCCAGAATCATAGGCAGACTTGAGGCCGACTGGAGCTAGCACTGGCAGTGGAATTGAAACCTCCCCTGTAGTCCCATAGAGAATTTTTTTTGTATAAACATAGAAATTGACCCTTCTGATCTTAATGCTTGAAACTTTTATTTGTTTTATATGAATTTCATCCTTAGTAAAGGACCCCTACGTCCCTCAAAAAGTATCAAAGAATTGAAACTCACCAGATGATCCCATCCAGACAATGGGACACCAGACCCCTCATAAATTATGATTGCTTCCTTAGGTCGCCTGAGTTCCTGTTTTTCTACACATTGTTACATTTCTTCACTGCTATGAAAACTCATAATTTTAGTTGATCAGCAAGACGGATTTGAGACCGAGCTTGCATCTCCTCTGCTACAGCATCCAACTCAGCCTTCTTCCTTGGCAATTGGTTATATTGATTGGCTTTCTGTGTGGTGAGCTGCAGGACCTAGACCACACCCCTGGTGTTTCAGTAACAGCTTTTGGTTTCCCGACCAGGAACACTTTGGCTCAGTTGCCATGGGCCAGGAGTCTCACAGAACTACTAAGCAGCTGCTTACCCAATTTTGGCTGGAGAGATAAGTACCCTCTGGGGCCACCACAGCTGGCCCCAACCATGGTCCTGATTGCCTTGGAAGAACTGCCTTTGGAATTTCACATCGGCATCCAGATAGGTGACTGTCCTTTGTGGGCCCAGACAGAAAGATCTGCTCCTCTCAGTTTGGGAAATTTTTAAAGGAATTTCCACTTGCGGGTTGAATAAGCCCAACTGACGAAGAGAGGAAAATACCCTGACTGTTTCAGTATGGACATTCTTGGGGGCTTGTTTGTCATTGTGTGTGTGTCCAGGCAAGTGAGTGTCTTTTGTGGGTACTAGATAGTGGGATCAGCTCCTCTCCATTTGAGAAATTCTGAAGGAATTTTGATTTGCAGGTTGATTGAGCCCAACCAATGGAGAGAGGAATCACCCCAACTGTTTCAGTTTGTAGACTTTTGGGGCTTGTTTGATGCTGCAACAGTTGGATTGTTTTAGTGATTGTTTGCAAGTGTCTGATATAGTCATCAGAAATCAGAATTTAATAAACTGACACTCTTTTGTAACACTGTTTGACCCCAGTATAGTTTGGAATCTGGTATTTGCCCTTGAATGGGAAAGTGGGTTGGAGTTCCATGTATCCAGGCTTTTGTGCTGCTGCTGTTGGGCCAAGTTAGTATGTGATATTCTCCTGTGGTGCTGTTTGACCCCAGTGTTCTTTGGAGTCTGGAGAACTTTGGACTTTAAAAATTAAACTGCCACGGAAACTGTTTTACTGAAAATTTTGGTTCACAGCCTTCACTGGATTACCTATCAAGGCTAACAAAGTTCAGCCATGTGAACATGTTTGCAGACTGATGAGTTTCTATTTCAATAGCTAGAGTTCCAAGGTAAAAGCTATTGGATCTTTGGGTGTATGTATGTCTAGATGTGTCTTTGGGTGTATGTATGTCTAGATGTGTTAATGTGTAGGCATATGTATTACGTTAAATGTTGTGACTACCCAATTGGATTATAAATAAAAGAGTGCTCATAGATTAAGTAAACAAGTCCAAAGTATTTTTCATGTTCATGCTACTTAAGTAAATCTTTAGCAAGCTAGCATTAAAATTTTGTAAAATAAAACTAGAAATGTCATCATAGTTGTCAGCATACATTTTTGTCTGGGTTTTGTATTTGTTTCTGCTAGATATTTTGAGGTATGAGAGTTTGGCACAGAAGTTTATAAAGTTGTCACCAGGAGTTGGAGATAAGCCTGGGAAACAGAGACCCCCTCCCCCATCTCTATAAAATAAAAATTAAACAATTAGCCAAGCACAGTGATTCATGCTTGTAGTTCCAGCTACTCAGGAGACTGAGATTGGAGGATTGCTTGAGCCTGAATGATCAAGGCTTCAGTGAGTCTTGATTCAGCCACTGCACTCCAACCTAGGTGAAAGAGCGAGACCCTGTCAAAAAGACAAATAGAGGCAGAGAATGACAATGGGGCACAGAAGCATTGCAGGGAGACTAGGGGAGGAGTAGTAATTTTTTTTATTATTATTACACTTTAAGTTTTAGGGTACATGTGCACAATGTGCAGGTTAGTTACATATGTATACATGTGCCATGCTGGTGTGCTGCACCCATTAACTCGTCATTTAGCATTAGGTATATCTCCTAATGCTATCCCTCCCCCCTCCCCCCACCCCACAACAGTCCCCAGAGTGTGATGTTCCCCTTCCTGTGTCCACGTGTTCTCATTGTTCAATTCCCATCTATGAGTGAGAACATGCGGTGTTTGGTTTTTTGTCCTTGTGATAGTTTACTGAGAATGATGATTTCTAGTTTCATCCATGTCCCTACAAAGGACATGAACTCGTCATTTTTTATGGCTGCATAGTATTCCATGGTGTATATATGTGCCACATTTTCTTAATCCAGTCTATCATTTCTGGACATTTGGGTTGGTTCCAAGTCTTTGCTATTGTGAATAGTGCCGCAATAAACATACGTGTGCATGTGTCTTTATAGCAGCATGATTTATAGCCATCCCATTACTGGGTATATACCCAAAGGGGAGGAGTAGTAATTTTTAATAGGATGGCCAAAGGAGGCCTTATTGAGCAGGTGGCTTTTAGGTGAAGACTTAAAGAAGGTAATAGAGTTTTTATAGGTCTAATAAGAAAACAGAATGCAGGCAGAAGAAAAAGAACAGCCAAGTGCCTGAAGCAGAGAGGCCAAAGAGAGTGAGGTCTAGGACCTGACTGGACAGATGTCAGGGAGGTGACTGGAGTCTAACTTAGAGAACTGTTATAAACAATTTGTACCTCTTTCTCTAAATGAGATTGGGAGTTGCTGCAGGAGTTGCACAAAGACATGACAAAATCTGGCTTTTGTTTTAAAAGGAGCATCCTCATTTGTTATTGACGGAAGACTAAAGGCATTCTCCATCCAGAAAAGACTGCTAAGAACTGTGAAGCATATAAAAGTTTACCCTACTTGGGGCAATGTTTCATGAATGCTGACAGATAACACAAGCTTTCTGGGTCAAAGACAGAGTTTTATGACTCATTCAACAGGGAGAATGATTTTTGTGTTTGTGTCAGTCATCCTTGCTCCACAAGTCCTACAGAGGAAATACAGAAAGGCAGATTAATGTTGCAAGTGCAACAGATGTGTGTTGAAGCCAAGGAACCCTGAATTTAGGTCACCTGGATGTTTTATAATGAACTGCAAGCAAACCTGTCTGAACTTTGCTCCAGAGGGGGACATTATCTTTCTTATACTGATCAGTAAGCAGACCTACCCTCTGCTTCAGAAGAAAGCAATATCTCTAGCTTCCAAGCTGTCCTCTTTAGAAACATCCTTGAAAAGATAGTCAGGAGAAAAGGCTGTCAATGTCTCTGCTCATAAGACATACAGAAATGTGAGAGGCCATGAAGAATTTTCTCCCAGCCAGAATTAGCAGGATGTCATAATGGATTGGATGTAAAGTGGGAGGGGAAAAGATACTTAAGAATAACTCCAAGAATTTTTCTTTGAACAGGTGAAGAAATGGAGTTGCCATCAACTAAGTTGAGAAAGACTACAGGTGAAGTAGGCTGGGTGGAGAGGGTGGATAAGAAGATTGATTTGAGACATAATGAGTTTGAGATGGCTATTGGAAGGAATCCAAGAGATGTCAAACAGGCCGTTAGATACATATGCCTTGAGTTTGGAAAAAATTTGAGTAGTAATTTAAATGTATTAGTCATTGGCAGGTAGATTGATTTTAAAGCTATGGGACCAGATGGGATCACCGGGAACTCTGAAGTGATCCAAAATTAAGAAACTGGGGAGGAAAGAAGGGTCCACAGAGGAGACTGAGAAAAAGTAGTCAGTAAAGTTAAAGAAAAAACAAGAGAGTGTGTTGTCTTGGAAACCAAGTCCATTAAAGGATGATCTATTAAGATGAGAAGCAATAATTGACCACTGGATTTAATAACACAGAGATCCCTGATGGTTTTAAAAAGTGTTTCAGTAGAATGGTAGCAGCAAAAACCCAATTAGATGAGGTTAGGAGGGGGATTGGAGATAGCATGTATAGACAATCCTTTCAATAAATTTTGCTACAAACTGTTGAAACAAACTAATTACAGCCTGAGAAGGACTCTGTACTTCTTCATTTGAGTCCTTGTGGGTAAACTGTAACGTAGCTTAATCATCAGACAAAATTGAAAACCTAATTTAGTAGTGTGCACCTGTAACAATACTCCAGTGTTGGCCAATCCCAGCAGCCATACTTCAACTACTCATAGACTGCTGAATGTTCAAACTGTGTTCAAATAAGGCAAGCGCCCAGTTGTAACCAATCTCTTTGTTTCTGTACCTGATTTCTGGTTCCTGTACATCACTTTACCTTTTTTGTCTATAAATTCATTTTGACCACGAGGCACCCCCGGAGCCTCGGTGAATCTGCTGTGATTTTGTAGGCTGCCGGATTCACAAATTGTTTGTTGCTTAATGAAACTCCTTTAAGTTTAATTCAGCTGAAGTTTTTCTTTTATCAGATGGTGTCACAAGAAGGATCTGAAGTGGAGCTTCTAGTATCCCCAGGAGCGCGAAGTGAACACGGAAGGTACCTGCAGGATCCAATTGTGTCCATTGATCTCTCAGAGTGGCTGAGGATAATAGGTAAGCTCCCTCTCGCATTTTGGAGCTTCACACGTTGGTGTTTTGAGCTCTCTGAGTTGCTTGGAGCAAATTTCTGATCCAAACTGGGTTTGGAGTCACAACAGGAAACAGACTGGGTCTAGGAACAGATTTGATCTTGGAATTAACTGGCCTGGATCCAGTTAGAGGCCTCTTACATCTCACTGGGTCAGAAAGGAACTGGTAGTAAGCAGTAATGTTGCAGGAGTTATAAAATTTGGCTTTTGAAAATTCACAGGGATTTTTGTGTTCTACCCCTTTGTTTCTTTTCTTTTCTTTTTTTTTTTTGTGCGCCTAGGTAGGAAAAAAATCACTGGCTAAGTTCATCAAGAGAACCTAAGAATAAAGACAATATTTTAGATAAAAATGGGATCCTTAATTTCTGTAAAACTGAGTTCCTTCTGGCTTATACATTAGGACTGTATACCAAGTCTTACAGAAATGGCAAAACATTACTAAAGATACTTAGAGTGGAACATTCCAAATGAACAACAATGCCAATGCATTTAAACAACAATGCCAAGTACATTTATAAATGAGGGCTCTCAGTAAAGTCTCTTTGACTAAAAACAGTTTTGGCACTATTGGATGTCAACTGCTATTCTTTTTGGAATAATCTGCCTTGCACTCTTTGTTGACTGCTGTGGGTGACAGGATGAGGCATGTACAGAATTGTGGTGAATGGGGAGCTTTTTCCTTCTCCCTACAAATAAAGAAACTTGATAGCTGATGGGACTGTGGGGAAAAAAGAAAAAAATATATAGCATTTATTCTGTTTTCATAATTCTCATATTTAACTATGGTTCCATTGCCTTCCATGTTTTTTTCAATCTTGCATAAAAATAAAAACATCTCAATGGTACAAACTAAAATTCTCAAATAAGAAATAAATCACACATACTTTCACCACCCAAAAACAATTTTCATGTTTATTTATTCCCTTCAAGTCCTTGTCCACATGCAAACATAATTTGGGTACATATGTAAAAGTTATATATTTTGATATTTTTACCCATTATTCATTATAATTGCTTTTCTGTAGTCTTCACAGTGACCACTGACTGTGTGCTACTCATATTTACAGACTGTCATTCACAAATTTATAATTTCTCTTTAGTGGACATTAAACTTATTTTCCATATATTATGAAAAATTATTTTAGTTAAGGAATGAAATTCTGATACATAATACAACAGATGTGAACCTTGAAAACATTATGCTAAGTGAAATAAGCCAGACCCAAATGGACCAATATCATCGGATTCCATGATATATGAAGTACCCAGAATAGGCAAATTCCTAGAGAAATAAAGTAAAAGTTATTTTATATACATATATAAAATATATATATTATATATAGGGGTATATATATATATACCCCTAGCCAGGGGCTAGGGAGAGAGGGAATGAGTAATTGTGATTTCATGGGTATAGTTGCCATTTAGGATGACAAAAAGGCTCTGGAAATGGATAAGCACCATGAATGTATACAATACCGCTGCATTGTACGCTTAAAAATGGTTAAACGGTTAGTTTTGTGTTATGTGTCCTTTACAACGATTTTTTTAAAGAAGGTGGGGAGGGGTCTCCCCAGGTTTTTAGCAGCTTCCTGATTTAGAAAAGAAATGTTGATGGTAGGAATACAGGTAGAGAACACTTTTATTTGGGTAGATGTTAGAAGCTGAGGCCAGGGTGGGGTCACAAGAGCAATATTAAGTATGAGGAGAGGCCCTCAACAAAGGTCATTGCAAGGGGATGGAGTAGGGAATGCACAGGAGGGGTATTTTGGACAAAGATTGGCAGCTGATAGGTGTGGGGATTGTTCTCATGTATCAGCCCAGGATATAATGTTCCCAGGGCAAATGGAACACAAGTTTTTTTGCGGGGAGTGATATAGCATGGTAGATCTTGAATTAAAACTTTTAAAATCTTGACCAAAAGCTCAAAGGAGAAGACAATAGTGAAACACATGGGTATGGGCAATTTTAGTTAAATCAGGTGAGAAACAGAGCAAAGAAAGCACTTGGAGATGGGGGGAAGAAAAAGACCATTTTTTTTTTGACAGCTACAAGAACAGCAGAGTCAGACAGGGGATAGGCTCATGTCAGAGATCCAGTTTTATTTACTAAAAGTTCCTTGGGTATTCAAACATTCTGAAATTATGAGATCTTGCAAAAGGATGCCTTTGTTTAAACATTGCTTCATCTAGCTACAGAACATAGTTTAACTTTGAGGCCTTTGACCCCAGACAAGATAAAATATGTTTCACCTTGCCTATTACTTAACACATATTTGTTAACTATTTTAACTTCATGGATAAAAAATTTCAAAAATCTGTGTTAACTGATTTGCAAATGATTGTTTCAAATATCTGATTCGTGGGTTCCTTCTCTTACATTAATTTTGTTGTAAGTTCTTCACATTTTTAATTATTTTTACATCATTGAATATAATTGCTAAATCTCTATATGACATGTTGATTAATATGAAGTCAATTAAAAAAACTAACATATATTAAAACTTGTTCTTACTTTATTCCAGGCATAATGCTATGCATTTTATACATATTACATTGTGTAATCTCAATCCTTTGGAAAACATGCATTCTAATTTCCAGTTCCAAAGTTGTGAGAAAACACTTTGAGGTTCTGATTGGTTAAGCAACTTAACAAAGAAGTATGAGATGGAACTAAAATTTGAAATCAGCCTAAGCTTTGAACCTATCAGTTGTGATGATCACCTTCTCCAAGTTATTGTTAAATTATTGGCACATTTCTAAGAATTCTGAATGATATTTCAACAAAAGTTTACAGATATGTGTTAAAATTTTTCTATCTGTTTTTAATTTTTGTAATGAAACTGGGATAAGTTCCAAAATGGCCGTAGGTTTGAAATATTTGGCCCTGAGAAACTAAAGAAAATCTATGCCTACTCCTGCTCCAAGTTTTTTAGTCATACCTGTTCTTAGAGGGCTGATATTTTCTATTGCAGATGAAAGAAGAATTCTCAGGCATATAATGACCAAAATACAGGAAAAAACTTATGATGGTAGTGGTGGAGTGTTCTGTTACAGGCATTTGGGAAGCTCACAGAACTCTTAATATTCACTTTTAATTCTTTCCACAAGGGAGGAAGGGCATGGGTTTTGGAGACAGTCATATATGGTTTCAAAATCTGACTCTGGCATTTATCTCTAAGAACTTGAGAAATTTACTTAGTCCCTCTGAGATTTGGTGTATTCAGAATGAATATGATACTAACAGTACCTACATCACGAGTGTTACTTGAATGGAGATGTATAAAGTGCATTTTAAATTCATTTGTTTCCTTAACATTTTCCCTTCATTTCTTATCTTTTCAGAGTTTCTTCTTCAAGGTCTCAAGGTCTGAAGCATCCCACAGAATGATCCTACTGAATAACTCCCATAAGCTGCTGGCCCTATACAAATCCTTGGCCAGGAGCATCCCTGAGTCCCTGAAGGTCAGGGAACAGTGGGAGGTCAGGGTATGGGAGTAGGGGTGTTGAGGATGAGAAAATAGCAGGCTTGTGATTCTAGTCCTTCCTGACTGTTTGCAGAGGGTTGGAGCTGGGAAACAGGATGGGACTGGGGGCACAGGCTGCATATCAAGAGCTGCTGCTTCTCTTTGGGAAGAGGCAGCTAGGTCCACTCTGCAGGTTTTGCCACTCATTTGGAGAGGCAGTGGAGCATGGTGGCTACGAACATGGTTTGGAGCCTGTCTGAATGGATATGCATTCCAAGGCTGCCATTTTCTAGTCAGATGGCTTTGTGGATGTTTCTTTCCCTTTCTCTGACTTTACGTTTGGTTTTTCCATCAATGAGATGGGAATAACGTTAGCACCTACCGCTTAAAGTTGCTATGGACACTGAATAAATCTATACAATATAAATGCTAAGAGCATTGCCAAGTGCCCAGCTAGTACACAGTAGCTCTTTGGTATCACAAGGACAGTCCTACCTGTGAGTTCTGCCTGCTTGCTGGTAACTTCACGTCCATCAGTATGGTCCTCTCCAGGACCATACTGCTCATCTCACCATCACTGACTTGGTCTCAGTACCTTCTCTTAATCTCCATTTTTCTCTTCCTCTTCACAACCAGATCCTCATCTCTGGGGATCTCAACCTCTCCTGGTCCCTTTCATCCCTCCTTCAGGTGTATGGCTCTGTGTATCACATCAATCACGGGAACCCCTTCAACATGGAGGTGCTGGTGGATTCCTGGCCTGAATATCAGATGGTTATTATCCGGCCTCAAAAGCAGGTAGGCACACAGACAGGGACTGGTGGAGCCAGGCAGGTCCACAGGGCCTGAGGAACTGACCAGTTCAGACACCATGGCTGCTTTTATAGGGTGAAAGGAAACGTGAGTATTTTAAAACACTCCTTCAGTACTGGGCACCTTGCATGAGTGCCACGTGTTCCCACCCTTCGTGTAAAGCATAGGACCCTTCTGGGAAAGGGGGTGGAGGAGGAAAGGGAGGAAAAGGACAAGGCTGACACTCACAGATTAAGGGCCCTATGAGGTGGCAGGGGTCACCTGCAGGGGCTGAAAGGAGGCCAATTTACAGGGAAAGTTGGGTGTCTGAGATATTAGAACAGTGGCTTAGAAACAGAAACCAAGGCATAAGTCTACCAGTAAAATTACCTCTCAGGGCCAGGCATGGTGTCTTCTACCTGTAATCCCAGCATTTTGGGAGGCCAAGGCAGGAGGATCACTTGAGTCCAGGAGTTTGAGACCAGCCTGTACAACATAGTGAGACCTCATCTCTACAGAAAATAAACAAAATTAGCAGGGCATGGTGGTGCATGTTTATACTCCTAGCTACTCAGGAGGCTGAGGTGGGAGGATGGCTTGAGCCCCAGAAGGTCGAGGTTGCATTGAGCCAAGATCACACCACTGTACTGAAGCCTGGGCAACAGAGTGAGACCCTGTTGTTTTTGTTTTGTTTTTCAAAAAAAAAAGTTACTTCTTAGGAACCAGGGAAGGGACTCATAATTACTGTGTGTCAACTGTGTGGAAGCACTTCTCTCGTTAGTGAATGTTATCATCAGAACAATCTTATGAAGTGAGCATTAATATCTCCAATTTACAGATAAGGAAACAACATTGAGAAATATTAAGTCATGTAGCGGCTGGATTCCTGATGTTAAAGCATTGCCCAGTCTGAATTCAAGTGCAGTGGACTCTACCACTTTTACTAGCTATATAACCATAGGCACTTCTGTGAGTTTCATCATCCGTTAAAATGGGGAAAATAAGAGGATCTTCTTCAGAGGATTACACAAGGTTTAAATGAGATACTGTATGTTAAACACTTAGTACATAGCACATAACTGTAAATAGTGTTTACAATAATTAGCCATTATTGGCTGAGGACACACAAGGAATAAATGATGGAGCTGAAATGGTAATACAAACCTAGGTGTATTTTTTTCCTAAATACTTCCCCTTTGTGTTTGTGTGTTTCATACACATCTGGTTAGTAAACTGAAGCCTCATTGCCAGCCCAACTTCATGTAGGTGTAAACGCTGAGCCCCCAAATAATAATAAGCCACACCAGGTCAAGACTAGTTTGCAAACTGGGTCAGGATTCGGATGCAGAAAGTGACAAAGTGACCCTAGCTTGAGGAACAAAGGGGTAAAGGGGATGGGAACCAGGCTGAGCCTAACACCTTCCTCAGGGATGTTCTTTTGATCTCCTGGCTTCCTGACAATTTGGGATCAAAGATTAATGTTTAGTTTATTTAATCAATGGTCCAATTTCTTCAAAGTGTGGTATGCTAGATAACTGTAGGAAGTCAAATAGTTCCTTTTACTTCAGTAACTTTGTAGTTATTATATGTATTTTAGCAACGTAACTATAGCATCAAGCCATACCTTCATGTATGCATTGCTTTGAACAAAGTTAGTTTTTACAGTGAGTCAATAAACAAAAATATGAAAATATAAAAGTCCCACACCACACATATAAGACCAAAAAAAAAACAAAAAGGAAAGAATGAAATACGCTGCAATTTACTTGGAAGTGCATTCACCTAGTCTGATTCCATAGCATACCATGTTTCTTTCAGTATTGAAAGTCAATCTGATTTTGAATAAGAGCTTTTCAGGGTGGGATGCAGGAGAATTTATCTAGAAAAAAATTAATTTTTTCATTGTTGATTTTTAATCACAAAGATAATCTATGTTGATTATACAAGTAAAAAAATCCAACATGATTTTAAAAAGTTAATAACCTCTTACCTCCCCTCCCCTCCTCTCCTCCTTTCCTACCCCTTGGTTGTAATCAGTGTCCTTGCCCATATTAATACACAGAAGGAATCCCAGCACTTTGGGAGGCCGAGGCAGGCGGATCACGAGGTCAGGAGATCGAGACCACGGTGAAACCCTGTCTCTACTAAAAATACAAAAAAAAAAAAAAAAAAAAAAAAAAAATTAGCCGGGCGTGGTGGCGGGCGCCTGTAGTCCCAACTACTTGGGAGGCTGAGGCCGGAGAATGGCGTGAAACCGGGAGGCGGAGCTTGCAGTGAGCTGAGATCCCGCCGCTGCACTCCAGCCTTGGGCGACGGAGCGAGACTCCGTCTAAAAAAAAAAAAACAAAAAAATAAACAGAGGGATATTCACTGATGATCTCTTTTGTCATCACTCTTAATTTGCCTTTAACATATGGACATCACTTTGGGTGAATCAATACAGCACTAAAGTATTCGTTTTAATAACTGCGGCATTTCATAGAGTCAATGCAATGCTATTTAGTCAATCATTCTCCTGCTGTTGGGTTCAAACTGTTCATACTTCTTTGCCACTACAAACAAGCTTCAATAAACATCTTCATATACATATCTTTATATCCTGGAAATTTTTCTCAGTACAACTGATTTCCAAAAGGAATATCTGCAAGTTACAGTTTATCTTATTCTAAGCAGGCAATGCCAAATTACCTTCCCAAAGGATTCCACAATTTTATTTTTATTAGCAATGTATGGAAGAATTGTTTCCCCACATTCTCACGAGCACTGAATATTATCCCTCTTTTAATTTATCCCAAACTGGTGGGTGAAAAATGGCATCTTATTGTGGATTTAATTTGCATTTCCCTGACTAGCGATATTGAACATATTATATTTTCATGTTTCTCGGTCATTTGGTGTTTACTTTTGACCTGTTTATATTCTTTGACCACTTTTACACTGGGGTTTTGTGTCATTCTTAAAATTTTGTAAGTGTTTTGGAAACTAGGGATACTAAAAAAAGGTGTATGCTACAAATTTGTTGCCCAATTTATAATTATTTTCTATTTTATTGATGGAGATTTTGACATTAAGAAATTTTTTATTTTCATGTAATCAAATATATTATCTTTTTCACTATGACTTCTGAGGTTTTGGGTTTTTTTAGTTAATAATTAGGAAGATTTTTGCTACTCGAAGATCATACAACTGTTTTCTCATTTTGTCTTACAGTGAGTTAATTGTTACTTTTGACATTGCAAACTTCATTCTATTTGGAATATATTTTTGAATAGCATGAATTAACATTCTTTTATATTAATCTTCCTTATGGCTGGCTAATTATGTTAGTACCATTTCTTAAATAAGTCATTCCCTACTGAAATATAAATGTCTATTTTGTCGTATAACATGTTATATATTTTTGTATCTGTTTCTGTATTTTTTCTAGTCTTTTCTCATGCTATTTCATTGTTTCTGTGGTAAATTTTAATATCTAATAAAGCAAATCACCCTTCACCAATCTTTTTTTACTTTCCTATTTCTTATAAACTTAATAGCTATATGAACATAAACTAATTCTTCCAGTTCCCCACCAACTATCCCAAATAACTATTCGAGTTGTGATTGGTATTGGAGGACCATTTTTCGACAATTTTGGAAGAATTAATATTTTTGTGACACTAAATTTTTTCATCAAGAAATATGGTCTTTTTCTCACTTTTTTTCAGTTTGCATTCTATGCCATCTGGTAAAATGTTAGTGTTTTCCTGTGATAAACTAAGTGATTTTTCCATTAAGTTTACCCTTAGGTATTTTATACTATTTGTTAAGATTATTAAATTATTTTCCTGTTATATTTCTGAGCATTATTATTTTGTTATTGCTTTGTGTTTGTAGTCTTGATTTCCAAATATGTCCCACTGTTGTTTAAAATCCTGTTTGTGTGGGGCATTATTTGTTTTGTTTTTTTGTCGAAGTCTCTTGGATTTTCTAAATGTGTAATACTGTAATCTACAAACAAAGTAATTTGCTGCTGCTTTGCCAGTATTTGTATGGGTTTTTAGTTTCTTGCATTATTGCATAATATGCAACCTAAGGAAACAATTCCAACTAATAATAGTTCTATACTTGTCTCATCCCTGATTTTAAATAGCTATAAAAGCTTACATTTGGAATTACATTTGATTCTGTATTTGCAGGTTTAGAGCATTTTCCTGTTGCTCCTACTTTCATAGAACTTATATTTAGAATGGAGGGTAAATTTTATGTTATTTAATTTTTGTCTTTTCTATTTGGCAATTTATACACTCATGTAATTTTTTTCTCCTCTAATTTATTACACTAAAAGACCTTCCAATCAAAGCCATCCTGGCCTTTCTAAAACCAACTGTTCATATTCACATTTTTTGTATATGCTACTGAATATTTTATTCATAATTTTTGTATCTGCATGCATAAGGGAATGTTGTCATAACTCTCTTTTTGTTATTTCCTTACCAGATTTGGCATTAGGATCTTTTCATCTGTTACCAAAGTCTACTATTAAAATCATGTGTTTGTTTTTGGCTTATGTAGAATTTAAATGTAAAATAATCTGATTTTGGCTACATTTTATTTTTTAATTTCAACATTCTTTTTAAATACGGGGGTACATGTGCAGATTTGTTACATGGGAAGATTGCATGATGCTGATTCTTGGAGTATGGACAGATTCCATCATCCTGGTAGTGAGCATAGTACCCAATAGGTAGTTTTCTAACCCAGCCCCTTTTACTCCACCCTCTGGTAGTCCACACTGTCTATTGTTCCTACATTTATGCCCATGTGTGGTCAATGCTTAGCTCCCAGTTATGAGTGAGAGCATGTGATATTTGATTTTCTGTTACAGCAGTAATTTGCTTAGGATTATTGCACTGTGGAAAGTAGTCTGGAAATTTCTTACAGAAATTAAAACAGAGTTGCCATCCGATCCAGCAATGTCTTTACTAGGTAAATACCCAAAAGAAAATGAATCATTCTACCAACATGACACATGCACTTGTATGTTCATTGCTACACAGTTCACAATAGCAAAGACAGGGAATCAACCCAGGTGATCATCAAAGGTAGACTGGATAAAAAAAACTTGATACATATATTTTTATGGAATACTACACAGCAATAGAAAATAATAAAATCATGTCCTTTGTAGCAACATGGCTGAAGCTGGAGGCCATAACTCTTGTCTACTTTTTAAAAGGTAGATGTTTAATTTCATTTCTGATATTTTCTATTAGTTTGTTCAGGATTTCTATTTTTTTGCAAGTCAATATTGATAGTTTATTCTTGAGGGATAACATCCATTTCTTTTATCAGTAAATATCTTGCCTTGGAGTAGTATGTAGTCTTCTATTAGAAGTCTTTTGTTCTTTTCTCTGTTTCTTCTGTTTCTGTTCTCATAGCTTACAGTCTGTTTTTTTTTTTTTTTTGCTTTTTTCTCTTTCTCTTGTATTTCTTTTAATAAATGCCTTACCAGAAGTTTATCTCTCTCTTTCTTCTTCTCTCTCTGTTTTTGCCATTTAAAAATGAACTTTTGGCTTTATATATCCTTTGCACTATGTCTTGTTCTCCATTTCATTATTTATAGCTTTCATTTTTACAAATTGTTCCATTTGTTATTTTCTAGTTTACTTTGATATTCTTTTATATATTTCCTTGACTATTTACTTGGCTATTTTTGGTCATTCTTTTAAAATCAGGTCTTTTAAAACATCTACTCTTCTAAATTCACTGACGTTTTGGGTTTGACCATATTCAGGAACTTGCATTTATAAAAGCACCCTGAAATTCTTGAAGGTTTCTTTAAATTAATTACACTATTTTCTCTTTAACTCTTTAGCAATACAATTTCCAACATAATATTAATACATTCACTGCTAAAACGCTCACACTTATTGTTTATATTTTCCCAGAGAAACATCCTCATCTTCCAATGAAGTTTCTGTCATGCCAGAATGGGATCACGAGTCTCTTTCTTTCAAACCCAAGAGTCTAACACCACATAAATTACCCAGAGAGCTACCAAAAAATTCAGTTACATCATTCTATTTTGTGGGCTTCTGGGTGTAAAGCCAGTGTCACTTTTCAAATAGGCTGATATCCTGTAGGCTTGAGAAAAGGCAAGGTCTCGTTAGTGTTTATATTCACTAAAGTATCTTGCTCAAGCCCTGGACACCGTAGATTCTAGGACACTATTGACTCTAGGTGTCTGGTGAAACAGTAGGCACTAAAAATTAGAGAAATCACAGTTAAATTTATTTTGAGCCAAGTTTAAGGACTTAACTCTTAACAACACAAACTCAGTACAACCCAGAATGTGTCCCACAGTAGGTTACCTGGGGCACAGTATATATAACAGGAGTATCCGTTTGGCACAGGTGGTAAGAGAAGCAGGGAGAGAAGCAATTGTTGCATTTTTTTATTCTGCTGGGTGCTTGGTGATGCTATATATAAAATAGGGTATGTGTGCAGTTGAGTGGGTAGGGAGAAAGGTGAGGCATCTTAAGGCCTGGTGGAGGGTGACTGATTTCATCCTGTCTTAGTTCTGCATGTGATAAGGAGGTTTATAACCAATACTTGTCAGTGTTAAATATTTAACAAACTCCAGTTACACAGGTAAGAGGTCAGCGGTAGCTTATAGGCCTAGGTTTTATTATCGATGTGCCCAACTGCAGCCATCATGGGCCACTGTTAAAATTTTCTTTTGAACTTTCATTTTTCTGATAATTGCAACCAGTGAGAGGTGAAGAAAAAGTTCAAGGGAATGACCTGATCTTATATCATCCAATACAGGAGATGACTGATGACATGGATTCATACACAAACGTATATCGTATGTTCTCCAAAGAGCCTCAAAAATCAGAAGAAGTTTTGAAAAATTGTGAGATCGTAAACTGGAAACAGAGACTCCAAATCCAAGGTAACGAGTCTGAAGAAATGGGCAAGCAGCTGTGCTTCTCAAATTGTGTCTTCAACTAACAGCATTAGCATCACCTGAGGGCTCATTAGAAATGTAAATTCACAGAAACTCTGGGGACTGGGAGAGGTGGAGCAATCTGTGGTGTGACAAGGACTCCATCTGACTGTGGTGTAAACTCAAGTTTGAGAACTACTAAGCACTGAGGTATTAATCAGGTGGGAGCAGTGTAAGTAGAGAACTCCATGTCTGACAAGATTGCTTTCTTGGCTTTCTTCCCAGGTCTTCAAGAAAGTTTAGGTGAGGGGATAAGAGTGGCTACATTTTCAAAGTCAGTGAAAGTAGAGCATTCGAGAGCACTCCTCTTGGTTACGGAAGATATTCTGAAGCTCAATGCCTCCAGTAAAAGCAAGCTTGGAAGCTGGGCTGAGACAGGCCACCCAGATGATGAATTTGAAAGGTACAAAAACATGTGCTGATCATTTATAATTGCGATTCCTTGTACATTTTTGTAATTCACATAAATCAGTTTTGGAATGAAGAGAGGATGAATTCATTCCTTGGGATGAATAAAGGTTGTCAAAGTTCAAGATCCAAAACTTTGCAATGGTGAGTCTTTAAACAAGAAGAGTTCCTGGGATCTCTAGATTGGGATGGCACCTAGAAATTACAGGATTGGGGATGAAAGTTGTTGTCTTTCTTTTTGTTGTCTACAGTGAAACTCCCAACTTTAAGTATGCCCAGCTGGATGTCTCTTATTCTGGGCTGGTAAATGACAACTGGAAGCGAGGGAAGAATGAGAGGAGCCTGCATTACATCAAGCGCTGCATAGAAGACCTGCCAGCAGCCTGTATGCTCGGCCCAGAGGGAGTCCCGGTCTCATGGGTAACCATGGACCCTTCTTGTGAAGTAGGAATGGCCTACAGCATGGAAAAATACCGAAGGACAGGCAACATGGCACGAGTGATGGTGCGATACATGAAATATCTGCGTCAGAAGAATATTCCATTTTACATCTCTGTGTTGGAAGAAAATGAAGACTCCCGCAGATTTGTGGGGCAGTTTGGTTTCTTTGAGGCCTCCTGTGAGTGGCACCAATGGACTTGCTACCCACAGAATCTAGTTCCATTTTAGACAATGAAGCTGCTTAGTAATCTCTGCCAAGCCATCTCTTAATATTAAAGCAGACACCACAGAATAGATTTCTTCACTTACAAATGCATATTGGGCACTTATAATACAGCAGGAACTCTTCTCACCTGGAGCCTTGATGTTAAAAGACACAGCCATGCTCTTGAGGAGCTTACAATCCTGGCTGGAGGCAGGGGAGGGTATATTCTTTAAATATGCTTAAGTGTTATAGGGAAAGACGGGGTTACCAGTAAACATGTAACTAGAAAGCCAGGCTCAGTTCTTACCTCTGGGAATCAGAACTCTTTATGCAACTTGGTTAATAGAATCTACTATCTGGAAGATAAATGAAGGATTTTAATAAAATTTTCAATAGAATAAACCTAATCTGTATGGATACTTTATCAAAAATGAATGTCCCTGCTATTTCTGGATTTATGAGGCAATGGTACACTAAAGAATGGAATCAGTTCAGTGAGTAGAAAGGTATCCAAGGTGAAGCCTGAGACGAATGGCTTTCCCAGGCTACCTTCCATCACTGTTGTACAGAAAAGAAATCCAGAGAATCAAATGGACTGGCCTTGGGGGTCTCTGCTATGGAAATGCCATTTTTTGTGTCTCCTTTCTCCTACTCTTTCTCACATCCTCTTCATGATTGAAGCATGGCACAAGGCAAGGTGTTGCCTGCGAGTCTGGTTGTAAGTTCAGCCTTTGGTGTTTGCACTACTGCTATCATAAGGGGTCAGGGACATTCCGGGGAGAAGTGACCACTAAGGTGAGGATTAGAGAGTGAGTAGAAGTGAGCCAGACAAAAAAAGCAGAAAATGCAGATGATGGAAAGGACATGTGCCATGCACTATCATAAGAACTTCCTAACTGAACACTGATACTACAATTCTGAATCCCTGATCTTAAAAAATAATTATACTTCACCAACAAAACTTGGCCTCTTTTGGTTCCACTCTGCCACCCTGCCATTGGAACTTGGATTACTGTGAACATTGCAGCTATAGCAAAATAAAAAATAAAAAAAATAAATAATTGGCATTTTCATTCTTTCTGATAGTCTAGATTTGAAGCAGAAAAGATACTTTAATAGAATTGGCTTTGGAAGTAAAGTCTGCCAGTATTAAGAAACACCTATTTTCATCTCTCCATAAAAAACAAAACTTCCACAAAATTGAATGTTTATATTTGATGCGATTTTAAAGTGTGCAATTCCAGCAATTAAAGAATTGTGTAGGTCATGGAGCATTTTTAAAAAACTTCATCTTAGAAGGCTGTGGTAGATCTGTTACCGCTTAGTATGAATCAATCCAATCAGATTTCTAAACTCCTAAGACCTGGCTGATTTGTTACATTGACTGAAATGAAAGCATGGTCTGAGAAAGAGAGGAAACATGTCATTTGGGATTTCAAAGGTTGGAACATTCTTACATAAAAAATAAACTCGGGAACTTGGGGTAATATGAAAACAGCTATATTTTTCACTCAAGATGCAAAAGCTAATAAAGATGATGAAAGAAGACAAAGCAAATAAAATTTGCCTATTTCAAAATGGTGCCTCGGGCAGGTCCTGTATCCAGAAGAGGATGCTCATCCAGGGTCTGTAAGCTCAGGTCATCTTAGCTCAGCCCAGCTGGCAGCTTCCCTCCTCTGCCCCTTCCCTGAATGCAAGCCAGCTTCCCTTATCTAGCCCTTCATGGTCCTGTTACGATAGTGATTCCCAAACCTTATCATCCACTTGGATTAAAAAAACACAAGAAAGCATGGGAAAGAGGAAGGAGGATTTCTTAAATATGGCAAAAATAAGTCCAAAATTATCAGTAAACACAATACAGATGAATGGGGTAATTTTTTTATTAAAACATATGTTTTTCATATTGAGTTAAAAACAAAGTCCAAGAAGCATGCATTAATCTGCTCTGGCTGCCATAACAAAGTTTCATACACTGAGTAGCTTACACAACAGAAATTGATTTCTCACTCGTTTGGAAACCGGGAAGGGATATGACAAGGTTCTGGCGAGGTAGGTTTCATTCTCAGTCCTCCTCTCTCAGCTTGTTGATGGCTGCTCTCTCTCTGTGCCCTCACATGGTGTAGAGGAGGGCTCAGACTCTCTTCCTTTTCTTAGAAGGACTTAGTGTCATCATGGGGGCTCCACCCTCATGACGTCATCTAAACTCAATTACGTCTGAAAGGCCCACCTCCAAATACATTTGGAGTTGGGACTTCAACATATGAATTTGGGGATCACAGTCAGTACATAAGAAAGCACATCTGAAATAAAAACACAAAGGCTAAAAGAAAGGAAAAAGATATACTAAATGATTTTGAAACTGAAAAAGCAAAGTAATAACATCAATACTAAGCAAAACAGAACTTAAGACGAAAATCTGCTAAATACAGAATTCTCCCACAAGATAAGTCATGAATCTTCCTCACAACACAACTACAAAATACATATGGCAAAAGCTGACATACAAAAAGAAATAGGCAAATCCACAGTCTCAGTAGGAGAACTCAAAATACTTCCCTCAGAAAGCAACAGATGATGCCGATAACAAAGACAACTTGACAAAATGCCATCACAAGTTGATATTTCTGGTGATGTTGGGGTTATCTGCTTACTGTGTATTTGAGAACTTCTGTTCATCTGTTTGTCAAACTGACCAGCAGGGGGTGCTGGGGAGGGAAACACTCCACAGGGAGGGTGGGGAAAGTTCTCTAAGTCTAGAGGCTCCTGGTCCCCCCATGATCATCATCTATCAGGGGCAAGCACTGCTGATACAGGAGCTAAAAAAATCAATTATTTAGGCAGTTAGTGTGGGTAAGGGAGTCGTTGGTAAGGTTTTCCTTTTAATAAAAAAGCAGCCCCCATCTAATTTTGTTTTCTAACAACAATCAGCCTGAAAAATCAGCTGCAAGCATAGATAAGCAAGCTAAAACTTGCAAAGGGGAATGCCGGCACCTATGCCAATAGAAAAGGGATACTTGGAAGCCAGGCATACTCGCATGTTCAACATGGAGGTGTCCTCTTCTTTTTTTTTTTTTTTTTTTTTTTGACGGAGTCTCGCTCTGTTGCCCATGCTGGAGTGGAGTGGGGCGATGTCGGCTCACTGCACCCTCTGCCTCCCGGGTTCAAGCAGCTCTCTACCTCAGCCTCCTGAGTGGCTGGGATTTCAGGAGCCCACCAACAGGCCCGGCTAAATTTTTTTTTTTTTGTATTTTTTTTAGTGGAGACGAGGTTTCACCATCTTGGCCAAGCTGGTCTTGAACTCCTGACCTCGTGATCCACCCTCCTCGCCCTCAGAAAGTGCGGTGATTACAGGCGTGAGCTACGGCGCCCTGCCTCTTCTTCCCTTTTCTTTGTCTTCAAGTGTTCAGGCAACATGGCGCTGGCCAGATAGAGACCCCATCTGCATAATAAAAGATTAGGATGGGATGGCCAGCCTCTTCGTGCATTCACACCTGGTCCAACCAACCCTCTGAGCCCTGTGTAAATCAGACACTGGCTCCTCAAGCTCATCTATAAAACCAGCCGCAACTTGCCCCAAACCCAGAAACCCGCTCAGGCACCCTTCCAATGCACAGGGAACTCTCTCTTCTTTCTTTTGCCTATTAACCTTCCACTCTTAAATCCACTCCTTCTGTGTCTACATCTTCAATTTCCTTATTGTGAGACAAAAAGCCTCTGGCATTTACCCAAATGATTCTGCTTCACTGCCATCTCTAGCCCAAGTGCCAAAAATGACCACTTTAGCCTGATGAATGCCACGGCTGCTACCATGCTGCTTAGGACAAGCAAGGATACAAAGATGGACTGGGGAATGGTTTATCAGAGAGGCCGCAATGAAAGCATATCCCATGCAACTTTCCACTTCTTAACTTCTGTCATTTTCAAACTTAAAGGTTTTTTTTTTTATTTTTATGTTTTGTTGTTGTTGTTTTGTTTTTAACAGTTTCTATTTCTGGCCCAAAGACTTCTCTTTGTTTTCCTCCTATGACATATTTATTGTTTGTTCTAAAGTCCTTTCCAACATTTCCTATAGTAATTTAGAAGACATGTGTTTGGTTCACATCTTGATCTCCTCTCCACCTAGAATTCTTTTTACTTTCTCCCAGGAAGATTCCACCCCTCCTATTCTGCCAGTTCCCTCTACCTCAAACAGTTGCCCTTTCAGGCAGATAAGCCTGGGCCAGTTCTACTTTACTATGGACACCAACTCTTCTGAAATAACATCTGAGTCTTGGGATTTGCATATGAATCTTCCCTTGACACAGAAAACAGTCTTTCCTTTTACCTTCACTAAAGGCATACACTTGGGAGAATGGACAGCACTAAAATTCCACAGGTTTCAAAACCAAACGTGCTGTGCCATTCTAGAGTTCTTGGAATGAAGACGACAAAGTAGGTTAGAAGGGATGATTTCCTCCTTCCTTTGTCACCATGAAGGAGCTCCTGTTTTTAAAGGGAAAAATTAACGACAGTCCAAAAGAAACTCTTGCAAATCAAGCCTTGCCATGCCACCACGAGAAGGGTAATCTGTGTGCCTAGGGGTGAAATTTTTAAATTTTTGTAACGGTGTCCAGGGTCACCCTGTGGATAACAAAAATATTTAAAAACCTACACCGGTGCCAACCTTTCAGAACTGTGTGTCTTTGCAAGGACTTACCAAGGCCTAGAGATGATAGCAGTCTACAGGCAAACTCCAAAGCCTCCCACCTGCCCCAACCAACACACACACACACACACACACACAAACACCACCCTGCTATTCTTTGGCCCTAGATCTCACTTAAATTTATTCTAAATCTTAATCTCCCTGTGCCTTCAAACTCATGTGTTGTACAGCCTTGGTAATTGCTTTTTAAGGATATTCCCTGACTTTATAAAAACTATTTATGAGACATATATCTAAGGTAAAACTTTTCATTTCAGCCCAGATCAGCACTCTTTTTATTAGAATTACAAATCCTGAATTTCTTAGTTGCTAGAAAAATATATTGAAAAGGAATTATGCTTGTATAGCAACGGATTATCTCTGGAAAAGTACTGGGTGTCTAGAGGATGAGTGAAAATTGTTTCCCCTATATATATTTTTTTATTTCGAAAAGTATATCCTGTGTATATTCAAAAGATAACATTTTATAAACAGGGAAATTGCCTCCACTGTGGACTCTTATTAATTCACTTATCCACCAAGTTCTCTTATTAACTGACTTATCCATCATATTCCCTTATTAACTTTTTATTCAACCACTAGTATATGCTTCTATTGCTCATAATTGAGCACAAATTTCTTTACTATTATATAAAATAAAGTGCCAGCTATTCCACTTTTTCTCCCATACCTCAATGAGATGACATCTTCCAATAGATTCATTTCCCTGTTTTGCTCCCTCCTCCCATCCAGATGAGTGTGCTAAGTGATACAAAATGCTTTTATTTCTTTACCCCTCATCCCCCTGAGCCCAATCCCTGGATGTTTTATTTCCAGGTGTCATAGAATTTTCCTTGTGGTGTGTCGCTTCTATTTAAAGAATTCTTCTTTAAAACTTTTATACACATTCCTGTAGAGTCTATCATTGTCCATTCAGAGTTAACTGTCTACATAAAATTTGTCAGATTTTTTTTGGCTCACCACTGTTTCTTCTCCTTTTTATCTGCTCCTATTTGAGATCTCTGTTCCCATTTGATTTGTTAAAATTCTTTCTCCAATATTTTCTGTGTGTAATTATGCTACTTATATGATAGCTGAAGACTCTCAAATTCACAAATACCTTTCTTTGATCCTCACAAGAATATAACTTCTGAAGTCTTATATATCCACAAATATTTTTCTTTTACCCTCAGGGGATTGATGCCCTATGACCCCACATTTTAGGCTTAACAAATTTAATTTTTTTCTCTTAATACATAAGGAAACTGAGGTGCAAAGAAAGAAGGGAAACTTGAACCTTCATTCAAGGTCACAAAGCTAGTAAGAAGTGGATGACTAGCGATGAGGGTTTCAGGTTGAGATTAACAACAAATGTCACAGAAGACAATAGTGTTTAACCCAACTTCAAGTTCATAAAATGAATGGACGTTTCCTGATCCCTCAACTTCCTCCCCCACCTCAGGGGATTTCAGGATGTACCAGGCAAAGCTGTCTCCCTCGATCCCCAACTGTTTCTCAGTCAGTGAGGGGTGTTAAGAACTCTTCACTGCCCCTCTTGAAGCTTACATTCTGGAGCAGGGAGAGAGAAACTGAAAAAAAATTTGAAAAAAAAAACCCAGTAAACATATTTCCTACATACTGAGATGTAGTATATGAAAAAACAACACAGGATTCAGGAAGAGAAGATGATGGAGGGAGAAAGAACAACAAATAAATAGGAAAAGAGCCTCCAGATAGGAGAAGATAAAAGGGAGAGGAAACAGGAAGGGGTCAGAACAGGCCTCCCTAAAAGCCTGGCATTTGACAGAGTGCTGCAGAATGAAGAGAGCCAAGCACATACCAGGGGGGTAGGGTTGCAGTCTGAGGAAGCACTCCAGGAAGCACCCAAGATGGTCCACTAGGGTGAACAAAGAACATACTTGAACCACCAGTTAGATTCACCTTCATCTAAAAAATAAGAAATTAAATGTGCCTGATATTTATTTAATATGTTAATTTCAAAACTATATATATATATATAGTTGATGCTCAAATCGTTAAAAATTAGGTATGTAAAATTAAAGCTCATAGATTACTCTTGCCTATGGCAAGGAGCTCCTGATAGGCAAGGATACATCTCACCCATCTCTGTATCTTCAGAATCCATCATATTATGTGGAACATAATAAGTATCAGTAGTATGTTGGGGGGAAAGATCGAAACCATGCTGAGCACCGGAATTCTGTGTAAATCTTTCAAAAAAAAATCTCTTCTACTTTATAGCAGAGTCCCTTTTCTTTTTTATTTTTAGTAGCAACTAGCCCCACACCTTGCAGATGAGCTCCTAAGAAATGAATGGGTGAATGAATGCGTGGACAGCGAGATGGATCAGTGAGTGAGGAACAGCGATTCGCAGGACCTGCATGCATTGAAATCCTGACAAAGCAGCCTCTGCAAGATAAAAGACCTTAGGCTTTGCCGTTTGACAGAAGTTAAAATTATTCAAGGGCTGTCCTTGGGCAATTTACTTGAAGTTTCATAATCTGTGAAACAGAAAATGAATTAAATAAAAAGATAATTGAGACAAACCTATAAAAAGTGCCAAAGCAGGATGCCTGGCATTAAGGGACGCTTCACACCTGTTATCTCTCACCCTATTCTCTCTTCACCCCTACTCCCGCCCGGCAGCTCCCCGCTGTTAGCACCAGAAATAGTTATCTGCTAAGAAAACGAAAAGTGTAATGCTGGCTTTACCCCGCGACGCTTTAAAAAACTCCAAAAACCCAGCGTGATGGGGGGTAGGTTTGCCTAGACACAGCTGAGGCAGCCTTAATAAACTGAGAGGAAGGTTAATTGTCAAAGAGGGTTGAGCCACTAGGAGCAGCAGCAACCTTGGACTAACAGGTGTATCTTCAGCGAGCACATGTCCCAGCACATGTCCCCACGCCCATCCTTCCATTTAGCGCCACAAACGCAGCCTCTTAAGAGAATGGGAAGTTTGGGAGTCACAGAACGGAAGCTACCATTGGCCTTAATGGATGTCAACCATTAAGGTAAGCTTGGGAGTCGGAGAACGGAAGCTACCATTGGTTTTAGTGAATGTCAATCTTCACCCGCCACTTTTCTTCCTGGCCTCCTTGCCCCTTCCTATTCTGCTGGCTAGTTCTCTCTCGTCATCTGCTGGCCGCACTCGGGAACATACCAAACGCGGAAACGCGCCTTAGCTTGCCCTGAATACCTGCAAACCGAGGGCTCGGCGTGGTTTTTAAAGGCTTGGCTAGCGTGCCCCCGGCGGTACTAAAAGAGGGCTGCTTGCGCCAATCTCATTCCCACAGGATGCAAGTACAGAAGCAGAGCGGACGCCCGGAAGGGGTCACAGAGAGACAGGCGGGGCGGTTGACCAGCTGACTGGACTCACTTTGGAGAAATGCAAATTACCGAGCCACAGTCCAACCAATGGTATCAAAACAGAATCTCTACAGATGTAGCTCAGCGAAGATGAATCTCGGCCTCACCCCAGAGAAATTAAATATATTGGGGGTACCCAGAATCCCCATTTTAAAAAACCTATCCAAGTGATAAGTTTGAACATTAAAGTACAGAGAATCACAAACTGGCAGAACTCTTTAACTTACAAAAAGGTAATGAAGACCCCCCAAGAGGAAAAGGAATTTGCCCAAGGTCTCCCTGCAAGATCCTAAGAAAACATGAGGCTCTAAGGTTAAAAACCTAACTGACAACCATTCCCTCCCGCAACTCGTCCTCTGACCTCTAGCAAACTATCCTGTCCTAATCTGTGAAATAGGAGCAACAGTTACACCTATCCCAGCAGGTGGCTGCAAATATCAAATGGGACCAAAATGAGTCAACTACCAAGCACCACCCGACTGGAACTACAGGTTGAACTAAATCTTGATCGCCCTACCCCTGTTCATCTCCCAGTACCACTGTATGAAGGTGGAGGTGAAGCCTGTCTTGAAGAGAGAGAGAGGCTCCTTGGAGCCTCTGGAGTCCGAAGGTAGATGTTACCTTCCTCTTGAGTGCATTGTCTTCCTAAGATAGGATGGACAACAGGGTCTATATGGAAAGTGTTGGCTGTCAGGGCTTCAAGTCTGGCTCCTAAGCTGTTGCTGGAGGGTTAGAGACCCCACTCCAGCTCTCTCTAAAATGAGGGCAGCTTGTTAGCAAGAGTGAGTGAGGTGAGCCCTCTATGAACCCATGGGAGGAGAGAAAACGAGCATCCCATATAAGCTTTTACATACCCCATTGCAAGCTCCATAATGTGGTGCCCAGGCCCTTATCTCTAACCCATCCCCAGAAGCCAATTCTCCTTAGCCCTTCCTGCCACTTCTTCCATTGTACATCCAGATGGTTCCCTTCTTCTCTTCTATCAAACTCCTACTCATCTCTCATCCATCAAGCCCAAATATAAATCTTTCTCTGTGATATACTCGCAAGTTAGAGGCAGTGGTGCCTTCCTCTGTATTCCCAGAACATGTTGTTTGCAACTCTAAATACAGACATCAGCCTACTGTTAGGGTTCAGGAGCATCTTTTAGGAGTTCATGGGGAAATCACTTTCCATAAATGCTGGCCTTATTCCCTAACTTCACCAGACCTGACCTTAGTGCTTCATCCATTCCCACCTCTCCTGACCATGTAAGAGGCCTTTTCTTCTTATTGGTTTGAAAAACACAAAATGACCCAACCACCAGTTATGTGGCCAAAAGAATTCTTGTCACATTATAATCAAATCCAGCCAACAAGATGCTTTGTGGCAAGTGAACGTTCCTTTTCAGGGCAAACACTGTCCCCAGGAATGTGAGACAACTTCCACAGCCCCATATAAGTATTAGCTGGAAGTGAGGCTTCGTTGGTGGCTCAAAAGATTCCCTGAGCACCCCTACGCTGTCGCTGATGTCAAATTGCAGTGGGATTGCATCAAATCTCTCAGAGCACAGCTGCAAAGAGAAACGCAAAGCTAGAGCTCTACTCTGGACCCATAGCTCTAGGCAGTTAGTTTCTCTGTGAGGTTCAATTTTATACATAAGGAAGAAATGGAAGATTGCTACCAAAAATGACATCATGTTACTTATTCTAATCGTGTGGTTCAGTTGCTACTCCAGTGATGAGCAAGTAAAGAGGAATTAGAAGCATGACTATTCCTAGGCTCAAGGAGCAGGGAAGTTCTGGAATTGGGTGTGTGGCAGTGCTGCTTGGAGTGCCATTACAAAGGGGCAAGACTGGTTCACTGGGAGGTAAAATATAGGGCACCTAAGAGACAAGGGGTCTGGGAAACAAGGCAGACTTTTGTAGTTATCATTTGCTCTGATATCTCTCCACGAACTTTCTTCTCCCTTTTAATTTTCTCTGTACTTTAATTACATTTCTTTTTAGGGACAGGCCCCCAAATCTGGCCATAATCTGGCCCCAAAACTGGCCATAAACAAAATCTCTGCAGCACCGTGACATGTTCGTGATGGCCATGAAGTCCACGCTGAGGGTTGTGGGTTTACTGGAATGAGGGCAAGGAACACCTGGCCCACCCAGGGAGGAAAACTGCTTAAAGGCGTTCCTAAGCCACAAGCAATAGCATAAGCCATCTGTGCCTTAAGGAAATGTTCCTACTGCAGATAACTAGCCAGAGCCCATCCCTCTGTTTTGGCACATTCCTTTGTTTTCTGCAAGGAATACTTTTAGTTAATCTATAATCTATAATCTATAGAAACAATGTTTATCACTGGCTTGCTGTCAATAAATATATGGGTAAGTCTCTGTTTGAGGCTCTCAGCTCTGAAGGCTGTGAGACCCCTGATTCCCACTCCACACACTGTATTTCTGTGTGTGTGTCTTTAATTCCTCTAGTGCGACTGGGTTAGGGTATCCACGACTGAGCTGGTCTTGGCAATTTCTCAGGCCTGGCATGGTGGCTCACATCTGTAATCCCAGCACTTTGGGAGGCTGAGGCGGGCAGAGCACCTGAAGTCAGGAGTTTGACCCTAGCCTGGCCAACATGGTGAAATCCCATCCCTACCAAAAACACAAAAATTAGCCAGGCATGGTGGCAAGCACCTGTAATACCAGCTGCTCAGGAGGCTGAGGCATGAGAATCGCTTGAACCCAGGAGGTGGAGGTTGCAGTGAACTGAGATCATGCCACTGCACTCCAGCCTGGGCAATAGAGCAAGACCCTGTCTCAAAAAAAAAAAAAAAAAAGACTTCTCAGTTAATGAACAACATTGTTACCATCATAAGTCCTAGCTTCCCTCTCTTTCTCCCTCCATGTGTCTTTTATTTTTATCTATGTTCTTCTCTCCCAGATTCACCCTCTGGCCCCTTCTTAAGGCTCCGTGGGCATTCACCCTCACGTGTTGAATGTCCACTTCCCTCCTTATTTTTTAACTGGCATGGATTAGCATCTCAAAGTCAACAGGTCAAAAGTAGAATTACTGATACACACACACATACACACACACACACAGCCCAATCCTGGCATACACAGCGTCTCCTTCCTCAGTCTTCCCCATATCAGTTAATGGAGACTTTATCCTTCTAGTTGCTTAAGTCAAAAGCCCAGGAATCATCACTGAGCCCTCTTTTTCTCTTATTTATGGAACATCCATAAGCAAATTCCATGTGCTGGCCTTTCAAAATATATGTGGAATCCAGCCATTTCTAACACCTCCACCATTACCACCTGAGGCCGGGCTCCGAAATCTTTGCAATCCTGGGACAGACTCTTAGCCGCCTTCTCCCTTCCACATCTCCTCTTGTCCTCCCAGAGTTTGTCCCCCACGCAGCTGCCAGAGTGATTTTTTAAAATATGTCAGGTTATATTACTCCCTTGTTTCAAATCCTCCATTTAAAATAAATTTCACATTTAAAACAAAATCCAGACTTCTTCATATGGCTGACCAGGTGCTTTATGCTAATGGAATGTGCAGATGCTCCTCCCTAAGGAGTGCTTCTTTCCAGGGCAAATTATCTCCAGTGATGTCAGGCAATTTCAACAACACCATTCTCTACCACCTCTTGCTCTTCATAGCTTTTTTTCTCCAGATTCTATAATGAAAAGAAAATCAAGTTTCCTTGTGCAATGATTTACTCTCCGATGTATATTGGTGCCAGTCACTTATACTGCTTTCAGATGATTCAAGAATAACAGCGATTTGAGAAAGCTGTCCTTAAGTTTTCTCTTCTGTTTTTCTGTATAATATTATTTTTACAATTATACTTCCAAAGTTTTCTCTTTCCAAGCACCACAACACCCGTGTAATTTAAGCAGTGATTTCAGGGGTCTCTCTATATTTTACATTAATTTCAGAAACATGCTCTTGATTATTCCACCAAAACCATCAACTTTTACATCAACATCTGTCCTTCTATGAGTTACAAAATAATTGTCACCATCCCCCCCTTAATCAACCATCGTCTCCCCTTCTTTGACCAACTTTTCAAACACCCAATACTGAAAGCATCTCCTTCTATTCAGGTTCTTAGATAGTAAGACGTTCTGTTCTTAAACAGTAAGATGTTTTCTCAAGCCCCATGCAAAGCACTTCTTTGATCATCACTTTGGGGATACCCAACTCTGGCGTCTTCATCAGGAGGGTAAAGTTCCACACTCAGTAATGCGCGTCCTGAGAACAATGCCTAAGCAGTGCTGGCCGCTTCCTTATCCAGGCTGGCATTGTCTGTGTTCACCAGCCCGTCCGGGAAGTTGGATCATTTGCGGAGCAGGCCAAGTCCCTCTAGCCCTCACGCAGGCGTGGGTACAGCCTGCTCTGGAACTTGCAGTAGGCTGGAGTCTGGGCTTCTGCATCATCAGGATTGAGCTCTCTCTGCTGCTGCCAACGGATCCCGCCTGGGTGCTAGTCCCGCCACCGCCGCTCACCCCACAGCGGCAGAATGGCAGCAAGTGCCACACACCAAAGCACCGGGGCGGGATATTTGCCCTGCAGCTCCCGCCAGCGCGCTGCTCTGACGCAAACAAAACGCGGGGAAAGCGCGAAACCGCCAGGTGCCTCCCACTCAGGGATGTCAGGGAGGTGACTGGGGTCTAAGTCATGGAGAACTTAGAGGGGCTGTTACAAGGAATTTGTGTCTCTCTGAATGAGACTGGGTGTTACCCCTGCAGTAGCAGGGGTTGCACAAAGGAATAACAAAATCTGGCTTTTGTTTTAAAAGGAGCATTCTGTTTTTCCATTGAGAAAAGACTAAAGACATTCTCCATCCAGAAAAGACTGCCAGGAACTCTGAAGTATCTAAAAGCTTACCCTACTTGGAGCACAGTTTCATAAATGCTGGCAGATGACACAAGCCTCCTGGATCAAAGACAGTATTTTATGATTCATTCAACAGGCAGAATGATTTTTGTGTTTGTGTCAGTCATCCTTGCTCCATAAGTCCTGCAGAGGTAATACAGAACAGCAGATTAATGTTGCAAATGCAATAGTTGTGTGTTGCAGCCAAGGAACCCTGAATTTAGGGAACACGTATGTTTTATAATGAACTGCAAGCAAACCTATCTGAACTTTGCTCCAGAGGAAGACATTATCTTTTTTATACTTAACAGTAAGCAAACCTGCCCTCTGCTTCAGAAGAAAACAGTATCTCTAGCTTCCAAGCTGTCCTCTTTACAAACATCCTTGAAAAGCTAGTCAGGAGCAAAGACTGTCAAAGTCTCTGCTCATAAGATATGCAGAAATGTGAGAGGTCATGAAGAATTTTCCTCCAACCAGAATTATCAGGATGTCATAATGGATTGGATGTAAAGTGGGAGGGGAAAAGATACTTAAGAATAACTCCAAATGTTTTCATTTGAACAAGGGAAAAGATGGAGTTGCCATCAACTAAGTTGAGAAAGACTACAGGTAAAGCAGGCTGGGTGGAGAGGGTGGATAAGGAGTTCGATCTGAGACATAATGAGTTTGAGATGGCTACTGGAGGGAATCCAGGAGATGTCAAACAGGCCATTAGATAAATATGTTTTGAGTTTGGAAATGAGTTTGAGTAATAATATAAATGTATTAGTCATTGGCAGGTAGATTGATATTAAAGGCATGGGATCAGATGGGATAACCAGGGAGTAAGTGTGGATAAAAATGAGGGCCAATTATTGAACTCAGAGGTGATCCAAAATGAAGAAATTGGGGAGAAAAGAAGGGTCCACAGAGGAGACTGAGAAGAAGTAACAAGTGAAGCTAAAAGAAGACCAAGAGAGTGTGTTTTCTTGGAAAGAAGTGAAGAAAGTTCTTTAAAGGATGAGCTATTAAGATGAGAAATAATAATTGACTCTTGGATTTAATAACATAGGCTTTAAAAAGTGTTTCAGTAGAATGGTAGCAGCAAAATCCCAATTAGATAAGTTTAGGAGGGGGATTGGAGATAGCATGTATAGACAATCCTTTCAGTGAATTTTGCCACAAAGTGTTAAAGCAAACTAAATATGGCCTCAGAAGGACTCTGTACTTCTGCATTTGAGTCCTCATGGGGGAACTGTAACCTACCTTAATAGTCAGACAAAATTGAAAACCTAATTTAGTAGTGTGCACTTGTGACAATGCTTGAGTGTTAGCCAATCCCAGCAGCCATACTTCAGCCACTCATAGACTACTGAATGTTCAAACTGTGTTCAAATAAAGCAAATGCCCAGTTGTTACCAATCTCACTGTGTCTGTACCTCACTTCCTGTTTCTGTACGTCACTTTACCTTTTTTGGTCTATAAATTCGTTTTGACCATGAGGCACCCCGGGAGGCTCTGTGAATCTGCTGTGATTCTGAAGGCTGCCGGATTCACAAATTGTTCATTGCTCAATTATATTCCTTTAAATTTAATTCAGCTGAAGTTTTTATTTTATCAGATTATGTCAGAAGCAAATCCGAAGTGGAGTTTCTAGTATACCCAGGAGCACTTAGTAAACATGGAAGGTACCTGCAGGATCCACTTGTGTCCATTGATCTCTCAGAGTGGCTGAGAATCACAGGTAAGCTTAATCTCACATTTTGGAGCTTCACACATTTGTGTTTGGAGCTGAGTTTCTTTGAGCAAATTTCTGATCCAAACTGGGTTTGGAGTTGCAACAGAAAATGGACTGGGTCTAGGAACGGATTTGATCTGGGAATTAACTGGCTTGGATCCAGTTAGATGCCATTTATGTCTCACTCAGTCAGAAAGAAACTGGTAGTAAGCAGCAATTTACAGGAGTTATAAAATTTAACTTTTGACAATTCGCTGGGATTTTTGTATTCTACCCCCTTTGTTTTGTGTGTGTGTGTGTGTGTGTGTGTGTGTGCACCTAGGGAGGAAAAAAATCATTGGCTAAGTTAATCAAGAGAGCCTGAGAGTAAAGCCAGTATTTAGAGGTAAAAATTGAATCCTTAATTTCAGGAAAACTGAGTTCCTTCTGGCTTATACATTAGGCCTCGGAGGCAGCAAAGTCTTACAGAAATGGCAAAATCTTACTAAAGATAACTTAGAGTGGAACATTCCAGTTGAACAACAATGCATTGAAGTACATTTAAAAATGAGGGCTCTCAGTAAAGTCTTTTTTGTCTAAACACAGGTTTGGCACTATGGGATGTCAACTGCTATTCTCTTTCGAATAATCTGCCTTGCATTCTTTGTTGATGGCTGTGGGTGACAGGATTAGGCATGTAAAGAATCATGATACATAGGGAGCTTTTTTCTTCCCCTTAAAAGAGGGGAAACTTGATAGCTGATGGGACTACTGGGAAAAAAGAAAAATACAGAAAAATAGCATTTATTCTGTTTTCATAATTCTCATCTTTATGGTTCTAGTGCCTTCCATGTTTTTTTCAATCTTGCATAAAAATAAAAACATGTCAATGGTACAAAAGAAAATTCTGAAATAAGAAGGAAATCACACATAATTTTGCCACCCAAAAACAACTTTCATGTTTACTTATTCCCTTCAAGACCTTGTCCACATGCATACATACTTTGGGTAGACATGGACAAGTTATATATTTTGCTTTTTTACACATTATTTATTATAACTGCTTTTCTATAGTCTTCCCAGTGACCACTGACTGTGTGCTACTGATATTTACTAACTGTCATTCACAAATTTATTATTTCTCTTCAGTGGACTTTAAACTTATTTCCCATATATAATGGAAAATTATTTTAGTTATGAAATGTAATTCTGACACATGATACAACATAGGCAAACCTCAAAAACATTATGCTAAGTGAAATAAGCCAGGCCTAAAGGGACAAATATCATAGAATTCCATTTATATGAAGTACCTAGTATTGGCAAACTCCTAAAGACATAAAGTAAAATAAAAGTTATTTTGTGTATATATCCCTAGCCACGGGCTAGGGACAGAGGGAATGAGTAATTGTGGTTTAATAGATATAGTTTCTGTTTAGTATGACAAAAACGTTCTGGAAATGGGTAGTGGTGATGCTTATACAGCATTGTGAATGATCACAAACCACTGCGTTGTACGCTTAAATATGGTTAAACAGTAAGTTTTGTGTTATGAGTAATTTACAATTTTTTAAAAGAGTATGGGGAGGGGTCTACCCAGGATTTTACCAGCTAATTGATTCAGAAAAGAAATGTTGGGGGGCAGTTCCAAGATGGGCGAATAGGAACTGCTCCATTCTATAGCTCACAGCGTGAGTGACGCAGAAGATGGGTGATTTCTGAATTTTCTAACTGAGGTACTAACTGAGGGCTTCATCTCACTGGGGCTTGTCAGACAGTGGGTGCAGGACAGTGGGTGCAGCCCACCGAGCATGAGCCAAAGCAGGGCGAGATATCACCTCACCCAGGAAGTGCAATGGGTCAGGGAATTCCCTTTCCTAGCCAAGGGAAGCTGTTAGAGACAGCACCTGGAAAATCGGGTCACTCCCACCCTAATACTGCACTTTTCCAATGGTCTTAGCAAATGGCACACCAGGAGATTATATCCTGTGCCTGGCTCAGAGGGACCCACACCCAGGGAGACTCACTCATTGCTAGCACAGCAGTCTGAGATTGCACTGCAAGGCAGCAGCGAGGCTGGGGGAAGGGCATCTGCCATTGCTGAGGCTTGAGTAGGTAAACAAAGCACCCTGGAGCCCACCGCAGCTCAAGGAGGCCTGCCTGCCTCTGTAGACTCCACCTCTGGGGGCATGGCATAGCCAAGAAAAAGGCAGCAGAAACATCAGCAGACTGAAATGTCCCTGTCTGACAGCTTTGAAGAGAGTGGTGGTTCTCCCAGCACAGAGTATGAGATCTGAGAACGGACAGACTACCTCCTCAAGTGGGTCCCTGACCCCCAAGTAGCCTAACTGGGAGGAATCCCCCAGTAGGGGTAGACTGACACCTCACATGGCCAGGTACCCCTCTGAGACAAAGCTTCCAGAGGAACGATCAGGCAGCACATTTGCTGTTCAGCAATATTTGCTGTTCTGCAGCCTCCACTGCTGATACCCAGGCAAACAGGGTCTGGAGTGGACCTCCAGCAAACTCCAACAGACCTGCAGCTGAGAGTCTTGACTGTTAGAAAGAAAACTAACAAACAGAAAGAACATCCACACCAAAACCCTATCTGTACGTCACCATTATCAAAGACCAAAGGTAGATAAAACCACAAAGATGGGGAAAAATCAGAGCAGAAAAGCTGAAAATTCTAAAAATCAGAGTGCCTCTCCCACTCCAAAGGAATGCAGCTCCTCAACAGCAACAGAAGAAAGCTGGACATAGAATGACTTTGCCTAGTTGAGAGAAGAAGGCTTCAGATGATCAAACTTATCCGAGCTAAAGGAGGAAGTTCCAACCCATGGCAAAGAAGCTAAAAACCCTGAAAGAAGATTAGACGAATGGCTAACTAGAATAACCAATGTAGAGAAGTCCTTAAATGACCTGATGGAGCAGAAAAACATGGCAAGAGAACTACGTGACGAATGCAAAAGCTTCAGTAGCTGATTCGATCAACTGGAAGAAAGGGTATCAGTGATTGAAGATCAAATGAATGAAATGAAGTGAGAAGAGAAGTTTAGAGAAAAAACAGTAAAAAGCAATGAACAAAGCCTCCAAGAAATATGGTACTAGGTGAAAAGACCAAATCTCCGTCTGATGGGTGTACCTGAAAGTGACAGGGAGAATGGAACCAAGTTGGAAAACACTCTGCAGGATATTATCCAGGAGAACTTCCCCAACCTAGCAAGGCAGGCCAACATTCAAATTCAGGAAATACAGAGAGTGTCACAAAGATACTCCTCGAGAAGAGCAAGTCCAGGACACATAATTATCAGATTCACCAAAGTTGAAATGAAGGAAAAAATGTTAATGGCAGCCAGAGAGAAAGGTCAGGTTCCCCACAAAGGGAAGCATATGAGACTAACAGTGGATATCTCAACAGAAACTCTATAAGCCATAAGAGAGTGGGGGCTAATATTGAACAATCTTAAAGAAAAGAATTTTCAACCCACAATTTCATATCCAGCCAAACTAAGCTTCATAAGTGAAAGAGAACTAAAATCCTTTACAGAAAGGCAAATGCTGAGATATTTTGTCACCACCAAGCCTGCCCTACAACAGCTCCTGAAGGAAGCACTAAACATGGAAAGGAACAACCAGTACCAGCTACTGCAAAAACATGGCAAATTGTAAAGACCATCAATGCTAGGAAGAAACGAATCAACTAATGAGCAAAATACCCAGCTAACATCATAATGACAGGATTAAATTCACACATAACAATCTTAGCCGTAAATGTAAATGGGCTAAATGCTCCAATTAAAAGACACAGACTGGCAAATTAGATAAAGAATCAAGATCCATCAATGTCCTGTATTCAGGAGACCCATCTCACATAGACACATATAGGCTCAAAATAACTCATTTTATGAGGTCAGCATCATCCTGATACCAAAGCCTTCCAGAGGCACAACAAAAAAAGAGAATTTTAGACCAATATCCCTAATGAACATCGATGCAAATATCCTTAATAAACTACTGGCAAACTGAATCCAGCAGCACATCAAAACACTAACTCATCACAATCAAGTGGGCTTCATCCCTGGGATGCAAGGCTGGTTCAACATACACAAATCAATAAACGTAATCCAGCATATAAACAGAAACAAAGACAAAAACCACATGATTATCTCAATAGATGGACAAAAGTCCTTCAACAAAATTCAACGCCCTTCAAGCTAAAAACTCTCAATAAATTAGGTATTGATGGGAAGTATCTCAAAATAATAAGAGCTATTTATGACAAACCCACAGCCAATATCATACTGAATGGGCAAAAACTGGAAGCATTCCCTTTGAAAACTGGCACAAGACAGGGATGCCCTCTCTCACCACTCCTATTCAACATAGTGTTAGAAGTTCTGGCCAGGGCAATCAGGCAGGAGAAGGAAATAAAGGGTATTCAATTAGGAAAAGAGGAAGTCAAATTGTCCCTGTTTGCACATTACATGATTGTATATTTAGAAAACCCCATCGTCTCAGCCCCAAATCTCCTTAATCTGATAAGCAACTTCAGCAAAGTCTCAGGATAGAAAATCAATGTGCAAAAATCACAAGCATTCTTATGCACCAATAACAGACAAACGGAGAGCCAAATCATGAGTGAAATCACATTCACAATTGCTTCAAAGAGAATAAAATACCTAGGAATCCAACTTACAAGGGATGTGAAGGACCTCTTCAAGGAGAACTATGAACCACTGCTCAACAAAATAAAAGAGGACACCAACAAATGGAAGAACATTCTATGCTCATGGATAGGAAGAATTAATATCATGAAAATGCCCATACTGCCCATGGTAATTTATAGATTCAATGCCATCCCCGTCAAGCTACCAATGACTTTCTTCACAGAATTGGAAAAAACTACTTTAAAGTTCATATGGAACAAAAAAAAAAAAGCCCGCATTGCCAAGTCAATCCTAAGCCAAAAGAACAAAGCTGGAGCCATCATGCTACCTGACTTCAAACTATACTACAAGGCTACAGTAACCAAACAGCATGGTACTGGTACCAAAACAGAGATATAGACCAATGGAACAGAACAGAGCCCTCAGAGATAATACCACACTTCTACAACCATTGGATCTTTGACAAACCTGACAAAAACAAGAAATGGGGAAAGGATTCCCTTTTTAATAAATGATGCTGGGAAAACTGGCTAATCATATGTAGAAAGCTGAAACTGGATCCCTTCCTTACACCTTATACAAAAATTAATTCAAGATGGATCAAACATTTAAATGTTAGACCTAAAACCATAAAAACCCTAGAAGAAAACCTAGCAATACCATTCAGGACATAGGCACAGGCAAGGACTTCATGTCTAAAACACCAAAAGCAATGGCCACAAAAGCCAAAACTGACAAATGGGATCTAATTAAACTAAAGAGCTTCTGCACAGCAGAAGAAACTATCATCAGAGTGAACAGACAACCTAGAGAATGGGAGAAAATTTTTGCAACCTATTCATCTGACAAAGGGCTACTATCCAGAATCTACAAAGAACTCAAACAAATTTACAAGAAAAAAACAAACAACCCCATCAAAATGTGGGCAAAGGATGTGAACAGACCTTTCTCAAAAGAAGACATTTATGCAGCCAACAGACACATGAAAAAATGCTCATCATCATGGGCCATCAGAGAAATGCAAATCAAAACCACAATGAGATACCATCTCACACCAGTTAGAATGGTGATCATTAAAAATTCAAGAAACAACAGGTGCTGGAGAGGATGTGGAGAAATAGGAACACTTTTACACTGTTGGTGGGGCTGTAAACTAGTTGAACCATTGTGGAAGACAGTGTGGCGATTCCTTAAGGATCTAGAACTAGAAATACCATTTGATCCAGCCATCCCATTACTGGGTATATACCCAAAGGATTATAAATCATGCTGCTATAAAGACACATGCACACGTATGTTTATTGAGGCACTATTCACAATAGCAAAGACTTGGAACCAACCCAAATGTCCATCAATGATAGACTGGATTAAGAAAATGTGGCACATATACACCATGGTATACTATGTAGCCATAAAAAATGATAAGTTCATGTCCTTTGTAGGGACATGGATGAAGCTGGAAACCATCATTCTCAGCAAACTATCACAAGGACAAAAAACCAAACACCACATGTTCTCACTCATAGGTGGAAATTGAACAATGAGAACACTTGGACACAGGAAGGGGAACATCACTCACCGGGGCCTGTCGTGGGGTGGGGGTAGAGGAGAGGGATAGCATTAGGAGATATACCTAATGTAAATGACAAGTTAATAGGTGCAGCACACCAACATGGCACATGTATACATATGTAACAAACCTGCACGATGTGCACATGTACCCTAGAACTTAAAGTATAATAGTAATAAATGAAATGTTGATGGTAAGAATATGGGTAGAGAAAACTTTTATTTGGGTAGATGTTAGAAGCTGAGGCCTGGGTGCGGTTATAAAAGCAATATTAAGTATGAGGAGAAGGAGGCCCTGAACTAAGGTCATTGCAAGTGAATGGAGTAGGGAATAGATAGGAGAGGTATTTTGGACAAAGATGTGGCAGCTGATAGGTGTGGGAGTTGTTCTCATGTACCAGCCCAGTCTACAAAGTTCTCAGGGCAAATGGAACACAAGTTTTTTCTGCAGGAAGTGATACAGCATGGTAGATCTTGAATTGAGACTTCTAAAATCTTTACTAAAACTTTAAAGGAGAATACAATAGTAAAACACAGGGTATGGACAATTTTAGTTGACAGGTGATAAACAGAAAAGACATATCTTGGAGGTGGGGGGAAAAAAAAGACCAGTTTTTTTTGACAACTGCAAGAACAGCAGAGTTAAACAGGGGATAGGCTCATGTCAGAGATCCAGTTCTATTTACTAAAATTTCCTTGAGTATTCAAGCATTCTGAAATTCTGAGATCTTGCAAAAGGATGCCTTTGTTTAAACTTTCCTTCATCTAGCTACAGAACATAGTTGAACTTTGAGGCCTTTGACCCCAGACAAGACAAAACATCTTTCACCTTGCCTATTGCTTAACACATATTTGTTAACTATTTAACCTTCATGGATAAAAAATTTCAAACATCTGTATTAACTAATTTGCTAATGATTGTTTCAAATATCTGATCCATGGGTTTCTTCTTACATTAGTTAAATTTGTTGTAAGTTCTTTACATTTTTAATTATCTTATATCATTGGATATAATTGCTAAATCTCTATATGACATGTTGATTAATATAAAGTCAATTAAAAAAACTAACATGTTAAATATTGTTCTTACATAATGCCAGGTATAACGCTATGCATTTTTATATATATTGCATTGTGTAATCTAATTCCTCTGGAAAACATGCATTCTAATTTCTGGCTCCAAAGCTGTGAGAAAACACTTTGAGTTCTGATTGATTAAGCAACCTAACAAAGAAGTAGGAGACATAATTAAAATTTGAAACCAGCCTAAGCTTTGAAACTATGAGTGGTGATGATTACCTTCTCCAAGTTATTATTAAATTAACGGCACATTTCTGAGAATTGTGAATGTTATTTCAATGGAAGTTTACAGATATGTGTCAAAATTTTTTCATCATTTTTAAAAAAAATTTGTAATGAAATGAGAAAAGATCCAAAATGGCCATAGGTCTAAAATATTTTGCCCTCAGAAACTAAAGAAAATCGTTGCCACATCCTGCTCTAAGTTTTTCAGCCATAACTATTCTTAGATGGCTGATATTTTCTATTCCACATGGAAAAAGACTTCTCAGGCATTTGATGACCAGACGACAGGGAAAAAGTTATGATGTTGGTGGTGGAATGTTCTGCTACAGGCATTTGAGAACCTCACAGAACTCTTAATATTCACTTTTAATTCATTCCACCAGGGAGGAAGGGTATGTGTTTTGGAGCCATTCATATATGGTTTCAAAATTTGACTCTGGCATTTACCTCTGTAAGAACTTGAGGAATTTACTTGGTCTCTCTGAGCTTTGGTATGTTTAGAATGAGGATGATACTAACAGATTCTACATCATGATTGTTACTTGAATGAAGAAATATAAAGTGCATTTTAAATTCATTTGGTCCCTTAACATTGTCCCTTCCCTTGTTATCTTTTCAGAGTTTCTTCTTGAATGGCTCAAGGACTGAAGCATCCCACAAAATGATTCTACTGAATAACTCCCAGAAGCTGCTGGTTCTATACAAACCCTTGGCCTGGAGCATACCTGAGTCCCTGAAGGTGAGGGAACAGTGAGAGAGTCAGAGGCTTTGTGCATGTTTCTTTACCTTTCTGTGCCTTTACCTTCGTTCTTTTCATCAAGGAAATAGGAATAATATTAGCGCCTACCTCTTAAAGTTTTTGTGGACACTAAATAAATCCATACAATGTAAGTGCTAAGAGCATTGCCAAGTGCCCAGCTAGTGCACAGTAGCTCTTTGGTATCAGAAGGACACCTACCTGTGAGTTCTGCCTACTTGATGGTGACTTCATGTCAATCAGAAGGGTCCTAGAGATGCTGCTGATCTCACCATCACTGACTTGGTCACAGTACTGTCTGTTGACTTTTGTTTTTCTCTTTCTCTTCACATCCAGATCTCCATCTCTGAGGATCCCAGGCTCTCCTAGTCTTTCCATCCCTCCTTCAGGTGTATGGCTCTGTGTACCACATAAATCACAGGAACCCCTTCAATATGGAGGTGCTAGTGGACTCCTGGCCTGAGTATCAGATGGTTATTATCCAGCCTCAAAAGCAGGTAGGCACACAGATAGGGACGGGTGGAGCCAGGTTGGTCCAAAGGGCCTAAGGAACTGACCAGTTGAGACACCAGGGCTGCTTTTATAGAGTGAAAGAAAATGTGAGTATTTTAAAAGACTCCTTAAGTACTTCGCACCTTGCAAGAGTGCCATGTGTTCCCACCCTTCCTGTAAAGCATAAGACTCATCTAGGAAAAGGGGTGGAGGGGGTAGAGGAAGAAAATGATAAGGCTGACACTCACAGACTAAGGGCCTTTTGAGGTGGCAGGGGTCACCTGCAGGGGCTGAGAGGAGGCAAATTGACAGGGAAAGTTGGGTGTCTGAGATATCAGAACAGTGACTTAGAAACAAAAACCAAAGCAGAAGTCTACCAGTAAAAATTTCCTCTCAGGGCCAGGCATGATGTCTTCTTCCTGTAATCCCAGCACTTCAGGAGGCCAAGGCAGGAGGATCACTTGAGCCCAGGAATTTGAGACCCACCTCTGCAACATAGTGAGACCTCATCTCCACACACACACAAAAATAAATAAAAAATAAACAAAATTAGCAGGGCATGGTAGTGCATGTTTATTCTCCTAGCTGCTCAGGAGGCTGAGGTGGGAGGATGACTTGAGCCCCAGAAAGTCAAGGCTGCAGTGAGCCAACATCACACCGCTGTACTCCAGCCTGGGCAACAGAGTGAGACTCTGTCTTAAACAAACAAACAAAAAAACAAGAACCAGGAGGTTACTTTGCAGGAACCAGAGAAGGGAATCATAATTACTGTGTGTCAACTATTTGGAAGCAATTGTCTTGTTAGTGACTTATCATTAGAACAATCTAACGAAGTGACCATTAATGTCTCCAATTTAGAGATAAGGAAATGACACTGAGAAATATTAAGTCATGTAGCTGCTGGATACCAGACGTTAAAGCATTGCCCAATCTGAATTAAAGTTCAAAGGACTGACGGTAACCATAGGCCCTTCTCTGAGTTTCATCATGTGTTAAAATGGGAAAAATAACAGGACCTTCTTCAGAGGATTACAAGACGTTTAAATGAGATATTGTACATCAAAGACTTAGTACATAGCACATGATTTTAAATAGTATTTACCATAATTAGCCATTATGGTAATTGGAATAAACTATTAAGCTGAAATAAGGAATAAACTATTAAGCTGAAATAGTAATACAAACCTGGGTCTATTTTTTTGCCCTAAAGACTTCCCCTTTTTGTATGCATTTTATGCACATCTGGTTAGTGAACTGAAGCCTCATTGCCAGCCCAACTTCATGCGAGTATAGGCGCTGAGCCTCCAAATAGTAATAAGCCACCCGAATTCAAGACTAGCGTGCAAACTGGGTCAGGATTGGAATGCAGAAAGTGACAAAGTGACCCTAGATTGAGGAACAAAGGGGTAAAGGGGGTGAGAGCCAGGCTGAGCCTAACACCTTCCCTAAGGATGTTCTTTTGATTTCCTGGCTTCCTGACAATTTCGGATTGAAGATGAATGCTTAGTTTATTTAATCCATGGTCCAAGTTCTTCAAAGTGTGATATGCTAAATAATTGTAGGAAGCCAAATAGTTCTTTTTACTTCACTAACTTTGTATTTATTATGTGTATTTTAGCATCGTAACTATAGCATCAAACCATAACTTCATATATGCATTGCTTTGAACAAGGCTAGTTTTTATAAAGTGAGTCAATATACAAAAATATTGAAATATAAAAGTTCCACAGGACACATATATGACCAAAAAAAAAGGAAAGATTGAAATATGCTGCAATTTACTTTGAATTACATTCACCTTGTCTGATTCCATAGTATACCATGTTTCGTGCAGTGTTGAAAGTCAATTTGATCTTGAATAATAACTTTTTAGGGTGAGAAACAGAATTTATCTAGAAAAAAATATTTTTTTTGTTGGTTTTTAATCACAATGATAATATATGCTGATTATACAAGGGAAAAATTTAACATGATTTTAAGAAGTTAATAACCTCTCACTTCCCCTCCCCTCCTCTCCTCATTTCCTACCCTTTGGGGTAATCAATGTCCTTGTGCATATTAACATACACTGATGATCTCTCCTGTCGTCACTTTATTTATTTATTTATTTATTATACTTTAAGTTTTAGGGTACATGTGCACAATGTGCAGGTTAGTTACATAGGTATACATGTGCCATGCTGGTGTGCTGCACTCATTAACTTCTCATTTAACATTAGGTATATCTCCTAATGCTATCCCTACCCCCACCCCCACCCCACAACAGGCCCCAGTGTGTGATGTTCCCCTTCCTGTGTCCATGTGTTCTCATTGTTCAATTCCCACCTATGAGTGACAACACGCGGTGTTTGGTTTCTTGTGCCTGTGATAGTTTGCTGAGAATGATGGTTTCCAGCTTCATCCATGTCCCAACAAAGGACATGAACTAGTTCAACCATTGTGGAAGTCAGTGTGGTGATTCCTCAGGGCTCTAGAACTAGAAATACCATTTGACCCAGCCATGCCATTACTGGGAATATATCCTGTCATCACTTGTTAATTTGCCTTTGACATATGGGCATCCCTTTGGGAAAATCAATACAGAACTAATATATTCGTTTTAACAACTGTGGCATTCCACAGAGCCAATGCAATGCTATTTAGTCACTCTTTCTTCTGCTGTTGGGTTCAAATTTTTCACACTTTGTTGCAAGTACAAACAATGCTTCAAAAAATGTCCTCTTATATATGTCTTTACATCCTGGAAACTTTTCTCAATACAATTGATTTCCAAAAGGGATGTCTCCAAGTCAGAATTTATTTTATCATAAGTAAGCCCTGCCAGATTACCTTCCCAAAGGATTCCAGTTTTATTTCCATTAGCAATGTGTGGAAGAATTGTTTCCCCACATTCTCACCGGCACTGAATGTTTTCCCTCTTTTAACTTATGCCAAACTGGTGAGTGAAAGTTGGCATCTTATTGTAGATTTAATTTGCATTTCCATGACTAGTGATAGTCAACATATTGTATTTTCATATGTTTATCAGTAATTTGGGGTTTACTTCTGAACTGTTTGTATTGTTTCACCATGTTTACACTGGGGTTTTATGTCATTCTTAAAATTCTGTAAGTGTTTTTGATACTAGGGATACTAACACAAGGCGTATGCTACAAATTTATTGCCCAATTTAGAATTATTTTCTATTTTATTGATGGAGATTTTGACATGAAGAAATTTTTAACTTTCCTGTAATCAAATATGTTATATTTTTCACTATGACTTCAGAGGTTTTGTTTTCTTTAGTTAATAATTAGGAAGATTTTTCCTACTCCAAGATCATGCAAGTGTTTTCTTATTTTGTCTTACAGTGAGTTAATTTTTACTTTTGACATTTCAATCTTCATTCTATTTAAAATATGTTTTTGAATAGCATGAAATAACATTCTTTTATATTTTTCTTCCTTATGGCTGGCTAATTATGTTATTACTATTTATTAAATAAGTCATTCCACTACTGAAACATAAATGTCTATGTTGTCATATCACCTTTACATATTTTTGTATCTATTTCTGTATTTGTTTCTAGTCTTTTCTTATGCTATTTCATTGTTTTGTGGTAAATTTTAATATCTAATAAAGCAAATCACCCTTCACCAATACTTTTCTTACTTTCCTATTTCTTATACACTTAAGAGCCATATGAACAATAACTAATTTTCCCAGTTCCCCACCAACTACCCCAACTAACTATTGCAATTGTGGTTAGTATTGTCTAAAAGACGATTGTGGAAAGATTACTATTTTTGCGGTACTACATCTTGTCATCTAGAAATATGGTCTTTTTCTCACTTTTTTCAGTTTCTGTTCTATGCCATCTTGTAAAATTTAAGTGTTTTCCTGTAGTAAACTACATGATTTTCCATTAAGTTTACTTTTCGGTATTTTATATTATTTGTTAAGATTATTAAATTATTTTTCCTTTTCTATTTCTGAGAATTATTATTTTGTTATTGCTTTTCATTTGTATTTTTGATTTCCAAATATGTCACACTATTCTTTAAAATCCTGTTTGTGTAGGGTATTATTTGGTTTTGTTTTTTGTCAAAGTCTCTTGGATTTTCTCAATGCATAATACTGTAATGTACAAACAAAGTTATTTGCTGCTTCTTTGCCAATATTTGTAAGGGTTTTTAGTTTCTTGACTTATTGCATAATTTACAACCTAAGGAAACAATACCAACTAACAATAATAATATTTTTATACTTGTCTCATTCCTGATTTTAATAAAATAGCTATAACAACATATATGTAGAATTGCATTTGATTCTGTCTTTACATGTTTAGAGCATTTTCCTCTTGTTCCTACTTTCATAGAACTTATATTTATAATGGAGAGTAAATTTTATATTCTTTCATTTTTGTCTTTTCTATTTGGCAACTTATATACTCATGTAATTTTTCCTCCTTTAATTTATCACACTAAAAGATCTTCCAATCAAAGCCATTCAAGCCTTTCTAAAACAAACTGTTCCTGTTCACATTTTTTTACCTTTTTTTTAATTGTACTTTAAGTTCTACGGTACATGTGCACAACGTGCAGGTTTGTTACATAGGTATACATGTGCCATGTTGGCTTGCCGCACCCATCAACTTGTCATTTACTTTAGGTATTTCTCCTAATTCTACTCCTCCCCCAGCCCCCCAGTCACCCACCCCCTGAAAGGCCCTGATGTTCCCCATCCTGTGTCCAAGTGTTCTCATTGTTCAATTCCCACCTAGGAGTGAGAACATGCAGTGTTTTTTTTCTGTCCTTGTGATTGTTTGCTGAGAATGATGGTTTCCAGCTTCATCCATGTCCCTGCAAAGGCCATGAACTCATTCTTTTTTATGGCTGCATAGTATTCCATGGTGTATATATGCTACATTTTCTTAATCCGGTCTATCATTGATGGACATTTGAGTTGGTTCCAAGTCTTTGCCATTGTGAATATTGCCGCAATAAACATACATGTGCATGTGTCTTTATAGTAGCATGATTTATAATCCTTTGAGTATATACCCAGTTATGGCATCGCTGGGTCAAATGGTATTTCTAGTTCTCGATCTTTGAGAAATCACCAAACTGTCTTTCATAATGGTTGAACTAATTTACACTCCCACCCACAGTGTAAAAGCATTTATATTTTTCCACAGCCTCTTCAGCATCTGTTGTTTCCTGACTTTTTAATGATCACCATTCTAAATGGAGTGAGATGGTATCGCATCGTGGTTTTGATTTACATTTCTCTAATGACCAGTGATAATGAGCATTTTTTCATGTGTCTGTTGGCTGCATAAATACCTTCTTTGGAGAAGTGTCTGTTCAAATCTTTTGCCCAATTTTGATGGGGTTTTTTTTTCTTTTAAATTGGTTTAAGTTCCTCATAGATTCTGGATATTAGCCCTTTATCAGATGGGTAGATTGCAAAAATTTTCTCCCATTCTGTAGGTTGCTTGTTCACTCTGATGATAGTTTCTTTTGCTGTGCAGAAGCTCTTTAGTTTAATTAGATCCCATTTGTCTGTTTTGGCTTTTGTTGCCATTGTTTTTTTGTTTTAGTCATGAAGTCTTTGCCCATGCCTATGTCCTGAATGGTATTGGCTATGTTTTCTTCTAAGGTTTGTATGCTATTAGGTCTTACATTTAAGTCTTTAAACCATCTTGAGTTAATTTTTGTATAAGGTGTAAGGAAGGGATCCACGTTCAGCTTCCTACATATGGCTAGCCAGTTTTCCCACCACCATTTATGAAATAGGGAATAGTTTCCCCATTTGTTGTCTTTGTAAGGTTTGTCAAAGATCAGATGGTTGAGATGTGTGGTGTTATTCCTGAGGCTAGGGTTTTGTTCCATTGGTCTGTATATCTGTTTTGGTACCACGCTGCTTTGATTACTGCAGCCTTGTAGTATTGTTTGAAATTAGGCAGCATGATGCCTCCAGCTTTGTTCTTTTTGCTTAGGATTGTCTTGGCTATTCTTGCTCCTTTTTGGTTCCATATGAACTTCAGAGTAGTTTTTTCCAATTCAGTGAAGAAAGTCTTTTGTTCCTTGATGTGGATGGCACTGACTCTATAAATCACCTTAGGCAGTATGGCCATTTTCACAATATTGATTCTTTCTATCCATGGTCATGGAATGTTCTTCCATTTGTTTGTGTTATCTTTTATTTCATGGAGCAGTGATTTGTAGTTCTTGAAGAGGTCCTTCACATCCCTTGTAAGTTGGATTTCAAGGTATTTTATTCTCTTTGTAGCAATTGTGATTGGGAGTTCACCCATGATTTGGCTCTCTGTTTGCCTCTTATTGGTGTAGAGGAATACTTGTGAGTTTTGCACATTGATTTTGTACCCTGAGACTTTGCTGAAGTTGCTTATCTGCTTAAGGAGATTTTGGGCTGAGACGATGGGGTTTTCTAAATATACAATCATGTCATCTGCAAACAGGGACAATTCGACTTCCTTTTTTCCTAATCGAATACCTTTCATTTCTTTCTCTTGCCTGATTGCCCTGGCCAGAACTTCCAACACTATGTTAAATAGGAGTGGTGAGAAAGAGCACCCTTGTCTGTGTTGGTTTCCAAATGGAATGCTTCCAATTTTTGCCCGTTCAGTATGATATTGGCTCTGGGTTTGTCATAAATAGCTCTTATTATTTAGAGATACATTCGATCAATACCTAGTATATTGAGAGTTTTTATCATGAAAGGCTGTTGAATTTTGTTGAAGGCCATTTCTGTATCTATTGAGATAATCATGAGATTTTTGTCTTTGGTTCTGTTTATGTGATGGATTATGTATATTGATTTGCATATGTTCAACCAGCCTTACATCCAAAGTATGAAGCCGACTTGATCGTGGTGGATTAGCTTTTTAGTGTGCTGCTGGATTCGGTTCGCCAGTATTTTATTGAGGATATTTGCAGCGATGTTCATCAGGGATATTGGTCTAAAATTCTCTTTATTTGTTGTGTCTCTGCCAGGCTTTGGTGTCAGGATGATGCTGGCCTCATAAAATGAGTTAGGGAGGATTCCCTCTTTTTCTATTGATTGGAATAGTTTCAGAAAGAATAGTACCAGATCCTCTTTGTACTTCTTGTAGCATTCGGCTGTGAATCCCTCTGGTCCTGGACTTTTTTTGTTGGTAGGCTATTAATTATTGCCTCAATTTGAGAACCTGTTATTGGTCAATTCAGAGATACAACTTCTTCCTGGTTTAGTCTTGGGAGGGTGTATGGTTCCAGCAATATATGGATTTCTTCTAGATTTTGTATTTTATTTGCATAGAGGTGTTTATAGTATTCTCTGATGGTAGTTTCTATTTGTAGGATTGGTGGTGATATCCCCTTTTTCATTTTTTATTGCATCTGTTTGATTCTTCTCTCTTTTCTTGCTGGCGTTCTATCAATTTTGTTGATCATTTCAAAAAACCAGCTCCTAGATTCATTGATTTTTTTGAACGGTTTTTTGGGTCACTGTCTCCTTCAGTTCTGCGCTGATCTTAGTTATTTCTTCCCTTCTGCTAGCTTTTGAATTTGTTTCCTCTTGCTTCTCTAGTTCTTTTAGTTGTGATGTTAGGGTGTTGACTTTAGATCTTTCCTACTTTCTCTTGTGGACATTTGGTGCTATAAATTTCCCTCCACACACTACTTTAAATGTGTCCCAGAGCTTCTGGTACATTGTTTCCTTGTTCTCATTGATTTCAAAGAACATCTTTATTTCTGCCTTCATTTCATTATTTACCCAGTAGTCATTCAGGAAAAGGTTTTTCAGTTTCCATGTAGTTGTGCAGTTTTGAGTGAATTTCTTAATCCTGAGTTCTAATTTGATTGCACTGTGGTCTGAGAGACAGTTTGTTGTGATTTCTATTCTTTTACATTTGCTGAGGAGTGTTTTATTTCCAATTATGTGGTCAATTTTAGAATGAGTGCGATGTGATGAGAAGAATGTATATTCTGTTGATTTGGGGTAGAGAGTTCTGTAGATGTCTATTAGGTCCACTTGGTGCAGAGCTGAGTTCAAATCCTGGATATCCTTGTTAACTTTCTGTCTCATTGATCTGTCTAATGTTGACAGTGGGGTGTTAAAGTCTCCCATTATTATTGTGTGGGAGTCTAAGTCTCTTTTTAGGACTCTAAGGACTTGCTTTATCAATCTGGGAGTTCCTGTGTTGGGTGCATATATATTTAGGAGAGTTAGCTCTCCTTGTTGAGTTGATCCCTTTACCATTATGTAATAGCCTTCTTTGTCTCTTTTGATCTTTGTTGGTTGAAAGTCTGTTTTATCAGAGACTAGGATTGCAAGCCCTGCTTTTTGTTGTTTTCCATTTGCTTGGTAGATCTTCCTCCATCCATTTATTTTGAGGCTATGTGTGTCTCTGCATGTGAGATGGGTCTCCTGAATACAGCAGATTGATGAGTCTTGATTCTTTATCCAATTTTCCAGTCTGTGTCTTTTAATTGGGACATTTAGCCCATTTACATTTAAGGGTAATATTGTTATGTGTGAAATTGATCCTGCCATTATAATGTTAGCTGGTTAATTTGCCCACTACTTGATGCAGTTTCTTTATAGCATCAATGGTCTTTATAATTGGGCACGTTTTTTTCTGTGGCTGGTACCAGTTTTTCCTTTCCATGTTTAGTGCTTCCCTCAGGAACTCTTAGGCCTTGTGGTAACAAAATCTCTTAGCATTTGCTTGTCTGTAAATGATTTTATTTCTCTTTCACTTATGAAGCTTAGTTTGGCTGGATATGAAATTCCAAGTTGAAAATTCTTTTCTTTAAGAATGTTGAATATTGGCCCCTACTCTCTTCTGGTTTGTAGGTTTTCTGCTGAGAGATCCGCTGGTAGTCTGATGGGCTTCCCTTTGTGGGTAATCCAACCTTTCTCTCTGGCTTCCCTTAACATTTTTTCTCATTTCAATCTTGGTGAATCTGACAATCATGTGTCTTGAGGTTGCTCTTCTCAAGGTTGCTCTTCTCAAGGAGTATCTTTGTAGTGTTCTCTGTATTTCCTGAATTTGGATGTTGGCTTGCCTTTCTAGGTTGGGGAAGTTCTCCTAGATAATATCGTGAAGAGTGTTTTCTAACTTGGCTCCATTCCCCCCGTCACTTTCAGATACACCAATCAAACGTAGATTTGGTCTTTTCACATAGTCTCATATTTATTGGAGGCTTGTTTGTTTCTTTTTACTCTCTTCTCTCACTTTGTCTTCTCACTTTATTTCATTAATTTGATCTTCAATCACTGATATCCTTTCTTCCACTTGATTAAATTGGCTATTGAAGCTTGTGAATGCATCAAGAAATTCTCGTGCCAAGGTTTTCAGCTCCATCAGGTCATTTAATGTCTTCTCTACACTCTTTATTCTAGTTAGCCATTCGTCTAACTTTTTTTAAATGTTCTTAGCTTCATTTCAATGGGTTAGAAGATGCTCCTTTAGCTCGGAGAAGTTTATTATTACCGACCTTCTGAAGCCTACTTCTGTCAACTCGTCAAAGTCATTCTCCGTCCAGTTTTGTTCCATTGCTGGCAAGAAGCTGCAATCCTTTGGAGGTGAAGAGGTGCTCCAGATTTTGGAATTTTCAGCTTTTCTTTTCTGGTTTCTCCCCATCTTTGTGGTTTTATCTACCTTTGGTCTTTGATGTTGGTGATCTACGATGGGGTTTTGCTGTGGATGTCCTTTTTGTTGATGTTGATGCTATTCCTTTCTGTTGTTAGTTTTCCTTCTAAAAGTCAGGCCTCTCAGCTGCATGTCTGTTGGAGTTTGCTGGTAGTCCCTCTATACCCTTTTTGCCTGGGTATCACCAGTGGAGCTGGCAGAACAGCAAATAGTGTAGAACAGCAAATATTGCTGCCTGATCCTTCCTCTGAAAGCTTCATCCCAGAGGGGCAACCTCCTGTATGAGGTGTCTGTCAGCCCCTACTGGGAGGTGTCTCCCAGTCAGGCTACATGGGGGTCAGGGACCCACTTTATGAGGCAGTCTGTCTGTTTTCAGAGCTCAAACACCATGCTGGAAGAATCACTGCTCTCTTCAAAGCTGTCAGAGACATTTAAGTCTGCAGAAGTTGTCTGCTGACTTTTATTCAGCTACGCCCTGCCCACAGAGGTGGAGTCTATAGAGGACGTAGGCCTTGTTGAGCTGCGGTGGGATCCGCCCAGTTGAAGCTACTTGGCCACTTTGTTTACCTACTCAAGCCTCAGCAATGGCGGATGCACCTCCTCCTGTCAGACTGCAGCCTTGCAGGTTGATCTCAGACTACTGCACTGGCAGTGAGAAAGGCTCCATTGGTGTGAGACCTGCTGAGGCAGGCACGGGAGGGAATCTCAAGGACTGCTGGTTGCTAAGACTGTCAAAAAGTGCAGCATTTGGGCAGAAGTGTACCATTTTCCCAGGTGGAGTCTGTCATGGCTTCCCTTGGCTAGGAAACAGAAATACCCCAACCCCTTCTGCTTCCTGGGTGAGGCAATGCCCCATGCTGATTTGGCTCTCCCTCAATGGGCTGTGCCCACTGTCCAACCTGTCCCTATGAGATAAACCAGGTATCTCATTTGGAAATGCAGAAATCACTCATCTTCTCCATCTAACTTTCTGAGAGCTGCAGACTGGAGGTGTTCCTATTTGGCCATCTTGGAAGTGCTCATGTTCTTCTGATATACTACTGAATATTTTATGCAGAATTTTTATATATGTATTCATAAGAGAATATGGTCAATAAGTCTCTTTTTGTTATTTTTTTAACAGATTTGGCATTAGGAACTTTTCTTCTGTTTCCAAAGCTTAATATTAAAATTATGTGTTTGTTTTGGCTTGTGTACAATTTAAATGAAAAATAATCTGATTTTGGCTACTTCTTATTTTTTAATTTTAATTTTTTTCTTTAGATACAAGTGGTCCATATGCAGATTTTTTACATGTGAATATTGCATGATGCTGAATTTTGGAGTACGGACCGATCCCATCTGCCTGGTAGTGAGCATCGTACCCAATAGTTTTCTAACCAGCCCCTCTGTCTCTACCCTCTAGTAGTCCACAGTATCTATTGTTCCCACATTTATGTCCATGTATGATCAATGCTTAGCTGTCAGTTATGAGTGAGAACATGTGGTATTTGGTTTTCTGTTACAGCATTAATTTGCTTAGGATTATTGCACTGTGGAAAGTAGTCTGGAAATTTCTTAGAGAAATTAAAACAAAGTTACCATTCAACCAAACAATGCCATTAGTAGGTAAATAGCCAAAAGAAAATGAATGATTCTACGCAAATGACACATGCATTTGTATATTCATTGCTGCACTGTTCACAATATGAAAGAAATGGAATCAACCCAGATGCCCATCAATTGTAGACTGGATTAAAAAAACGTGGTATATATATTCCTGTGGAATACTACAGAACAACAGAAAAGAATAAAATATTGTCCTTTGTAGCAACATGGGTGGAGCTGGAGGCCATAATCCTTGTCCAATTTTTAAACGGTAGATTTTAAATTTAATTTCTCATATTTTATAATAGTTTGTTGAGGTTTTCTATGTTTTTGAAAGTCAATTTTGATAGTTTATTTTTGAGGGATAACATCCATTTCTTTTATCAATAAATATGTTGCCTTTGAGTAGTATATAATCCTCTATTATAATTTTTTTGTTCTTTTCTCTGTTTGCATTCTCATCTCTCATACTCTACGCTTATTTTTTTATTTTTGTTTTTTCTCTGTCTCTCGTATTTCCTTAAAATACCTTACCAGAAGTTTATCCCTCTCTCTCTTCTCTTTCTGTTTTTGCCATTTAAAAATGAACTCTGGTTTTTATATATCCTTTATACTATGTCTTGTTTTCCATTTCATTATAGGTAGCTTTCATTTTTATAGATGGTTCCATTTGTTTTCTTCTAGTTTACTTTGATAATCTTTTTATAATTCCTTGAATATTTACTTGGCTATTTTCAGTCATTTTTAAAAATCTGGTCTTTTAAAACATCTACTATTTTAAATTCATGGAAGTTTTGGTTTCGGCCATATTCAGGAACTTCCTTTCATAAAAACACTCGCAAATTCTTGAAGTTTTCTTTAAAATTAGTCACACTATTTTCTCTTTTTTCTAAAATAATATTCACTGCTAAAACTCTCATACTTATTGTTTATATTTCACCCAAGAAACAGAAATTCATCTTCCCATGAAGTTTGTGGCTTGCCAGAAGGTGATCACCAGTCTATTTTTTTAAACCCATAAGTCTAACACCACATAAATTACCCAGAGTGCTGCCAAAATTTCAGCTATTTCATTCTATTTTGTGGGCTTCTGGCTTTAAAGACAGTGTCACTCTTTCAATAGGCTGATATCCTGTAGGCTTGGGAAAAGGCTGTGTCTCATTAATGTTTATATTCACTAAAGCATCTTGCCCAAGCCCTGGACACTAGATTCTAGGACACTATAGATTCTAGGTGTCTGGTGAAACAGTAGGCACTAACATTTAGATAATTCACAGCTAAATTTATTTTGAGCCAAGTTTAAGGACTTAATCCTAGAGATACAGCCTCAGTACATCCCAGGATGTGTCACACAGGAGGTTACGTGGGGGCACAGTATATATAACAGGGGGATACCTGTGGCCCAGGAGGTGAGAAAAGCAGGGAGAGAAGCAACTGATGCAATCTGATTCTGCTGGGTTCTCGGTGATGCTATATATAAAATAAAGTAAGTGTGCAATTGAGTGAGTAGGGAGAAAGGTGAGGCATCTTAAGGCCTGGTGGAAGGTGGCTGATTTCATCCTGTCTTCTTTCTGGATCTGATAAGCAGTTTTATAACCAGTACCTGTCACTGAAATATTTAACAAACTCCAGTTACGCAGGCAAGAGGTCAGCAGTAGCTTATAAGCCTAGGTTTTATTATCCGTGTGCCCACCTGCAGCCATCATGGGCCACTGGTAAAATTTTCTTTTGAACTTTCATTTTTCTGATAATTGCAATCAGTGAGAGGTGAAGAAAAAGTTCAATTGAATGATCTGAACTTTCACCATCCTAAACAGGAGATGACTGATGACGTGGATTCATACACAAATGTACATTGTATGTTCTCCAAAGAGACTAAAAAATCACAAGAAGTTTTGAAATATGTGAGATCATAAACTGGAAACAGATACTCCAAATCCATGATAACAAGTCTGAAGAAATGGGCAAGCAGCTGTTCTTCTCAAATTGAGTCATCAACTAATATTATTAGCATCACCTGAGAGCTCAATAGAAATGTAAATTTACAAAAACTCTGGGGACTGGGAGAAGTAGAGCAATCTGTGGTGTGACAAAGACTCCAGCAGATTGTGGTGTAAACTCAAGTTTGATAACGACTAAGCATTGATGTATTAATCAGGTGGGAGCAGTGTAAGTAGAGAACTCCATGTCTGACAATATTGCTTTCTTGGCTTTCTTCCCAGGTCTTCAAGAAAGTTTAGGTGAGGGGATAAGAGTGGCTGCATTTTCAAAGTCACTGAAGGTAGAGCAATCAAGAGCAGTCCTCTTTATTATGGAGAATATCCTGAAGTTCCATGACTCCAATAAAAGCAAGCTGGAAGCTGAGCTGAGTCAGGCCACCCAGATGATGAATTTGAGAGACAAAAACATGTGCTGGTCATTTATAATTGCTATTCCTTGTACATTTTTGTTATTCACATAAGTGAGTTTTGGAATGAAAAGAGGATGAATTCATGCTTTGGGATGAATAAAAGTTGTCAATGGTCAAAATACACAGCTTGCAATGGTGGGTCATTAGACAAGAAGAGTCCCTGGGATCTCTAGAATGTGATGGCACCCAGAAATTACAGGGGTGAGGATGAATGTTGTTGTCTTTCTTTTTGTTTTCTATGGTGAAACTCCCAACTTTAAGAATGCCCTGTTGGTTATCTCTTATTCAGGGCTGGTAAATGATAACTGGAGGTGCAGGAAGAATGAGAGGAGCTGGCGTTACATCAAGCACTGTATAGGAGGCCTGCCAGCAGCCTGTATGCTGGGTCCAGATGGGGCTCCGGTATCATGATTAACCTTGGACTCTTCTTGTGATGTAGGAATAGCCTACAGCATGGAAAAATACCAAAGGGCAGACGACATGGCACGGGTGATCATGGGATTCATGAAATATCTGCATCAGAATAATAGTCCATTTTACTTCTCTTTTCTAGAAGTAAATGATGACTCCCACAGATTTGTGGGGCAGTTCTGTTCCTTTGAGGCCACGTGTAAGTACCACCAATGGACCTGATACCCGGAGAATCTAGTTCCATTTTAGACAATGAAGCTACCTAGCTATCTTGTGCAAGCCATCTCTTAATATATCCGTAGAAGAAACCATAGAATAGGTTTCTTCACTTACAAATGTTTATTCGGCATTTATGATATGCCAGGAGCTTTTCTAACATAGAGACTTGATGTTAGAAGACACAGCCATGCTCTTGTGGAACTTACAATCCAGGCTGGAGGCAGGGGAGAGTATAGTCTTTAAATATGCATAAGTGTAGTAGGGAAGGACGGGTTTAGTAGTAAACATGTAACTAGAAAGCCAGGCTCAGTTCTTACCTCTTAGAATCAGAACTCTTTATGAAATGTGGTTGACAGAATCTGCTATCTGGAAGATAAATGAAGGACTTTAATAAAATTGTCATTAGAATATACCTAATCTATATGGATACTTTATTGGAAATAAATAACCCTGATATATATGAATTGAGGCAATGGCTACACTAAAGAATGGAATCAGTCTCTTTGTTTAGTGACTAGCAAGGTATCAAAGTAAAGTCTCAGACAAATGGCTTTCCTAGGCTACCTTTCATCATTGTTACGCAGAAAAGGAAATCTAGAGAATCAAGTGGACTGGCCTTGGGGCCTCTGCTATGGAAATAACATTTGTTGTGCCTCCTTTCTCCTACTCTTTCTCACTTCCTCATCATTATTGAAGCATGGCACAGGGCAAGGTGTTGCATGTGAATCTGGTTATAAGTTCAGCATTTGGTGTTTGCCACTGCTATCTTAAAGGGTCACGGGCATTCCAGGGGAAGTGACCACTAAGGTGAGGACTGGAGAGTGAGTAGGAGTGAGCCAGACAAAAAAAGCGGAAAATCTAGATGATGGAAAGGACACATGCCATGCACTATCATTAGAACTTTCTATTTGAGCGCTTATATTACAATTCTGAATCGCTGATCTTAAAAACAATTACACTTCATGATCAAAAGGTGGCCTCCTTTGGCTCTGGTCTTCCACTCTGCCATTCATATTTGCCATTGGAACTCTGCTAACATGGTGAAACCCCGTCTCTACTAAAAATACAAAAATTAGCTGGGAATGGTGGTACATGCCTGCAATCCCAGCTACTTGGGAGGCTGAGGCAGGAGAATTGCTTGAACTGGGACCTGGGAAGCAGAGGTTGTAGTGAGCCAAGTTCACATCACTGTAGTCCACCCTGGGCTACAGAGTGAGACTCTGTCTCAAAAAAAAAAAAAAAAAAAAAAGAAAGAAAGAAAGAAAGAAAAAAATTGGAAGGCAGAAGGAAATGTGAGTGCAGAAGAGAAGAATGTGATGCGATGATGATGAAAGCAGAGAGATAAAACATGATGTGATTCAGAGACCCAAGCTAAGGAGTGAGGACAGCCTCTATGATCTGGAAAAGGCAAGGGAGCTGATTTACCCACATTGCCTCCAGAAAGAGCTGGCCCTGCCAACATGTCGGTTTTAGCCCCATAAATCCTATTCTGAACTTCCGACTGCCATAAATATAACACATTGTGTTGCTTTAAGTAATCATATTTATCATAATTTGTTATAATGACAAAAGAAAACTAATACATCATAGACATAAGAATCATCTTGAAAATTTAAAGTTAAGCTTTAAATTTGCAACTCAACCTAGCAACCCCTTGTGATAAAAAGCAAGTAAGAAAACCAAATTTTCACTCCTAGCCACAAAATTTAATTTAGCTGAGCATCTCAAAGCTCCTCAGAGGGTACTCAGAATAAAAAGCAATTTTTTTCATCAAAGAAGTCATCTTCATTTAAGAAAGTGTTGCTATAAAGGGTTATCTTGACACTAATGATTGGCATTGGGTGATTTTAATTCTGAGATGTCTGTCACCATAAATGAAATTATGAGACCATAGGATTGAGCTTCTAATTTTCTGTAAGAATACAGAGGAAGAGGAGGGTAAAAATGTTAAGGGTGAGCTTAAATAATACCCAGATCCTGGATAATCAGGTGTCTTTTGTGCTAATGTACATCATCATATTTGTGTTTGAATTAATGATTTTCTACTGATAAGATTTGAAATGGACAGTGGAACTAATCAACAATATTTCTTGGGGATGCATTTCCACTGATGCCAGCCACAAGGTCAAATCTTAAACCCAACATTTTTCAGTGCCTGTAGGATTTTCTCACTATTATCTGCCGCATGAGCATAAAATGGGATTTCTTTCTGAGAAAGATAACTTTCAAGATGATAACCAATTTGCGACATGTTGCCTTGGTTTCTGTGTTTGGGGACAGTATAACCCATTCTCAACTCACTGGACTGTCCCATCACAAGCCAAGAGACAAGCTGTGCCTCTGGACCCAGCACACCAAATCCTAGAAAATCCTGGATGCAGCGTTCAATATATTTAAAGCTCCTCTCATTTTTCCCAAAGGCCCAGTGTTCATTTACAAGACCTGCATGTGAAACACCTAAGAACATGTTTGAAAAGTTTCCTTCCCTATGAAGAAAAAAAAAATTACCTTTATTCAGCCAATATTATCAAACACTGAAATTCCAATAACACCATTCCTTTCCTTAAGGATCCTACAGCCTAGAGGAGGCAATAGCTGTATTACAACTACCTTTTCTATTCCTGCTTCAAAATGTTTCCAAATAATTGGTGGGGGAACACCGTGTTTTATGGTGTATTTAATAGCAGACAGATAATATGATATGTTATAGGACATCTCAAAATGTCCCGTTAAGTATCCTAAGGAAGAAAATGAACACGTCTTTAAAAGAGTGAGGATATAGACCAGAGAAGCCCTCCACGTGGCTGAATTTACTTGAAAGATGCGTGTATGAAATCATGTGCATTTTGAGTTCTACTCCACAAAATATCTAAATATACAAGATAGTAATTCGTTGAACAGATATTCCAATCAAACATATTTTACAGGAAGATGAGAACAATGCTGATCTTACATCTTCATGTGTCCCAAAGCCTGTCATCACATACCCAGAAACGCAGTTTAAGAAGCTGCAATATAGGAAAAAGAATACTAAATTTTTGGTACTAACCTTTGGGATTCTAATCCTGATTATTTTCTTTTGGAAAAGTTATGTAAGACTCAGTTTTCTTGTTTGTAAAATTATAGTAATATCCTCTGTAAATATGGAAATAGTGAAAGAGAGAAGATCTCCAGGAATTTTTGCCCCTCTCCAGGGAGGAAGACTTTTGAGAAGTTTGTCAGTTTCAGAGTCACTTCATGTTTGCCAGTGGGTGGGTAACAGAACGCTAAGTTTTCTATGGGTGATGCTTTGTTTTTGCTCACTTCCATGCCTAACCTGATCCTGGGCTTGCTTCCTGAAAGATCTCAAGTACGCTTTCCTGCACCCCTCTCCTGTGGATAGCCAAACCTAGAATGGCAAGATATAAAGATATCCATGCGTAGGCTTAGAGGAATCACCTTAGGGCAGGTACTTCATGCCAGACTTCCAGAGTTATACTACTAAATATAATTTAATCCCCATTTATCATTGTTCCCTGTGTATATGTTCCCCTTAACAATCTCATGGGAACACTGGTGGGGCAAAGCAGTATTTGAAGACTGTTAACTTTTCTGGCTAAATCAAACATATCTGTGAATGTGTGTTTAAATTCTATTTATTTTTTCAATTAGTAACAAAATTATTAAGCATAAATGGATTACTAGAGGAAAGCAAATCTCTCTTCTTTCTCTGATCTCCTATTACCCAATTACTTTCTCTAGAAGCAACCACTAATACCAATATATTTTGTACAAGTTTCCCATAAATCTATGCAATTTTAGATATGTACATACATTTGTTTATTTTCACAAATGGTAGCATACTATATACATTGTTCTATCCACCTCATGTTTTTTTACATAGCAAACTATTTTGGAAATATTTTCTAATCTGTCATGTAGAGCTGCTTCATTCTTTGTAATGGCTTCATAGTATTCTAATGTTTTAATGTACCATAATGATTTTTTCTATTTCCCCATTACTGGATGTTTAGGTTGTTTCATAAGTTATGATATCACACATTAAATTTATGAAAATCTTACCATCCAGTTTAGAAATATCATTCATTTATTATGCATAGTCTTTGACTCAACAGTTTTAATTCTGGTAATTCATCTTTCAGAAATATTTATACAACTGTTCAATAATCTATTTATGATGATATTCATTTCAGAAAGTGCCGTAAATTATGTGTACATATTGCAAAAATAAATACATAACTCATATGGAGTACTAAAAGCATACATATCAGTGTCAAAATTATTTACACCTAGCAGGGGAACCCAAGAGGACAGATTTTATTTTTCATTTTGTATGCTTATATACTTTCTATAAGCATGTAGCATTTTGTAAGATATAAATAGTTTCAGTAAACATTTTTTGATGCCACCATGATGTCCATTGCCCTCTCCGAAGGACTCTTGTGAGCTCTAAGTGAAATAATATGCATAAAGACCTTGTCTAATGAAGGCTCTGTTCATGCTCAGCACACAGTTCCTAACGTGACGCCCTTTCTTTACCCATGCAATTTTGTAGCCCATCATAATTTAGTCTCAAATTCTACACTTCCAAGTACAGCCTTTGTGGCAACTCAATAATTCTATCAAGGAATTTGGGAAGTAAAACGTAAAATCTCACTTCTTATCATCACCCATTTTAAATAACCCCATATTGTCATTACTTGCAGTCTTGTGTTTCTTTGGTAATTCCGGTATAAAGAGCATGGTTTTCATGTAATCTACCTGCACTGATTTTGAAGTTGCAACCTTTCTTATTGCTTCATCCAAGCCCTCCTGTCAACCTGGAGAGAGGAGAAAGACAGGTACTGCTTTATACCTTCCATATCAGCTAGGAATAAACCACGCATCTTTTCTTTTAACTCAGACTAGTTAGATTGGATCTGGAAAGTTTGCTCCCAGTTGATAACCTCGGAGCGTGACCTCCTCTAAGTTGTCAGGAGCTTTGGTGAAGATGTGGTAAGAGTTGGTGTAATGATCCCAGTCATTTTTTATCTCCAGATACAACAAATATCATACATAGCCCTACAATTACAAAATACTCTTGCATAGGCCTAGAATACTAGAGATTAACTTGTTTGAAACATTCTGTTTTTCTAAGATAGGTGTAGAAAATGGCCTTGCAGTCGCTCCAAGAATAACTCACTATTTATACACTGAAGATAGTGTCTTTCTTTTAGGGCACTAAAGTGAGCTGCCCTTGAGAGGGTGAGTAAATAGCTCCATTGTCTCGAATGGGAAGTGTAACCAAAATGGTGTATGTTAAGGATTTAAAAGAGAAGGTGCCTAAGGTATGGAAAAAATATAAGAAACAGGTTTGGCAAGGCTCCGGGTTTTTGGCAAGGTGACACCTGAGCTAATCCTAACCCAGGAAGGACTCTGAGGCTGGCTCAGTGATTGGCTCTTGGAGTACATGTGAATAGATAAACTTTTGGAAAGAACTAACATTCCAGAGCCAGATAGTACCTAGAATAGACAGCTTGGTCTGGCTCTACATGTCTGCCTACCCTCTGCTGATGACACTTCCACTTGAGAGTCCTCGCAGGTGAAAACACTTCTTAATCACTTTCAGCCATAGAAGTCTAGGTTGGGATGTAGTCCTATGATCAGAATTTTGATGGAATAGACTGAGTGCTTGGAATCCTAATTTTATTTACACATCCAGGGTTATTGATCACTGGATCTAAGTTCAAGCCTTATCTCACTGCCCTACCCTCTCTCCCAAACAGCCCTTCCAAAACCTGCATACGTCAACAGTGTCAACATTCTTCTCACCACTCCTCAGTTTCAGTTCCCTCATTGCCACACAGAGAATGTCTGGAGAGTGACTGCCCTGGTATTCAGTAACTATTGCTCCTACCTGGTTCTGAGGCTGAGTAATGATGATCTGGTAATCTGTCCAGGCATCTACCATCACCTCCATTTTGAATGGGTTTTTATGTTTTATGTTGAAAATGGTGCTGTATGCCTATAATGCAACAGAACAAAACAGTAGGGGATGAAGTTTTTCTCCAATGTAAAGTCTTATATGAGGCATGGGAAATAAGGACAAGAAGCCTAGGAGGACTTAGGATGGGGCCAGTGCTTCCAAGGTGGTTCATTGGGCTACTCATTGAGAGTTATGTTGCAAAAGGGACCAATAAGCATCCACAAAAATCCATGTTAACACCCGAATCATTAGGAACTGGCTTCCCTTATATTCATTCATTTTTTAAAAATTCATGCCATTTCACATTGTAATTGTGAAATGTGTGAAAAGTTCACATTGTAAATGTGTAGCAGATCTTTAATGGCTTGGTCAACACAAAATATTGGCTACAATCAATTACAGGTGGTAATATATCCTGAAAGATTAAAATTAGAAAAAAAAGGTCCAGAACCATCAGGGCCATTTGGGGCTAAAACCAGGATGGCCACCTCCTCCTCAGCCGAGTGAGTGCTGGAGGAGGGAGCCTGAAACTAGGCTCACTGTGACTCATTTGTGGCACCCATTATTGCCCAACCTGCAGTTCACTATGGTGAAGGAGCAATTCAGACTCACCCTGCAGCATCCCGTCTGGGTCAAACAGTGGCTGCTCCCTAAGGAATAGTTGGGGGCGCTACATAAAGTAGTTTAAAAACTATTGTAAAAAGGACATGTTTCACCAATGTTCTTTCCTTAGATTCTCCAGTGTTTGTAATTCATAAAAATTCCAGCCGATGGGGCATGCTGACCAACTTAAGAGCTGTCAATGCAGTAATTCAACCCCTGGGGGGCTCTCTCAACTGGGTTGCCCTCTCTGGCCATAATCCCCAAAGATTTGCCTTTAATTATAATTCATCTGAAGGATTGCTTTTTTACCGCTCCTCTGGCAAAACAGGATTTTGAAAAATTTGCTTTTACTATACCAGCCATAAATAATAAAGAACCAGCCACCAGGTTTCAGTGGAAAGTGTTGCCTCAGGGAAGGCTTAATAGTCCAACTATTTGTCAGACTTTTGTAGCTCAAGCTCTTCAACCAGTTAGAGACAAATTTTCAGACTATTATATCATTCATTATGTTGATGATATTTTGTGTGCTGCAAAAACCAGAGACAAATTAATTGGCTGTTACACATTTCTGCAAACAGAGGTTTAAAACACAGGGCTGACAATAGCATCTGATAAGATTGAGACCTCTACTCCTTTTCATTATTTCAGAGTGCAGGTAGAGGATAGGAAAATTAAACCACAAAAAATAGAAATAAGAAAAGACACATTAAAAACATTAAATGACTTTCAAAAATTGCTAGGAGATATTAATTGGATTTGGCCAACTCTAGGCATCCCTACTTATGCCATGTCAAATTTGTTCTCTGTCTTGAGAGGGGATCCAGAATTGAATAGTAAAAGAACATTAACTCCAGAGACAACTAAAGAAATTGGATTAGTTGAAGAAAAAATTCAGTGAGCACAAGTAAATAGAATACATCCCTTGGCCCAACTCCAGCTTGATTTTTGCTACTGTGCATTCTCCAACAGCCGTTATCGTTCAAAACGCAGGTCTTGTGGAGTGGTCCTTCCTTCCTCACAGTACAATTAATACTTTTACATTGTACTGGGATCAAATAGCTACATTAATTGGTCAGGCGAGATTACGAATACTAAAATTGTGTGGAAGTGACCCAGAAAAAATCATTCTTTCTTTAATCAAGAAACAGGTTAGAAAAGCCTTTATCAATTCTGCTTCATGGTAGATTGGTCTTGCTAATTTTGTGGAAATTATTGACAATCATTACCCAAAAACAAAAATCTTCCAGTTTTTAAAATTGGCTACTTGGATTTTACCTAAAATTACCAGACATAAACATTTACAGAATGCTCTGATGGTGTTTACTGATGGTTCCAGCCATGGAAAAGCAGCTTACATCAGGCCAAAAGAACGAGTCATTGAAACTCAATATTACTCAGCTCAAAGAGCAGAGTTGGTTGCTGTCATTTCAGTGTTACAAGGTTTTAATCAGCCTATTAACATTGTATCAGATTCTGCATATGTAGTACAGGCTACAAAGGATGGTGAGACAGCCCTAATCAAATATAGTATTGATGATCAGTTAAACCAGCTGTTTAATTTGTTACAAAAACACTGTAAAAAAAAGAAATTTCCCATTTTATATTACTCATATTTGAGCACATATTAATTTACCAGGGCCTTTAACTGAAGCAAATGAACAAGCTGACTAGCTAGTATCATCTGCATTCATAGAAGCATAAGAACTTCATGCCTTGACTCATGTAAATGCAACAGGATTAAAAAGTAAAATTGATATCCATAAAAACAGCCAAAAAATATTGTACAACACTGGACCCATGTCAAGTCCTAAACCTGCACACTCAGGAGGTAGGAGTTAATCCCAGAGTTCTATGTCCTAATGCATTATGGCAAATGGATGTCACACATGTACTGTCGTTTGGAAAATTGTCATTTGTCCATGTGACAGTTGATACTTATTCACATTTTGTATGGGCAACCTGCCAGACAGGAAAAAGTACTTCCCATGTTAAAAGACGTTTATTATCTTGTTTTGCTGTCATGGGAGTTCCAGGAAAAATTAAAACAGATAATGGGCCAGGATACTGTAGTAAAACATTTCAAAAATTCTTAAATCAGTGAAAAATTACACATACAACAGGAATCCCTTATAATTCCCAAGGACAGACACTAGTTGAAAGAACTAATAGAACACTCAAAGCTCAATTGGTGAAACAAAAAAAGGAAAAAGACAGTAAGAGTATAACACTTGGTGAAACAAAAAAAAAGAAAAAGACAGTAAGAGTATAACACTCCCCAGATGCAACTTAATCTAGCACTCTATACTTTAATTTTTTTAAACATTTAGAAAAATCCGACAAGTACTTCTACAGAACAACATTTTACTGATAAAAAGGACAGTTCACATAAAGGAAAACTGATTTGGTGAAAAAATAATAAAAATAAAACATGAACAACAGGAAAGGTGATAACATGGGGGAGAGGTATTGCTTGTATTTCCCTAGGAAAAAAACAGCTTCTAGTTTAGATACCTACAACTTACAGAAGAAGTTGCCATCCAGCAAGGAAGTGGAGCCACTGACCTGGGCCCAGTTCAAAAAGCTGACACAGTATACTGAAAAAGCCTGAAGAAAACAAGGGTAATGTGAACTCCAGAGAATATACTGCTTGCAGCTTTGATGACTGTATCAATGGTGGTCAGTCTCCCCATGTCTTCAGGAGCAGCTGCAACTTATTATACTTACTGGGACCATGTGCCTTTCCTGCCCTTAATTCGGGCAGTCACATGAATAGATAGTCCTACTAAAGTATATGTTAATAATAGTGCATGGGTACCAGGCCCCACAGATGATCGTTGCCCTGCCAAACCTACAAAAAGAAGGAATGATGATAAATATTTCCATTGGATATCATTATCCTCCTACTTGCCTAGGGAAGGCACCCAGATGCTTAATGCCTACAACCCAAAATTGGTTGGTAGAAGTACCTACTGTCAGTGCCACCAGTAGATATACTTATCACATGGTAAGTCGAATGTCACTCGGGCAACAAATAAATAATTTACAGTATTCTTCTTATCAAAGATCATTAAAATTTAGGCCTAAGGGGAAGGCTTGCCCCCCAAAAATTCCCAAAGAATCAAAAGACCTAAAAGTCTTAGTTTGGAAAGAATATGTGGCTGATACTGCGGTGATATTACAAAACAATGAATTTGTAACTATTACAGACTGGGACCCTCGAGGCCAATTATATTATAATTGTATGGGCCAGACTCACTCATGTTCACAAGCCCCATCCATCTGGCCCATTAATCTGGCCTATGATAGTAATTTAAAAAGCTGGACCAGGTTTATAAAAGGTGAAAATCACCCTATCCATTAAAATGGAGTAAAAAGAGAATTTCCTCACCTCGACCAAAGTTAATTAGTCCTGTTACTGGTCCTGAACATCCAGAATGATGAAAGCTTACTGTGGCCTCGCACCACATTAGAATTTGGTCTGCAAATCAAACTATAGGAACAAAAAATCGTAGGCCATATTATACTATTAACCTAAATTCCAATCTGACAATTCCTTTGCAAAGTTGTGTAAAACTCCTTTATATGCTAGTTGTAGGAAACATACTTATTAAACCAGATTCCCAAATTGTAACCTGTAAAAACTGTAGATTGCTTACTTGCATTGATTCGACTTTTGATTGGCAGCACAGTATTCTGCTGGTGAGGGCAAGAGAGGGCGTGTAGATCCCTGTGTCCATGGACTGACTGCAGGAGGCTTCCCCATCTGTCCATCTTTTAGCAGAAGTATTAAAACGATTTCTAACTAGATCCAAAGGATTCATTTTTACTTTGATTGCAGTGATTGTGGGTCCCATTGCAGTCACAGCTACTGCTGCAGCTGCTGGAATTTCTTTACACTCCTCTGTTCAAACTGCAGAATACGTAAATAATTGGCAAAAGAATTCCTCAAAATTGTGAAATTCTCAGACCCAAATAGATAAAAAATTGGCAAACCAAATTAATGATCTTAGACAAACCGTCATTTGAAAGGAAGATAGGCTCATGAGCTTGGAATATCTTTTTCAGTTACAGTGTGACTAAAATACATCAGATTTTTGCATTATACCCCAAGCCTATAATGAGTCTGAGCATCACTGAGACATAGTTAGATGCCATCTACAAGGAAGAGAAGATAATCTTACTTTAAATATTTCAAAATTTCAAAAACAAATTTTTAAGACAACAAAAGCCCATTTAAATTTGGTGCCAAAAACTGAGGCAATTGTAAAAGCTGCTGATGGCCTCACAAAGCTTAACCCCGTCACTTAGGTTAAAACCATCAGAAGTTCCACTATTGTAAATTTCATATTAATCCTTGTATGTCTGTTCTGTCTCTTGTTAGTCTACAGGTGTATCCAACAGCTCCAAAGAGGCAGCAACCAGCGAGAACGGGCCATAATGACGATGGCAGTTTTGTCAAAAAGAAAAGGGGGATATGTAGGGAAAAGAAAGAGATATCAGACTGTTACTGTATCTTTGTAGAAAAGGAAGACATAAGAAACTCCATTTTGACCTGTACCGTGAACAATTGTTTTGCCTTGAGATGCTGTTAGTCTGTAACTTTAGCCCCAACCTTGAGCTCACAGAAACATGTGTTGTATGGAATCAAGGTTTAAGGGATCCAGGGCTGTACAAGATGTGCCTTGTTAACAATATGTTTACAGGCAGTATGCTGGGTAAAAGTCATCACCATTCTCCATTCTCTAGGAAGCAGGGGCACAATGCACTGCTGAAAGCCGCAGGGACCTCTGCCCAGGAAAGCCGGGTATTGTCCAAGGTTCTCCCCACGTGATAGCCTGAGATATGGCCTCGTGGAATGGGAAAGACTGGACCATCCCCCAGCCCGACATACGTGAAGAGTCTGTGCAGAAGAAGGATTCATAGAGGAAGGCCTCTTGCAGTTGAGATAAGAGGAAGGCCTCTGTCCCCTGCCTGCCCCTGGGAACTGAATGTCTCGGTATAAAACCCGATTGTACATTTGTTCTATTCTGAGATAGGAGAAAAACTCCCCTGTGTCGGGAGGTGAGACATGCTGGCAGCAATGCTGCTCTATTACTCTTTACTCCACTGAGATGTCTGGGTGGAGAGAAGCATACATGTGGCCCACGTGCACATCCAGGCATAGTACCTTCCCTTGAACTTATTTGTGACACAGATTTCTTTGCTAACATGTTTTCTTGCTGACCTTCTCCCCACTATCACCCTGTTCTCCTGCCACATTCCCCTTGCTGAGATAGTGAAAATAGTAATCAATAAATACTGAGGGAACTCAGAGACCGGTGCTGGTTCGGGTCCTCAGTATGCTGAGCACCGGCCCCCCGGGCCCACTTTTCTTTCTCTGTACTTTGTCTCTGTGTCTTATTTCTTTTCTCAGTCTCTTATCCTACCTGATGAGAAATACCCACAGGTGTGGAGGGGCTGGCCTCCTTCATAAGTATATAGCCAAAATCAATACAAATGGAAGCAAAGTGGTTAACAACATGGGCTTTGGAATCAAACAAACCAAAATTCCACCCCTGGCTCCTCTTCTGGCTATCTGGGTCACCTTAGGTAGGTCAAATTATTTGAGCCTCTCTGCCTCAGTTGCATTATCTATAAAATGGGGATAGTAATATCTACATTGTAGGTTGTCATGAGGATTTCCTTGCCAGAAAAGGTGTGTGAAGTGTTTAGCATGGTGGTAATTTGTGTATATACAAGGTTCTGAAGGAAATTTTAAAAACCTTTAAATCCAGTGAAGGTGACCATTCCACTGGACAGAAACATAAATGAAGAAAACTGCAGCTTCAAAGATGGACTATATGTAAGTTGCTTGAATAAACCTATTGGCACAAAATAGACATTTTGAGGCAAACCACAGATCTAGAACAAGCTCATCTGTTTCTGTCACTGTCTAAGATCATGGGTGCAGTAACAAAATGGCACAGAAATCTGCGCATTCTGCAGACTTTGGTAGCATATTTCCCCAGAGGAGAGTAATCTCCTTGGTAAGTGATATTATGTCTTGCTCTTTATTGTGACTCAAGCATCAAGCTCAGCACTTAGCATAGTGGAAAAATTAATAAGCTTTTGTTCAGTGAATGAACAAATAGAGTCAGTGAAGGTTAGAAATGTGGTTTTTAGAATGCTTTTCCTCAAAGACTGAGCATTAAGTCTCTTTGCTCCTGGCATAGCCAAGTTTCTGAGAAAACACGTGGCTGCTAACAGAAACTTTCAAAGCAGAAGAAAATGCTTTATAGTAGGTTTTTTTGCAATGAATATTGGATATGTAACCTATAGGGGGTGCACAAAAATGTGGATTAAAAAAAGGTTGTAAATGGCCTGTTGCCTCTACCAATAGCATATGCTCTCCCACCCGCTTCCATTTCACCGTTAGCTTCCCTCCATGGCTGGACTCTGGTTCTGCTCTCACCAATGAGAGACACCTAGTTTCAATTCACTCCAAGGTGCCAAGGCAGTAGAAGGTTTATGGGTCAACATGATGCAATAGTCTAATATAATATAATATATTCTTCAATATATTATAATGGAGGATTATAAGAGAGTGACTATTGGATCAGGTGTTTTTTAACAAAATCGAGAGGAAAAGGAGCCAGTAGAAGAGATCGGAAACATGGCAAAAAAAAAAAAAAAGAATGTGAAAAATAAGAGAATGACCTTGGAAGTCAAAATAAGAGAAACCTTCAAGGAAAGAGTGACCAAAGCAGTCAAAGGTTGCTGAGAAGCTAAAAGAGATGAGTACTAAAGGCGGCAGTGCATTTTGAAGTTAGGAGTTGATTACCGACTTTGTAAGAGACATGGACAGGAGAAGAAATCAGATTATGGGGATTGGAGACTAAATGAAATGTGAGGAAGTGAAGGTAACTTTTTGAAAGAGCTTGACCAGAAAAGAAAGAAGAACACGAGAGTATCAAGGGGAAGAAGAGAGGTACAAGAGCTCAAAGAAAGGCATTTCTCTTATTAGATGAGAGTTAAGCATACCTATACTAACTACAAGAGGTAAGATGTAAGTCATTGATAGGCCAATGTGTCTAACAGGACATAGAAAGGTGACAGAAATTCAATGACCTTATGTACAAAATGCCAGCCACTATTTCAGCTTATTTATGTTGACTAATTCATGTAATCATCAACCATAATTATCAGCATACTTGTTAAATTAAGTTTTGAACAGGAAGAATACTTCTTCCAGTGAGAAGTCAAAAAAATTTAGGATGGATGCAGATGCAAATGTATGTATGTAGGTATACAGCAGGTCATCAAATAATGTCATTTTGTTCAATATCTTTTCATTATAATGGTGAAGAGAAAAAAAACAGTTCCTGGCTGGACCACTGTCTATGTGCAGTTTGCCTGTCCTCCTCATGTCTGTGTGGACTTTCTCTGGATAATCCCATTTCCTCTCACATCTCAAAAATGTGTACATTAGTATATTGACATGTCTAAATTTTCACAGGATGAGTGTGTTTGTGTGTGTGTGAGAGAGAGAGTGTGTATGTGTGTGTGTGCACGTGTGTCCCCAGGATGGAAGGGTTTCCAGTCCAGGGTGGGTTCCTGCCTTGTGCTCTGAGCTACCAGGATAGGCTTCAGCCACTTGCTCCGCTGAACTGCAATAAGGCAGTTGAAAAATGAATGAATGAAACATTCATAATAAAACAAAAATTCATAAAGTCTATGATAATGATACAAATGCATGACAATAAACAATGCTGTGCAAAAGGACTCAGCGAGCCCATCATATTTGTGATGGATTTTTAAATTCATAGATACAAGAGTTGCTTCTTACACCTTTTGCTTTGCAAACATTTATTTCTCAATTTAACTCACCACCACTGTGATCACCATCACACATCAACGCAACAAAAATCAGGTAAATAATTATCTTACTTGTTTGTATCAATATTTCTTAAATGTATATACAGCTTACATTTATTGCATTGTTTTATATTAGAAGTGCTTCAGTTCTTTATAAGTTTGGTGATGTTTTTGTCACCAGAAATATGCTGTAGGAACTTAACTCTTCTTTATATTAATTAGCTTATGGTAAAAATAATTTTGATATGTGTTGTTTCATTTGATGTTGCAGTTTCCAAGAACCTATTGACAATGTTAAGTAAGGACTAATTGTATACAGGAGTACACAGGGTTAGAAAAAAGGAGCATAGAGTTGGCAAGTTATTTTTGAATGTCTATTTCCTGGAAGAGGTAAAATTTCTTCCTATTCCCAAAATCACTTTTTAGAAGTGAGTGGGTGAGGGAGTATGCCAAGAAAGTGTTCAGAAAAAGAAGTAGGATGTTAGGGGAAATGGTTAGGGTATAAATGGCTTTTGATGTTAATGGGAGAAACAGTGGACTAGAATTAGCAAGGACTGGCAAGCATGCTTAGGATCATGTAAAGAGGGACACCATCACTGGAAGTGTTACTCAACAGTATATTAAGCTCAGCACCCTAAAAGTAGAAGCACAGAAGACAAATTAAAACAAACCAAGATTGGCTTTTTCAGGGCTGGATAACAAAAAAGATAAGGGACAAAGCATTTGAGAACATAGTAATGAGGGATTGAAACTCACATCTAAGATAGAGAAGAAAAAAGTAAAGTAGGTTGGAGACCAATAAAGTGAGAAAATATAGAAAAAGCAAGGGACGAAAGTACTTGATGAAGTCAAAGAATAGCAATGTTAATAGACAGGGGAAAATGTACTTACAAATAGGAGACTGGAGTCAGATATTAGGCTATTAGAGGTTGAGATTTCAGAGGTATTCAGAAGTAGATCAGTTTGGCATGTATGACTGTTGGCATCAACTCCAAGTCAATAGAGTAGGAGCCAAGAAGGGAATGGGAGCTTCAGGTATCACAGACATGAACAGGATGTAGCAGAAGTTGGCTGAAGAGAAAAATTAGGATGTCAGGTGCCAAATATTTCAACGAATGCAGAGAAATTTGGCAGAGGGCAACAGAAAAGCATTGTTTTATTCCAGCCACATGACACAGAAGGAAGAAGGAAGATTTTTCTATGCAAATAAGTAATACTCTAGAAGCAGGATTGGAGGCAAGGAGAATACTGATTTTTTTTCTTTTTGGTAACTATATTACCCTGGAGATCTAGAGGTTGTTAGAGAAATGTTTAAGCATATTGATAATTTATAATTCAAGGAAAGCATTTGGACATTTTACAAATTCAAAAGGCTACACACTGGCTTTTTCTAAAGTATTTTCCAGCTTCAGGTACCTAAAAGGTTTTGAAGAATTTGTTCTCAACATTGAGACCCTGGTGAGTGCTCATTCCAAGGGTTTTCAGGGGAAAAGAAATAAATTAACAAATACAAATGATTGAGAACAAGAATCCTAATTAATTGAAATGCCAAGAAAAAAAGGCTGTTCTAAACAATTCTGCTTACCTGAAGTTTCTTTGCAGAGCTGTAGGCACACTGCCTGCTGCACTTGCTCAGAATGGCAATGGAAAGGTTTCTGTAGCTAACACTCTATGGACTCAGACACACTAAAATTCAATTGACTCACGCTGTCACTGTTTAGCATAAAGCTTCAGGAAGTTATGGGTTCCTGTAGATTAAACCAGATGTTCTGTCCGTAGACAGGAAGTCAGAGGCTTTGTGGACCAGAGGAGGACTGAGACCATGTTCTGTATTGAGCAGCCTCTACAATTATAAGAAGTTTTACACAAGAAGCTTTTGATTTATACATAACTTGTTATAGCTGAAAGAGTATTCTAGAACAATATTAAGTCAATTTTCTAGAGTTGGCAAAAATAGCACAGCTGCAGCCTTATTTAAAACAAGTTAGCAGAGCAAACAAAGAGTTGGAAAGTTTGGTTTCAAGGCAAAATACCTGGCCTAATACTTTCAACCATTTGTGGGTTGGAAAAAGACAAGAATGCCTCAAGAAAGTTACTGTAATAATGAGAACTGGGTTTCATATACCTTGTCCTCTGGTTGTCTAAAGTGGAGCAAGAGGGAAGGGTATTGTAAGTATAAGAAGAAAAAGCAATTAGTGGAGAAAAGTTTCAGGGGGACTGGAATTAGCTTTGTAGAGGAATAGAGACAAACATTGTTTTCAATGTGTGTTCCTCACACCATCTACTTCAAGATCAATTGGGCTTGCTTGTTAACAATACAAGAACTTTTCCAGATCAGGTAAATCAGAGGCTCCCAAAGTGCCTGGCAATCTGTATCTTATAAAAAGCTATCTAAAAGAGTCTGATCTATATTATATTTTGAAAACATTGAGATTAAAAAATGGGAAAATATGTTATAAAATTTTTATCCTGGGTGCAGTGGCTTACACCGGTAATACCAGCTACTTGGGAGTCTGAGGCAGAAGGATTGCTTGAGGGCAGAAATTTGATATGAGCCTGGGCAACCTAATAAAACTCATCTTTAAATTTTTGGTTTTTAATTAGCCACATATAGGGGCATGTGTCTATAGTACCAACTACTCAGGAGACTGAGATGAAAAGATTGCTTGAGCCCAGAAATTTGAGATCGCAGTGAGGTATTTCACCACTGCACTTCAGCCTGGGCAACAGGGTGAGATACTCTCTCTAATTAAAAAGAAAAAAAAGTCTTTACCCACTTTCTGGAAGTGAAAGCAACTTCAAATTGTAATCATTTATGACATGAGAAAAACAAGAGTTATTTTTACACAAATAAGGAAGCTGTTGCTGACAAAAAAGTAAATGTCTTCCCTCAAGTCACAAAACTAACCATTGGCAATGTCTGGAATATGAGGCCGAATATCGAATTCTTTTAATGACACCATGATTCCATAGACAGTGATTCCCTACCCTTAGGCAGTTTATAACTTCTTACAAACCTAAATCATCTACTCCAGACGACATATTAAAAATTATCAATTAGGATTTTCTACTATCTGCACATGCTTGCTGTGTAAGGCATTGAATTTTATACTTTTAGTTACTCTACTTTTTGAACCAAAAGTTGTTCACATAATCAAAGAATTTTTACATATTTATAATTGTAAATGATTAATTTGTTAAATCTATATGAAAGTTTATAGAGTTTACAGTAAACTAATCATCCTTTTAAAAAAATGGTCCATTTAAACTACTCAATACGTATTTTTTATTCCATAATTGACAGCACACTGTGGATAGCTGAGAGACCACATATTTTATTTCTATACTGAGTATTACTTAAGTAATTTCTTAAGCTATTAAATATTTTTTAAATAGTTTATAATGGGGAGGAGAAGCAAAGCAAATGGCAGAATAGAAGGCTCCACTAATCATTTCCCCATACCCCACAAGGCCCCAAGTTAACAACTACACAGAAAAAATACCTTCATGAGAACCAAAAATCAAGTGAGCACTCATAGTACCCGGTTTGGACTTCATATCCCTAAAAGAGGCACTGAAGAGATGGAAAAAAACAGTCCTGAATCACCAACCCCCCTCCCTCCCAACCTCAGTAGCAGTCATGTGGTGCACAGTCTATCTCTGGGCACGGGGGGGAAGGAAGAACACAGCAATTATGAGGCACTGAACTCATTGTTGTTATGTTAGACACAAAGGAAAACTAGATCAAACTCAGCTGACACCTGCCCCTGGAGGCAGAGGGAGCATTTAAGCCAGTCCTAACCTGAGAGGAATCAGCAATCCCAGCAGTAAGAACTTCAGTGCCTGAAAACCTCACCACAGGGGGCCTACAGTTCTCTGTGTTTCCAAGTAAACTTGAAAGGCAGTCTAAGCCATAAGGACTGCAACTCTTAGGTGAGTCCAGTGCTGAATAAGTCCCAGAAATTGTGGACTAGGGGGATATTTGACATACTGAGACACCAGCTGGGTCAGCCAAAGGAGTGCTGTTATCACCCCTCCCCCAACTCCAGGTTGCATATCTCGCAGCTCCCAAAGAGACTCCTTCCTTCTGCTGGAGGAATGGAAAGAAACAGTAAGGAAGACTTTGTCTTTGCATATCAGCTGAGCCACAAGAGGATAAGGCACCAAACAGAGTTGTGAGGCCCCCGTTCCAGGCCACTGCTCCTAGACAACATTTCTAGACATAGGCTGGGCCAGAAGGGAAACCTCTGCATTGAAGGAAAGAATTCATTCCTCAGAGCATTCACCACCTGTTAATTGAAGATACCTTGAGCCCTGAATAACCTAAGCAATACCCAGGTACTATTAATACACTGAGGGCTTTGGATGAGCATCTGAGACTAGCAGGTTTCAGGTGAGACTCAGCACATTTCAGCTGAGGCAGCTATGAGGCAAGATTCTTTCTTCTTCAGAAAAATGGAAGGAGAGTAAAGAGACTTTGTTTTGCACCTTAGGTGCCAGCACAGCCACAGCATGGTAGAGCAGCAAGTGGGCTCTTGGCATACCCAATTGCAGGACTTAGCTCTTGAACAGCATTTCTGGACCTACCATGGGCCACAAGGGAGCCCACTGCCCTGAAGGGTGAGTCCCAGGCAAGGCAGCCTTTACTACAAGCTGATTTAAGAGCCCTTTGGCTTTAAGAGAACACTGGTTGGTAGTCTAGCAACCAGTGGGTAGGGGTCACTATGGGGTGTGGCTCCTCTGCCTTTGGAAAGAGAAGAGAAAAGTGGGAAGGACTTCATCTTGTGGTTTGAACGTCAGCTCGACTGCAATATAATAGAACACCAGGTACTCGTCTAATGTTTTTGACTCTAGTCCCTGACTTCTGGACAGCACCTCTGTATCCACCCAGGGCCTGGGGGATCTCACTGCCCTGATGGGAAGGACACAGGCCTGGCCGGCTTTGCTGCCTGCTGATTGCAGATCTCCAGGGCCTTGAGCAAACATAGGCAGTAGCCAAGAAGTGATTACAGCAGGCATTGGGCAAGATGCAGTGCTCTGTGGGCCTCAGGCCTGATGTAGTGCAGTCATAATGGTGGTGGCCACAGAAGTGCTTATGTCACTCCACCCCCAGTTTTAGGTGGCACAGACAAGAGAGAGAAATTTTTTTTTTTTTTTCAAGAAATTAAGGGAAGAAAACAGAGCAGTCTCTGCCTGGCAATCCAGAGAATTCTCCTGAATCATGTCCAAGGCCATTGAGGCAGTACTTTTATGAGTCTTCAAAAACCACAGTATTACTGGGCTTGGGATGCTCCCTAAAGTAGAGAGTTTAAATCACGATACCTATGTCCTTTCAAATATCTGCAGAGCGTTCCCAAAAAGGATGGCTACAAATAAGCCCAGACAGTGAAGACTACAACAAACACCTAACTCTTCAGTGCTCAGACACCGAAGAACATCTACTAGCATCAACACCATTGAGAAAAACATGACCTCAGCGAATGAACTAAATAAGTCACCAGGGACCAATCCTGAAGAAATGGGGATATGTGACCTTTCAGAAAGAGAGTTCAAAATAGCTGCAATGAGGAAACTTAAAGAAACTTTGATAACACAGAGATAACACAGAGAAGGAATTCAGAATTATATCAGATAAATTTAACAAAGAGATTGAAATAGTTAAAAAGAATCAGAAATTCTGCAGCTGAAAAATGCAATTGTCATAATGAAGAATGCATCAGAGTCCTTTAATAGCAGAATTGACCAAGCAGAAAAAAGAATTAGTCAGCCTGAAGACAGGCTATTTAAAAAGACACTGTCAAAAGATACAAAAGAAAAATAATAAAAACAACAAAGCGCATCTACCGAATATAGAAAATAGCCTTGAAAGGGCAAATCTAAGAATTGTTGGCCTTAAAGAGAAGGTAGGGAAAGAGACAGGGGTAGAAAATTTATTTAAAGGAATAGTAAGAGAGAACTTCCCCATACCAGAGAATGATGTCAGTATCTGAGTACAGGAAAGTTGTAGAACACCAAGCAGATTTAACCCAAAGAGTATCTCAAGGCATTTAAAATCAAACTACCAAAGGTCAAGGAGAAAGAAATGTAAAAGCAGCAAGAGAAAAGAAATAAATAACATACAATGAAGATCCAATACATCTGACAGCAGATTCTTTCAGTGAAAACCTCGCAGACAGTGGCATGACATATTTAAAGTACTGAAGGAGAAAAACCTTTTACAGTAGAATATTATATCTGGCAAAAATATTCTTCAAACATGAAGGAAGAATACTTTCCCTGACAAGAGCTGAGGGATTTCATTAATATTAGACCTGTCTCACAAGAAATTGTATATAAAGAGAAGAACATTAGAAAGAACAGAACATTCAGTAAGAAAAGAACATTAGTGAGCAATAAATAATCATCAGATGTTTAAAAACACACTGATAATAATCAGTACGCAGAAAAAGACAGAATATTATAACACTGTAGCTCTGGTGTATAAACTACTTTTACCCTAAGTAGTAACACCAAATGATGAACCAATCAAAAATAATAACTACAACAACTTTTCAAGAAACAGTACAGTAAGATATAAATAGAAATAACAAAAAGTTAAAAAGTGGGAAGACAAAATTAAAGCATTGGGTTTTTATCAGTATACTTTGTGCTTGTTTGTTTATGCAAATAGTTTTGTTATCAGATTTAAATAATGGGTTATAAGATGGTATTTGCAAACGTCATGGTAACCTCAAACCCAAAAACATACAATGGACACACAAAAAATTAAAAGAAAGAAACAAAATTTTATCACCAGAGAAAATCACTTTCGCTAAAGGAAGGCCGGAAGGAGAAAAACAAGGTAGAGGAGTTCACAACCAGCAAACAAATACCAAAATGGCAGGACTAAGTCCTTACTTATTAATAATAACATTGAAGGTAAATGGACTAAACTCTCCAATCAAAAGACATAGAGTGGCTGAATGGATTTAAAAACAAGACCCATTGCTCTATTGCCTATAAGAAACACACTTCACCTATACAGATCCACATAGACTGAAAATAAAGGGAAGGAGAAAGTTATTTTGTGACAATAGAAACTAAGAAGAGTAGGAGTCACTATACTTTTGTAAGAAAAATTGATTTCACAGGTCTGGCAGCCAAGATGGCCAAATAGGAACAGCTCTGGTCTACAGCTTCCAGTGTGAGCGATGCAGAAGACAGGTGATTTCTGCATTTCCATCTGAGGTACAGTGTTCATCTCACTGGGGAGTGCCAGACAGTGGGTGCAGGACAGTGGATGCAGCGCACCATGCACGAGCCGAAGCAGGGCGAGGCATTGCCTCACTCAGGAAGAGCAAGGGGTCAGGGAGTTCCCTTTCCCAGTCAAAGAAAGGGGTGACAGATGGCACCTGGAAAATTGGGTGACTCCCACCCTAATACGGCACTTTTCCAACAGGCTTAAAAAACGGTGCACCAGGAGATTATATCCCGCACGTGGCTCAGAGGGTCCTACACCCATGGAGACTCACTGATTGCTAGCACAGCAGTCTGAGATCAAACTGCAAGGCGGCAGCAAGGCTGGGGGAGGGGCACCCACCATTGCCCAGGCTCGCTTAGGTAAACAAAGCAGCTGTGAATCTCGAACTGGGTGGAGCCCACCACAGCTCAAGGAGGCTTGCCTGCCTCTGTAGGCTCCACCTCTGGGGGCAGGGCACAGACAAACAAAAAGACAGCAGTAACCTCTGCAGACTTAAATGTCCCTGTCTGACAGATTTGAAGAGAGCAGTGGTTCTCCCAGCATGCAGCTGGAGATCTGAGAATAGGCAGACTGCCTCCTCAAGTGGGTCCCTGACCCCTGACCCCCGAGCAGCCTAACTGGAAGGCACCCCCCAGTAGGGGCAGACTGACATCTCACACGGCTGGGTACTCCTCTGAGACAAAACTTCCAGAGGAACGATCAGACAGCAGCATTCACGGTTCACGAAAATCCACTGTTCTGCAGCCACCGCTGCTGATACCCAGGCAAACAGGGTCTGGAGTGGACCTCTAGCAAACTCCAACAGACCTGCAGCTGAGGGTCCTGTCTGTTAGAAGGAAAACTAACAAACAGAAAGGACATCCACACCAAAAACCCATCTGTACATCACCATCATCAAAGACCAAAAGTAGATAAAACCACAAAGATGAGGAAAAAAGAGCAGAAAAACTGGAAACTCGAAAAAGCGGAGCACCTCTCCTCCTCCAAAGGAACACAGTTCCTCACAGCAACAGAACAAAGCTGGATGGAGAATGACTTTGACAAGTTGAGAGAAGAAGGCTTCAGATGATCAAACTACTCCGAGATACAGGAGGAAATTCAAACCAAAGGCAAAGAAGTTAAAAACTTTGAAAAAAATTTAGACGAATGTATAACTAGAATAACCAATACAGAGAAGTGCTTAAAGGAGCTGATGGAGCTAAAAGCCAAGGCTTGAGAACTACATGAAGAATGCAGAAGACTCAGGAGCTGATGTGATCAACTGGAAGAAAGGGTATCAGTGATGGAAGATGAAATGAATGAAATGAAGTGAGAAGGGAAGTTTAGAGAAAAAAGAATAAAAAGAAATGAACAAAGCCTCCAAGAAGTATGGAACTATGTGAAAACACCAAATCTATATCTGACTGGTGTACCTGAAAGTGACGGGAAGAATAGAACCAAGTTGGAAAACACTCTGCAGGATATTATCCAGGAGAACTTCCCCAATCTAGCAAGGCAGGCCAACGTTCAGATTCAGGAAATACAGAGAACACCACAAAGATACTCCTCGAGAAGAGCAACTCCAAGACACATAATTGTCAGATTCACCAAAGTTGAAATGAAGGAAAAAATGTTAAGGGCAGCCAGAGAGAAAGGTCGGGTTACCCACAAAAGGAAGTCCATCAGACTAACAGCGGATCTCTCGGCAGAAACTCTACAAGCCAGAAGACAGTGGGGGTCAATATTCAACATTGTTAAAGAAAAGAATTTTCAACCCAGAATTTCATATCCAGCCGAACTAAGCTTCATAAGTGAAGGAGAAATAAAATACTTTACAGACAAGCAAATGCTGAGAGATTTTGTTACCACCAGGCCTGCCCTAAAAAAGCTTCTGAAGGAAGCACTAAACATGGAAAGCAACAACCAGTACCAGTCACTGCAGAATCATACAAAATTGTAAAGACCATTGAGGCTAGGAAGAAACTGCATCAACTAACGAGTAAAATAACCAGCTAACATCATAATGACAGAATCAAATTCACACATAACAATATTAACTTTAAATGTAAATGGACTAAATGCTCCAATTAAAAGACACAGACTGGCAAATTGGATAAAGAGTCAAGACCCATCAGTGTGCTGTATTCAGGAAACCCATATCACGTGCAGAGACACACATAGGCTCAAAATAAAAGGATGGAGGAAAATCTACCAAGTAAACGGAAAACAAAAAAAGGCAGGGTTTGCAATCCTAGTCTCTGATAAAACAGACTTTAAACCAACAAAGATCAAAAGAGACAAAGAAGGCCATTACATAATGGTAAAGGGATCAATTCAACAAGAAGAACTAACTATCCTAAATATATATGCACCCAATGCAGGAGCACCCAGATTCATAAAGCAAGTCCTGAGTGACCTACAAAGAGACTTAGACTCCCACACAATAATAATGGGAGACTTTAACACCCCACTGTCAACATTAGACAGATCAGTGAGACAGAAAGTTAACAACGATACCCAGGAATTGAACTCAGCTCTGCACCAAGTGGACCTAATAGACATCCAGAGAACTCTCCACCCCAAATCAACAGACTATACATTTTTTTCAGCACCACACTACACCTATTCCAAAACTGACCACATACTTGGAAGTAAAGCTCTCCTCAGCAAATGTAAAAGAACAGAAATTATAACAAACTGTCTCTCAGACCACAGTGCAGTCAAACTAGAACTCAGGATTAAGAAACTCATTCAAAACCGCTCAACAACATGGAAACTGAACAACCTGTTCCTGAATGACTACTGGGTACATAACAAAATGAAGGCAGAAATAAAGATTTTCTTTGAAACCAACGAGAACAAAGACACAACATACCAGAATCTCTGGGACACATTCAAAGCAGTGTGTAGAGAGAAATTTATAGCACTAAATGCCCACAAGAGAAAGCAGGAAAGATCCAAAATTGATACCCTAACATCACAATTAAAAGAACTAGAAAAGCAAGATCAAACACATTCAAAAGCTAGCAGAAGGCAAGAAATAACTAAAATCAGAGCAGAACTGAAGGAAATAGAGACACAAAAAACTCTTCAAAAAATTAATGAATCCAGGAGCTGGTTTTTTGAAAGGATCAACAGAATTGATAGACCACTAGCAAGACTAATAAAGAAGAAAAGAGAGAAGAATCAAATAGATGCAATAAAAAATGATAAAGGGGATATCACCACCGATCCCACAGAAATACAAACTACCATCAGAGAATACTACAAACACCTCTACACAAATAAACTAGAAAATCTAGAAGAAATGGATAAATTCCTTGACACATACACCCTCCCAAGACTAAACCAGGAAGAAGTTGAATCTCTGAATAGACCAATAACAGGCTCTGAAATTGTGGCAATAATCAATAGCTTACCAACCAAAAAGAGTCCAGGTCCAGATGGATTCACAGCCAAATTCTACCAGAGGGACAAGGAGGAACTGGTTCCATTCCTTCTGAAACTACTCCAATCAACAGAAAAAGAGGGAATCCTCCCTAACTCATTTTATGAGGCCAGCATCGTCCTGATACCAAAGCCTGGCAGAGACACAACAAAAAAACAGAATTTTAGACCAATATCCTTGATGAACATTGATGCAAAAATCCTCAATAAAATACTGGCAAACCAAATCCAGTAGCACATCAAAAAGCTTATCCACCATGATCAAGTGGGCTTCATCCCTGGGATGCAAGGCTGGTTCAATATAAGCAAATCAATAAATGTAATCCACCATATAAACAGAATCAAAGACAAAAACCACATGATTATCTCAACACATGCAGAAAAGGCCTTTGACAAAATTCAACAACCCTGCATGCTAAAAACTCTCGATAAATTAGGTTTTGATGGGACGTATCTCAAAATAATAAGGGGTATCTATGACAAACCCACAGCCAATATCATACTGAATGGGCAAAAACTGGAAGCATTCCCTTTGAAAACTGGCACAAGACAGGGATGCCCTCTCTCACCACTCCTATTCAACATAGTGTTGGAAGTTGTGGCCAGGGCAATTAGGCAGGAGAAGGGTATTCAATTAGGAAAAAAAGAAGTCAAATTGTCCCTGTTTGCAGATGACATGATTGTATATCTAGAAAACCCCATTGTCTCAACCCAAAATCTCCTTAAGCTGATAAGCAACTTCTGCAAAGTCTCAGGATACAAAATCTATGTACAAAAATCACAAGCATTCTTATACACCAATAACAGACAAACCGAGAGCCAAATCATGAGTGAACTCCCATACACAATTGCTTCAAAGAGAATAAAATAACTAGAAATCCAACTTACAAGGGACGTGAAGGACCTCTTCAAGGAGAACTACAAACCACTGCTCAAGAAAATAAAAGAGGATACAAAGAAATGGAAGAACATTCCATGCTCATGGGTAGGAAGAATCAATATTGTGAAAATGGCCATACTGCCCAAGGTAATTTATAGATTCAATGCTATCCCCATCAAGCTACCAATGACTTTCTTCACAGAATTGGAAAAAACTACTTGAAAGTTCATATGGAACCAAAAAAGAGCCCGCAACGCCAAGTCAATCCTAAGCCAAAAGAACAAAGCTGGAGGCATCACACTAGCTGACTTCAAACTATACTACAAGGCTACAGTCACCAAAACAGCATGGTACTGGTACCAAAACAGAGATATAGATCAATGGAACAGAACAGAGCCCTCAGAAATAACTCCGCATATCTACAACTATCTGATCTTTGACAAATCTGAGAAAAACAAGCAATGGGGAAAGGATTCCCTATTTAATAAATGGTGCTGGGGAAACTGGCTAGCCAGATGTAGAAAGCTGAAACTGGATCCCTTCCTTACACCTTATACAAAAATTAATTCAAGATGAATTAAAGATTTAAACGTTAGACCTAAAACCATAAAAACCCTAGAAGAAAACCTAAGCATTACCATTCAGGACATAGGCATGGGCAAGGATTTCATGTCTAAAACACCAAAAGCAATGGCAACAAAAGCCAAAATTGACAAATGGGATCTAATTAAACTAAAGAGCTTCTGCACAGCAAAAGAAACTACCATCAGAGTTAACAGGCAACCTACAAAATGGGAGAAAATTTTCACAACCTACTCATCTGACAAAGGGCTAATATCCAGAATCTACAATGAACTCAAACAAATTTACAAGAAAAAAACAAACAACCCCATCAAAAAGTGGGCGAAGGATATGAACAGACACTTCTTAAAAGAAGACATTTATGCAGCCAAAAGACACATGAAAAAATGCTCATCATCACTGGCCATCAGAGAAATGCAAATCAAAACCACAATGAGATAGCATCTCACACCAGTTAGAATGGCAATCATTAAAAAGTCAGGAAACAACAGGTGCTGGAGAGGATGTGGAGAAATAGGAACACTTTTACACTGTTGGTAGGACTGTAAACTAGTTCAACCATTGTGGAAGTCAGTGTGGCGATTCCTCAGGGATCTAGAACTAGAAATACCATTTGACCCAGCCATCCCATTACTGGGTATATACCCAAAGGACTGTAAATCATGCTGCTATAAAGACATGCACACGTATGTTTATTGTGGCACTATTCACAATAGCAAAGACTTGGAACCAACCAAAATGTCCAATAATGATAGACTGAATTAAGAAAATGTGGCACATATACACCATGGAATACTATGCAGCCATAAAAAATGATGAGTTCATGTCCTTTGTAGGGACATGGATGAAATTGGAAATCATCATTCTCAGTAAACTATCGCAAGGACAAAAAACCAAACAGTGCATGTTCTCACTCATAGGTGGGAATTGAATAGTAAGAACACATGGACACTGGAAGGGGAACATCACACTCTGGGGACTGTTGTGGGGTGGGGTTGGGGGGAGGGATAGCATTAGGAGATATACTTAATGCTAAATGACGAGTTAATGGGTGCAGCACAACAGCATGGTACATGTATACATATGTAACTAACCTGCACATTGTGCACATGTACCCTAAAACTTAAAGTATAATAATAAAAAAAAGAAAAATACATTTCATGAGAAAAACTGTAAAAAGACACAAATAAGCTTACTATATAATGGTAATGGGGTCAATTCAGCAAGAGAATATAACAATTTTAAATGTATATGCACCCCCAAGTGGAGCACCCAGATATATAAAGGAAATATTGTTAAAGAGAAAGAGAAAGATAGACCCAAATAGAATAATAGCTGGAGATTTCAAGACCCCACTTTCAGCATTGGACAGACCTTCCAGACAGAAAATCAATGAAGAAACATCAGACTTAATCTGCGCTATAGACCAAATAAATCTAATAGATATCTACAGAACATTTTACCCAAGAGCTTCAGAATACACAGTTGTATCATCAGAACATGGATCATTCTCAATGATAGACCATATGTTAGGTCACAGAACAAGTCTTAAGATATTCAAGAAATTGAAATAATATTGAGAATCTTCTCTGATCACAATGGAAACATACTAGAAATTAATAAGGGTTGGGCACTGTCCTCACACCTGTATTCCCAGCACTTTGGGAGGCTGAGGTGGGCAGACCACTTGAGGTCAGGAGTTAGAGAGCAGCCTTGCCAACATGGTGAGACCCTGTCTCTACTAAAAATACGAAAAAAAAAATAGCCATGCTGGTGTCACGCACCTGTAATCACAGCTACTTGGGAAGCTGAGGCATGAGAATCGCTTGAATCTGGGAGGCGGAGGTTGCAGTAAAGGCGAGATCATACCGCTGCACTCTAGCCTGAGTGACACAACAAGACTCCATCTCAAAAAAGTAAATAAATAAACAAATAAAAGAAATTAATAATGAGAAATTTTGTAAACTATATACTGTATGAATAAATAAAAATTAAACAATATGTTCCTGAAGGACCAGTGGGTTAATGCAGGAATTAAGAAGTAAATTGAAATTTTTCTTGAAACAAATGATAATTGAAATACAACATATGAAAACCTATGAGACACAGCAAAAGTAGTACTAAGAGGAAAGTTTATAGCTATAAGTGCCTACATCAAGAAAGAAGAAAAACTTCAAATAAACAATCTAACAGTGCATCATAAAGAATTAGAAAAGGAAGACCAAACCAAACCGAAAATTTGTAGAGCAAAAGACATAATAAAGATCAGAGCAGAAATAAATGAAATTGAAATGGAAAAAAAGTATGAAAGACTAATGAAATAAAAACAGGGTCCTTTGAAAAATTAAATAAAACTGACAAACTTTGAGCCAGACTAAGAAAAAGAGAGAAGATCCAAAAAAATAAAATTAGAAATAAAAAAGGAGACATTACAACTGATACTGCAGAAATTCAAAGGATCATTAGTGGCTACCATGAGCAATTATATACCAATAAAGTGGATTTTTTTTTTGAGACAGAGTCTCACTCTGTCACCCAAGTTGGTGTGCAGTGACATGATCTCGGATCACTGCAACCTCCACCTCTTGGGGTACAGGAATTCTCCTGCCTCAGCCTCCCATGTAGCTGGGACTACCGGCACACGCTGCCACATCTGGATAATTTTTTTCTTCTTTCCGTATTTTAGTAAAGACGAGGTTTCACTGTGTTGCCCAGGCTCGTCTCGAATTCCTGAGCTCAGTCAATCCACCTGCCTTGGCCTCCTAAAGTGCTAAGATAACAGGCATGAGCCACCGTGCCCAGCCTACGTACCAATAAAATGGAAAATCTAAAACAAATGGACAAATTCCTAGACACATATAACCTACTAGGATTGAACCAGGAAGAAATCTAAAACCCTAACCGACCAAGAGCAAGTAATGAGATCGAAGCTATACCAAAATCTCTCAGTAAAGAAAAGCTCAGGACCTGATAGCTTCACTGCTGAATTCTACCAAATATTTTAAAAAGAATATCAATCCTACTCAAACTCTTCTGAAAAATAGAGGAGAAGGCAGCAAGCTAACACAGGAACAGAAAACCAAACACCGCATGTTCTCACTCATAAATGGGAGTTGAATAATGAGAACACATGGATACAGTGAGGGGAAATTCATACACCGGGGCCTGTCAGCAGGTGAAGGCCTAGGGGAGGGACAGTGTTAGGAGAAATACCTAATGTAGATGGCAGGTTGATGGGTGCAGCAAACCACCATGGCTCATTTATACCTATGTAACAAACCTGCGCATTGAGCACATGTATCGCAGAACTTAAAGTATATAAAAAAAGATAAACAATTCCAATAGAAAAATGGGAAAATGTAAAAAAAAAAATAGAGAAGGGAATACTTCCAAACTCATTCTATGAGGCAAGTGTTATCCTGGTACTAAAACCAAAGACATATCAAAACACAGAAAACGATAGTCCAATATCTCTGATGAATATTGATGCAAAAATCCTCATAAAAATATTAGCAAACCCTAGTGAAAGTGGACACCCTTGTTGTGTTCCAGATCTTGGAAAAAAGGCTTTCAGCTTTTCCCCATTCAGTGTGATAGTAGCTGTGGGTCTCTCATATATGTCTTTTATTCTGTTGAGGTACGTTTCTTTTATTCCCAGTTTGTTCAGAGGTTTTATTATGAAGGAAAGTTGAATCTTATCAAATGCTTTTTTGCCATCCATTGTGATGATTATACGGTTTTTCTCTTTCATTCTGTTGATATAGTGTATCGCATTGATTGTTTTGCATATTTTGAACTATGCTTGCATCCCAAGGATACATCCCACTCAGTCATGATGAATAATCTTTCTAATGTATTGTTGAATTTGGTTTGCTAGTGTTTTGTTGAGGATTTTTGCATCAATATATACACCTACTCTGCACCCACAAAAATTATTAAAAAGAATTTTTAAAGGACCAAAAAAAGATAGACAATTCAGTTGGCCAACTTCCAAAGAATTGTATGACATAATATTTGGACACTGCCACAAACTCCATACATGTGAAGGACACAATTACTATTGTATGGTTCCTGGACGTACCATCTTCACTTCTGTAGAACTATAGAAATAAGTGGGTGACAGGTGGGAAAAGATTTGTAAGTTATGTTAAGGAGTTTCTAAATCATCACAGGGGAGATGTCAAGCCACTGGAAAGTTAGAACTGGAAAAACATGGTGGAGAGGAGGATGTCTCTTATTGGGATGCACAAAAGGGATGATGGACATCTGAGCTAGCATAATAGCCTATTGAGATGAGAAGAGATACATAGATTTGAGATAATTCAAAGGTAGAGTTGACAGAATTTGATCATTGATTGAGAAAGAGTGAGAACATTGACATCTAAGTTTCTGGATTGATCCTCTAGAAGCAACAATAATCTTAATTCTTTCAAAGGAAATCATATGCAAATTGGTAGTTGACATTTTGCTTGAAGTCTTTAATATAATATTTTCATGATTGTAAAACCAAATGACTCTCCATATTTATGAATGTGCTTACTTTTGACAGAATTTTCATAGGCTCACTCCTTCTAAACTCAGTTCCCTTAACTCTCTTCGCATGAGATCATATGTTTCTCAATAACAAATTCTGCAGTAGGGGCTATTAGGTGCCCAACCCCATCTCCACTTTTCACTCATGCTTCAGGAAGAACAGTTTGCTATTTACCAGGGAAGTCTTTTAAAGCTGCTATGGACATTCAGCTAAAGGACACTGAGAATGTAACTAAGAAATTCAATGATGTCTTCAAGTTGCCTGACTATAGGTTTTGAATAACAATGACCTACACTTATTGAGAGATTAACAATACGCCAGGTACCTTCTAACTTCTAAGTATACTGTTACATTTGGTCCTCACAACAATTCTATGCGGTAATCATTACTATTATCCACATTTTATAGAGCAGGAAATTGACATAGAGATAGCACAAATAGATTGCTCAAAATTACACAAGATGAAAATAGCCGACTCAGGTTTAAGGCCACAGAACTTGTGCCAAGAGCTCTCACGTGAGATATACAAACAAAGATTCCTTTTCTAATTGCCATCAGCTATTTGAGACCATATTATCTGCCAGTTTCCTTGTTGATCTAGAAGCCTCTTTAATCATTAACTACTTCCCCAGAGGCTCTGTCTCCAAATACGGTTACATTGAGGGTTAAGTCTTCAACCTGTGAGTTTTGAGGGAACACAGTATAGTCCTTAAAAGTTGCTCTCTGTTCCCAAGCTGAGTGCTAAGATCTTTCCTCAATAATGAATTCTTTTTTTGCCTAAGTCAGCCAGAGAAGTGCTTTTAACCAACAATGCTAATGAGTAAAGTATCTATATATGATAGCAATATATTTGGTATCCTTTATTTGATGAAATCATTTATTTGATGTTCCTTTCATTTGTACATGTAATCAAGAATCATTTAGTCATTTATTCAAACATAGTTTTACCACTGCCATTTAACCACCTGTGTGACTTTAGAGAAATTCATCTAAGTAACAGTTCCCTTAACTATAAAGTATAGACAATTATACTGACCCCAAGATTGTTTGAAGGATTTGGGGTTATATGAATCTATATAATTATTAAATATCCTGACAAATACAGTTGACCCCTGAACAACACAGGTGTGAACTGCATGGGTCCACTTATGGTTGGATTTTTTGCAATAAATACAGTCAATAGTCCATATTGGTAGGTTCCACATCTGCAACCCCATGCAGATTGAAAATACAGTATTTGCAGGATTCAAAACCTGTGTACACAGAAAGCTGATTTTCCTAATGGCAGGTTCCACAGAGCCAACTGCAGGACCTGAGTATGAGTGGATTTTAGTATCATTGGGGATCCTGGAACCAATTCCTCCAGGATACGGTGGGATGATTGTAGTATTAACTGGCAGTATCATATGTTTGGGTGGGCTCTGACACCTTTTTAAAAAAAGATGGCCAGGAGAAAAAAAAATGAATATTTAATTTTTGGTTTTCAAAACTGTGACTGTGAAACAAAGCTAATTCCTTCTTTTTTTCATAGTGAATATGTTTTTTAATCATTAACTATTTCTTTACAAATGAAAATTGTATATATTTATTGAGTACAACATGATGTTTTAAAATATGTGTACATTGTTAAGTGACACAGTAGAGCTAATTAATATATGCAATATCTTATAAACTTTTAATGTTTGGATGAGAACACTTAGAATGTATTCTCATAACAATTTTCATAAAAGTATTTTTAAACATAGTCACCATGCGATACATTAGATTTATTGGACTGCTCCTACCATCTAACTGAAATTTTGTGTCCTGTGACCATCTCCCCAATCCCTACCACCTCCTGCAACCTCTATTAACCACTATTATACTCTCTGCTTCCATGAATTTAACTTTTTCCAATTTCACACGTAAGTTACATAATGTGGTATTCGTCTTTCTGTGCCTGGTTTATTTTACTTAACACAATGTACTCCAAGTTCATCTATGTGGTTTCATATGACTGAATTTCCTTCCTTTTAAAAGCTGAATCGTATTCTATTATGCGTATACACCACATTTTTAATGTTCATAAATCTGTTGATAGAAACTTAGGTTGATTATATGACTTGGATATTGTGAATAATTCTACAATGTACATAGAAGTGCAGATATCTGTTTAACATACAGGCCTATCTCAGTGATTTTGAGGATTCAGTTCCAGACGACTGCAATAAAGTGAATATTTCATTAAAGCAAGTCACACAAAGTTTATGGTTTCCCCGTGCATATAAAAGTCATGTTCACACTGTACTGTAGTCTATTAGGTTTCCAATTGCATTATGTTTTTAAAAAGTACCTATCTTAATTTCAAATACTTTATTGTTAAATAATGCCTAGGATAATCTGAGCTTTCAAAGAGTTGTAATCTTTTTGCTGGTGCAAGGTCTTGTTTCAATGTTGATGGCTGCTGACCAGGGTGGGACTTGCTGAAGGTTAAGGTAGCTAAGGTAATTTCTTAAAATAAGACAACAAACAAGTTTGCTGCATTGATTAACACTTCTTTTCACAAAAGATTTTTCTGTAGTATGTAATGCTGTTTGGTAGCATTTTACCCACAATAAAATTTCACTGAAATTTGGAATCAATCATTTTAACCCCTGCTACTGCTTTATCAACTAGGTTGATGTAACATTAGAAATCCTTTGTTACCATTTCAGCAATGTTCACAGAATCTTCACCAGGAGTAGCTTCTATCTCAAGAGGTCATTTTCTTTGCTCATCCATAAGAAGCAATTTCTTATCCATTCAGGTTTTATCTTGAGATTGAAGCAATTCAGTCAGATCTTCACACTCTACCTCTAATTTTAGTTCTCTTGTTATTTCCACCACATCTGCAGTTACTTCCTCCATTTAAATCTTGAGTGCTTCAAAGTTATCTGCAAGGATTGGAATCACCTTCTTCCAAATTCCTGTTGATGTTGATAGCTTGATCTCCTCCCATGAATCATGAATGTTTTTAATGGCATATGGAATCGAAAATCCTTCCAAGAGGTTTCCAATTTACTTTGCCCTAATCCATCAGAAAAATCACAATGTATTGCAGCTATAGCCTTACAGAATGTATTTCTTAAATAATAAGAATTGGAAAGTTGAAATTACTCCTTGATCTATGAGCTGCAGAATGAATGTATGTTAGCAGGCATGAAAAAAATATCCTTTTACATCTCCATCAGAGCTCTTGAATGAATAGGTGCATTGTCAATGAGCAGTAATATTTTCATAAGAATATTTTTTTCCTGAGTAGAGGTCTCAATAGTAGCCTTAAAATATTCAGTAAACCATGCTGTAAATAGATGGTGCTGTAATCTAGGCTTCGTTCTTCCATTTATAGAGCATAGGTGAAGTCTATTTACCATAATCCTTAAGGGCCCCAGGATTTTTGGAATGGTAAGAGAGCATTGGCATCAACTTAAAGTCAGCAGCTGCATAAACTGCTAATAAGAAAGCCAGCCTGTCCTTTGCAGCTTTGACGGTTGGAATTGACTTCCCCTTTCTAGCTGTGACAGTCCTTGATGGCATCTCCTTCCGATAGAAACCTGTGTCATCTAAATGGGAAATTTGTTGTTTGGTGTAGCCACCTCCATCAATTATCTTAGCTAGATATTCTGGATAACCTGCTACCGTTTCTACATCAGCACTTGCTGCTTCCCTTTTGCACTTTTATGTTATGAAAATGGGCCAGGCACGGTGGCTCATGCCTGCAATCCCAGCATTTTAGGAGACTGAGGTTGGTGGATCACCTGAGGTCATGAGCTTGAAACCAGCCTGAACAATGTGGTGAAACCCCGTCTCTACTATAAATACAAAAAAAAAGTCAGCCAGCTGTGGTAGTGGGAGCCTGTAATTCCAGCTACTTTGGAGGCTGAGGGAGGAGAATCACTTGAGCCCAGGAGCAGAGGTTGCAGTGAGCCCTGATCGCCTCACCACTGCATTCCAGCCTGAGCAACAGAGTGAAACTCTGTCTAAAAGAAAAGAAAAGAAAGAAAGAAAGAAAGAAAGAAAGAAAGAAAGAAAGAAAGAAAGAAAGAAAAGAAAGAGAAAATGGCTTCTTTCCTTAAACCTCATGAACTAACCTCTGCTAGCTTCCAACTTTTTTTCTGCAGCTTCCTCACATCTCTTAGCCATCAAATAACTGAAAAGAGTTAGAGTCTTGCTCGGGATTAAGCTTTGGTTTATGAATGTTGTGGCTAGTTTAATTTTCTATCCAGAGCACTAAAACTGGCTCCAAAACAGCAATAAGGCTATTTTGCTTTCTTATCATTTATGTGTACACTGGTTTAGCACTATTAATTTCCTTCAAAGATTTTTCCTTGCACTCACAACTTGGCTAACTGTTTGGTGCAAAAGATCTAGTTATTGGACTGTCTGAGATTTTGACCTGCCTTCCTCACTATGCTTAATCATTTTTAGCTGTTTGTTTAAAATAAAAGACTCGTGACCCTTCCATTCACTTGAATACTTATAGATCATTGTATGGTTAATAATTGATGTGATTTAAATGTTCTTGTGTCTCAGGGAATAGGGAGGCTGGAAGAGAGGGAGAGAGTCTGGGAACGGTCAGCCGGTGATGCAGTGAGAACACTCACAACAGTTATCAATTAAGTTTGCTGTCTTATATGGGTGCAATTGGTGGTGCTCCAGAACAGCTAAAATAGCACCATCAAAACTCACTGATCACAGATCACCTTAACAGACACAATAACAAGGAAAAAGTGTGAATATTCTGGGAATGACCAAAATGTAACACAGACAGGAAGGGAGCACATTTGTTGGAAAAATGGTGCCAGTAGACTTGCTTCATGCAAGGTTGACACAAAACTTCTATTTGTAAATAGAACCTTTATAGTACCTCTGAAGTATGATAAAGTGAAGTGCAATAAAATGAGGTGTGCCTGTACTGATTTCATTTCCTTTAAACATATATGCAGTAGGGATTGCTGGATCATATGTTAGCTCTATTTTTAGCTTTTTAAGGAATCTCTGTACTGTTTTGCATAAGGCTGCAATAGCTTACGTTCCCACCAACAGTACACAAGGGTTCCCATTTCCTCACATTCTCCCCAACAGTTGTGATCTTTCATCTTCTTGATAATAGCAATTCTATCGAGTACGAGGTGGTATTTTGGTTTTAATTTGCCTTTTCTTGATAATGAGTACTGTTGAGCATTAGGAAAAAAAAAACCCTTAGTTATTTATATGTCTTCTTTTGCGAAATGTCTATTCAGGATGGCGGTGGGAAGCTAGCTGCAGCCGGCTGGGGAGGGGGTGTCTGCACACCAGAGAGTAGTGTGCTGGATGATTCTGGCACCCGGAATAGCCTCCTCCTCCTCCCACTGCCTAGACCTGGAGAAGCCCCTTCTCATCCTTCTCACCCATCCCCTTGTGGCAGGGCAAGTGGGCTGAGCTGCCCCATGCTTGCACAGCCCAGAGCCCGAACCTGCAGGACAAGTGCTGCAGAGTGAACTTCACCTCCTTTCCAGGGCTCACGTGTGAGCCACTACCCTAGGTTGTGTTGATGTCTTATTGCTGTTTCTCCAAAACTGTAATAAGACCATTTTTCTACTTATCATTCCTGTTTACACTGGACTAGTACTTTTAATTTCCTTCAAAATTTTTTCATTGCACTGAAATCTGTTTTTGTATTGACATCCTGACTCCAGACTTGCCTTTCCAAATCTAGATAAGCATAGTGACCATTCCCCATAACCAAGATCCCTTTCTCACTGTTGCCTCTCTCCTGACATACCTGCTGCCGTATTCCCTACTCTTCCCCCTCCTCAAGAAAATAAATAAATAAAAAATAAAATAAAAAAAGCAAAACAAAACTACAAACAAAAAATAGCTTACTCAAGGAATTAGGTAGGTAGGGAATGATGGATCACATTGGAGTCTGGGATTAAAAACACACACAAAAAGAAAAAAGTTAAAATGCACTTGTTTTCTCTACACTGGCTAAGAATATTGCTCTACAGTATAAATTTTAATGTCATGTGTCTGAATGTAGTGTGCATTTGAGTAGCATTGTGTGTGAGTGGCTCCACAAGTACCTTCTAGTGCAGCCCCTCAGTTTAAAGAAGAAAGTGGGGGGAAAAAGAAACTCCAGAAAGCTTTAATGTTCTTGAGTGATTCCTTTACCTAATGAGCATGGTTTTAACAACTGGAGATGAGCCTACTTTGGAAACAGCCCCTCTTACCCCATATTTATTCTTAGGGCACCCCTTTATCCACTCCATGCCCATTATGTCTCATTCTCAAGTGGCAATGAGTTAACTAGAAATTTAAATATTTTCTGTAACTTTACACTTAGATTATGCTTTGTTATGAATTTTTACACCCTTCTTCTCTTAAAGATGCAGAATTGGGCTTTAAAAAAAATTATTGGCTCAAATAAGCCCTTCCCCTTCCACTTGTCTCTCGGGAATGTGAGCTGATGGTTCTTAAGATGTTGAGTTTTGTTTACTATTCACTGCTCTTTAGCCAGGAATTCTCTAGTGATCAGAAGCAATGCAACTGAAGACCAGTTTTTAAATTATGTGTTGACATGTTACCTTATATTTAAAAAGGAAAAAAAATTAGCTGGCTTATATTATGCCAGATGTCAGTAACATGAAGTCCTAATTTATTGTTCTCAGTTGTTTTCCTACCTAATGTGAACTTCCGTGTCCCTGAGCCCTCAGGAGTACCTACAGCTTATGGTGCAATGTCTTCTCCCAAAGTGTTGGCCACCATTTCACCCAAGGCCCTCTTCCAATTCTTGCTTATCTGAGTCAGATTTAGAGAGTACCACTGTCTCCCCTTATCCCTTACTTCATCTCCAAACCACATACTCGTGCTATACTTTTCTTCTCAGTACCTCTCCCTGAATGATGAGCTGCCATTTTAGGAAATTGGACCAGATACCAATTTGGGAGCTTTCAGTCAAACAGCCTCAAACCCATTTCTTCCTATGAAAGGGTGCAAGTCTCTGAAGCTCTCACTCACCCCTGTAGTCTGTGTAGAAAATGTACTTAATCCCCCTGGCCCCCTACTGTCATTGCCTTTGGTGTGAGATGTTCCCTATTTCCTAGTTTAGTTTGAGTCCCTCTCTCCTCTGCTAGCCAACACCCATCCAGCAATAAGGAACCAAGCGACAGCCTCCTATTCACACTCCCTGCCCCCTTTCCACACTACCCTAGGGAATACCTGGATTGCCCCACTCTGTCCACATACTGTAGCATTCATTCTCTATCATCCTCTCACCTGTGGTGGTTTATGGATGTGATAGAGTTTTTAAGATTACTACAAACTAGTAAAGAGGAAAAGCAACTCAAAGAGAGAGAAAGAGAGAAAGAAAGAAAGATCTGTTCAGGGTCTTTGCCCATTTTTAATTTGGATTATTTGTTTTCTTGCTATTAAGTTTATTATTATTTTAAAAATTAACCCCTTATCAGATGTATGGTTTGCAAATATTTTCTTCCATTCCATAGGTTGCCTCTTCATCCTGTTGATTGTTTCTTTGCTGTATAAGACTGTTTTAGTTTGATGTAATCCCATTTGTCTATTTTGCCCTTCATTATCTGTGCTTTAGGGATTCTATCCAAAAATCATTGCCACAACTAATATCACAAAGCTTTTCTCCCATGTTTTGTCCTAGTGGTTTTGCAGTCTCAGGTCTTACATTTAGGTCTTTAAACCATCTGGGGTTGAGTTTTGTATGTGGTGTGAGATAAAGTCTAATTTCAATTTTCTGCATGTGGATATGCAGTTTTTTTCAACAGCATTTATTAAAGAGACTGTCTATTCCCCATTCACGTGTTCTTGACAACTTTGTCAAAATCAATCATCTTAAATGCATGGATTTATTTCTGGACGTTCTATTCTGTTCCATTGTTTCATGTTTCTGTTTTGATGGTAGTACAATCCTGTTTTCATTACTATTGCTACATAGTACATTTTGAAATTAGGTAGTGTGATATCTCCAGCTTTATTCTTGTTGCTCATGATCGATTTTGCTCTTAAGGATCTTTTGTGATAACATATACATTTTTTGGTGTGTTATATTTCTTTGAAGAATGTCATTGGTATTTACATAGGAATTGCATTGAATCTGTAAATCGCTTGGGGCATTGTTGTCATTTTGACAGTATTAATTTTTGCAATCTATAAATAATAAATAGCTTTCTATTTATTTGTGTTTTCTTCACTTTTTTCATATATGTTTCATAATTTTCACTATATAAGTCTTTTACCACGTTATTTACATTTACTCTTAAGTATTTATTTTTTGTAGCTTATGCAAACAGGATTTTTTTCTTTGTCAGGTCTTTCATTGCTAGTGTATGGAAACACTACTGATTTGTGTATGTTCATTTTGTATCTTGCCACATTACGGAATTTGTTTAGTAGTTTTAACCTAGTTTGCTGCAGTCTTTAGGATTTTTTACATATAAGACCATGCTATATGCAAACAGGGACATATTTAGCTACTTCCTTTCCAATTTGGATGCTTTTTATTTTTTTCTCTTGCCTAATTGCTCTGAGTAGAACTTCCATTAATGCACTGAATAGAAGTAGTGAGAGTGAGCATCCTTGTCTTGTTCTTAATCTTAGAAATATGTTTTTCACATTTCACCATTAAGTGTAATGTTAGCGGTGGATTTATCATAAATGGTCTTTATTGTATGAGCTACATTCCTTCTATACCTCATTTGTTGAGAGTTCATAATCAGGAAATCATGGTGAACTCTATCAAATGCTTTTTCTGCTTCTATCAAGTATCATATGGATTTTGTTGTTTATTCTGTTGATGTGGTATTTCACATTTATAGATCTGTATGTTGAATTATCTTTGCAACCCTACGTTAAAGCCCACTGTATCATGATGAATGAACTTTTTGACATGCTGTTGGGATTAGTTTGTTAGTATTAATATTTATTGATGCACCTATGTTCATTAGTGCTATTGCCTAATATTTTCATTTGTTGAAGTGTCCCTATCTTTGGTATCAGGATTATGCTTGCCTTGTAAAATAACTTTGGAAGTATTCCCTCTTCTTCAATTTTTTGGAAGGCTTTTAGATTGGATTGACATGAGTTCTTCTTTAAATATTTGGTGAAATTCAGCAGTGAAGCCATAAGGTCCTGGGCTTTCCTTTAATGGAATATTTTTTATTACTAATTTAACCACCTTACTCATTATTGGTCTGTTTAGATTTTCAATTTCTTCATCTTGGTGGGGTTTATGTATCTAGGAATTTACCCATTTATTGTAGATTATCCAATTTGTTGGCATATAATTTGTCATAATAGTCTCTTCTGATTTTTTTGTGATGTAAGTTGTGATGTCTCCTTTTTGTTTATGATTAACTTTTTTTTTCCCCCTTAGTCTGGATAAAGGTTTGTGAATCTTATTTAACTTTTGGAAAGATCAAATTTCAGGGTTTTTTTTTTTCATTGTTTTCATAGTTTCTATTTAATTTACCTGCCCCAACCTTTATTTATTCCTTCATTCTATTACCTTTGGACTTAGTTTATTCTTTTTATACCTCCTTGAAGTGTAACATTAAGTTGTTTAAGATCTTTCTTCTTTTTCAGTGTGAAAGTTTTGAGGCATCTAACAAGTTTTGGTATTTTGAGTTTCCATTTTTGCTGTTCTCAACATATTTTTAAATTTCCATTTTAATTTCCTCTTTAATCCATCTGTTGTTCAGAAGCATGCTGTTTAATTTTCATGTATTTGTGAGTTTTCTAAAAAATTTTCCTGTTATTAATTTCTAGTTTCATGTCATTGTGATCTGGAATGATAAATGGTATGATTTCAGTCTTCTTAAATTTATTATGACATGCCTTGTGTCCTAATATTTGTTCTCTAGCATTTCCTGTAAGACAGCTCTGATGGTAATAAACTCCCTTAATTTTTGTTTTTCTGGCAAAGATTTTAATCTTTCCATTACTTGCAAAAAACAGATTTTCCCGAGAATCGTATTTTTGGTTGACACTTTTTTTTTCTATAGAACATTGAATATATCATTCCATGCTCTCAGCCTATAAGTTTCTCCTCAAAAATCTGCTATTAGCCTTCTTGGAACTCCCTTATATATTATTTGCTTGTTTTCTCATTTATTTCCAGAATCTTCCTTTTCTTTGATTTTTGACAGTTTAATTAAAATATTTCTTGTACTCTTGATGGGACTGAATCATATCAAACATCTTCAATATTCCTATACCTGTATATTTCTCTTTCCCCAGACTTGGAAAGTATTCTGTTATTATTTCATCATATAAGATTTCTTTCCCTATGTGTTTCTCTTCTCTTTCTGGGACACACATGATGTGTGCATTGGTTCTCATACTGATGTTCTATAATTGCCATAGGATGTCTTTATTTTTTCTCATTTTTTTCCTTTTGTGTCTCTGACAGTAAATTCAAATGATGTGTCTTTGAGTTTATTGATTCTTTATTCTACTTGATCAAATCTGCTTTCAAAGAAGTCTATGAAATTTTCAGTTCAACCGTTGTGTCCTTTATGTCCAGAATGTCTCTTTTTTAATGATTTCTTTCTGTTTGTTGAACTTTCTATTTTGTTCATGTATTATTTCTCTGATTCTTTTTAGTCATCTATCTGTGTTCTCTTGAAGCTCACTGAGCATTTTAAAGACCATTATTTTAAATTCACTGTCAGAAAGTTCATAAATCTTTATTTTTGGGGGTCAGCTATTGGGTATTCTTTTTTTTCCTCTGGTGGTATCATTTTTCTCTTATATTTCTTGATTTTTAGGCTGTGCATTGGTGTCTGCACATTTGAAAAACAAGAAAGTTATTCCAGTCTTTGCATACTGGCTTTGTCTGGAAAAACCTTTCCCCAGTCATCCAGCAATTCTTGGTAGGGTGTCTGTTGTGGTGTGCAGGTGAACTTGTTGCTGAAGTCTTCAGGCAGGCTGGCCTGGTGTCTGTGTCAGCAGGTGGTAGGCTTGGTTCCTGGGTCTGTAGAGTTGGGCCTGAATCCTATATCCACTGGCTGGATATTTTCATTGGGTATGTGGGGATGAACATAAAGCCTATGTCTATCAGGGCAGGCATACAGCCTGTACCAGTAGGGGCTGGAATGAAGCCCATGTCTACAGGGGCTGACATGGCTCTGATGTGGGCATTGAACCTGTGTCTACAAGGGCTGGCTAGGTTGTGGAATGGGCCTAATTAAGGACATTAATATGAACGAAGCATCCCAGAGATCCTTGACACATTGTGAGAATACACAGAGGGAGCATCTCCACCAGCCTCCCACAGACACTCAGCCATGCAGTCCCCATTCCCTGCCATGAGCAACAGTTTCAAGGCTTCACAGGGGTTCAAAGATGGCCAGCTTATTGCCACTCTTTGTAGTATGAAGTATACCAAAAAATAAAGATAGATCAAAACATTGATAATATAATGGCTTTAAAATCTGTGTATTTTATAAATGTATGCTTACAACCACAAAAATGCCATGCAATACTGTTGTTCTACTCACAAGATCAGTACAGGAATTATAAAGCATTGATTCAGGGTTGACTTCTGCCAGCATGTAACTGATGGTGAATGTGTTCTCTTCATTCTGCCTGAGTTTCAATGGGTGATATCATTGGTGATACAGCTGGAATCTCATATTTGGGACCCTTTTTGAAAGTGGGGCCATGCCTAAATTGTATCCTAGGTGTCTACTCCACCATGACCCCCTGAAGGACCTGTGGTTTCCCAAAGGTTGGAAGAAGATTCAGGGCTAAGCAGTTGGAGAGACCTAGAATCAGAGATCTCTCACACAGACTGAAAACCCCAAAACTGATTAGCATAACCTCAGCACCAGTAAAACCAGAATTCATTGCTTCCATTCAGAGATCCCATGTTTGTGCCAGAATCCAAGCTGCAATGAGTGTTTCGGGAAGTCACTTATGACTAATACTGAGTATGATGGGACTGATATCAGAGCTGAGCTAGGCCCAGAGGGCCCAGAAGCAGTGACACAGAAGGCTAAACCTTTCAGTTTTGATCCATAGATTAGCTACATCAGAGAAGTGGACTTGGAGAATCCCCTGCTGGAGTCTTGCAGAGTAACCACTCTGTCAGATAGCATGTGTTTCTGGGAGGAAGTCATAGGGGTCTAGTTCCGCCTTATACCCCTGCACACCATAAGCATGGGCTGAGATCTAGAGAGAGTCCAGAGCTGGTCTGAAAGGCTGATACAAAGGAGTCTGCTCTGGAACTGAGGTATTCTAAGAACTTGGCTATCTCAGCAGCCCTACAGATGGGAGAGGAGCCCACAGATGGGAGAGGAAGCTATTCTCCTGGCCAAGGTCCTGAGACAGTTTGACAGAAGCCTAGGCAGACTTGAGGCCGACTGCAGCTAGCACTGGCACTCGAAATGAAACCTCCCCTGTAGTCCCATGGATAGTTTTTTGTATAAACATAGAAATTGACCATTCTGGTCTTAAAGCTTGAAACTTTTATTTGTTTTCTATGAGTTTCATCCTTGGTAAAGGACCCCTAGGTCCCTCAAAAAGTATAAAAGAACTGAAATTCACCAGATGATTCCATCCAGATGATGGCACACCAGACCCCTCATACATTATGATTGCTTCCTTAGGTCTCCTGAGTTCCTGTTTTTCTACACATGGTTACTTTTCCTCCCTGCTATGTAAACTCATAATTTTAGCTGGTCAGGGAGATGGATTTGACACTGAACTACCATCTCCTCTCCTACAGCATCTGATTCAGCCTTCTCCCTTGGCAAGAATTGTTGATATGAATTGGTTTTCTGTGCAGTGAGCAGCTGGAGCTAGACCACACCCCTGGTGTTTCACTAACAGATTTTGATTCCCCAACCAGGAACACTTTGGCTCAGCTACCATGGGCGGGGAATCTCAAAGTCCTCCTAAGCAGCTGCTTACCCAATTTTGGCTAGAGATGAGTACCCTCTCTCTAGGGCCAGCCACAGCTGGCCCCAACCATGTTCCTGATTGCCTTGGGAGAACTGCCTTTGAAATTTGATATTTGCATCCAGATAGGTGACTCTCCTCTGTGGGCCCAGACAGAAAGATCTCCTCCTCACAGTTTGGGAAATTTTTAAAGGAATTTCCACTTGCAGGTTGAACAAGCCCAATTGATGAAGAGAGGGAAGTACCCTGACTATTTCAGTACGGACACTCTTAGGAGCTTGTTTGTCATTGTGTGTGTATCCAGGCAAGTGAGTGTCATTTGTGGGAACCAGACAGTGGGATCTGCTCCTCTCCATCTGAGAAATTCTGAAGGAATTTTTATTTCAGGTCGATTGAGCCCAACCAATGGAGAGAGGAAGCACCACAACTCTTTCACATCGTAGACTTTTGGGGCTTGTTTGATGCTGCAGCAGTTGGATTGTGTTTTAGTAATTGTTTGCATGTGTCTGATACAGTCATGGGAAATTCGAATTTGATAAACTGGTACTCTTTTGTGACACTGTTTGGCTCCAGTATAGTTTGGAATCTGGAGTTTGCTGTTGAATGGGAAAGTGGGATTTTGTGCTGCTGTTTTAAGCAGGGTCGGGCCAGGTTAATATGTGATGATCTCATGCGGTGCCGTTTTTGACCCCAGTGTTTTGGGAGTATAGGGAGTTTTGGCCTTTAAAAATCAAACTGCCACAGAAACTCATTTTATTTAAAATTTGTTTCACAGCCTTCCCTGGATTACCTATCAAGGCTAACAAAGTTCAGCCATGTGGACATGTTTGCAGACAGTTGAGACTGTATTACTATCTCATGGCTAGAGTTCCAAGGTAAAAGCTTTTGGATCTTTGTGTGTATATACATCTAGATGTGTTTATGTGTATGCACATGTATTACATTATATGTTGTGACTACCAAATTGGCTTATACATAAAAGAACACTCCTAGATTAAGTAAATAAGTCCAAAGTATTTTTTACATTCACGTTACTTAAGTAAATTTTTAAGAAGCTAGCATTAAAATTATTGTAAGATAAAAATAGAAATGTCTTCAGAATTGTCAGCATACATTTTTTCGGGGTTTTATGTTTGTCTCTGCTAGATATTTTGGGGCATCAGAGTGTGGCACAGAAAGTTATAAAACTATAACCAGTAGTTTGAGACCAGTCTGAAAAATGAAGACCCCCCCCCGCCCCACCATCTCTATAACATAAAAATAAGACAATTAGCCAGGCACATTGATTCATGCCTGCAGCTAGTCAGGAGACTGAGGTGAGAGGATGCTTGAGCCTGAAAGGTCAAGGTTGCAGTGACTCATGATCCAGCCACTGCACTCCAGCCTGGGTGACAGAGTGAGACCCTGTCAAAAAAGAAAAAGATAAGAGGCAGAGAATGACAATGGGGCACAGGAGCATTGCAGAGAAACTAGGGGAACAGTTGTAATTGTTAATACGATGGTCAGAGGAGGCCTCATTGAGCAAGTGGCTTTAAGGTGAAGATTTAAAGAGGGTAATAAGGTTTTCTATAGGTATAATGAGAAAACAGAATGCAAGCAGAAGAAAAAGGACAGCAAAGTGCCTGAAGCAGAGAAGGCAAAGAGATTGAAGTCAGGGACATGACTGGAGGGATGTCAGGGAGGTGACTGGATTCTAAGTCATGGAGAACTTAGAGGGCTGTTATAAGACTTTTATATATCTTTCTCTGAATGAGATTGGGAGTGACAGCAGGACTTGCACAACGAATAACAAAATGTGGCTTTTGTTTTAAAAGGAGTGTTCTGGTTTTACATAGAGAAAAGACTAAAGACATTCTCCATCCAGAAAAGACTGCCAAGAACTCTGAAGCATCTAAAAGTTTACAGGGGCACAGATGCAGAAATGCTGGCAGATGACACAAGCTTCCAGGTAAAGGCAGGATTTTATATGCCTTCAACAGGCAGAATGATTTATATGTTTGTGTCAGTCATCTTTGCTCCACAAGTCCTACAGAGGAAATACAGGAAGGCAGATTAATGTCACAAATTCAATAGATGTGTGTTGCAGCAAAACTGCCTTCTGCTTCAGAAGAAAGCAGTATCTCCAGCTTCCAAGCTGTACTCTTTACAAACATCCTTGAAAGGATAGGAGCAAAGGCTGTCAATGTCTCTGCTCCTAAGACATGCAGAAATGTGAGAGGCCATGAAGACTTTTCTCCCAACCAGAATGAGCAGAATGTCATAATGGATTGGATGTAAAGTGGGAGGGGAAAAGATACTTAAGAATAATTCCAAGAGTTTTTATTTGAATAGGTGAAAAGGTGGAGTTGCCATCAACTTAATTGAGAAAGACTACAGGTGAAGTAGGCTGGGTGGAGAGGGTGGATAAGGAGTTTGATCTGAGACATAATGAGTTTGAGATGGCTATTGGGTGGAATCCAAGAGATATCAAACAGGCTATTGGATACATATGTCTTGAGTTTGGAAAAGAGTTTTAATAGTAATATAAATGTATTAGTCATTGGCAAGCAGATTGATTTTAAAGCCATGGGAACAGATGTGATTACTAGGGAGTAAGTGTGGATACAAATGAAGGCCAATGATTGAACTCTAAAGTGATGCAAAATTAAGAAGTTGGGGAGAAAAGAAGGGTCCACAGAGGAGACTGAGAAATAACCAGTGAAGTTAAAGGAAAAGAAGAGAGTGTGTTTTCTCGGAAACCAAGTGAAGAAAGTCTTAAAGAATGATCTATTAAGAACAGAAGCAATAATTGACCACTGGATTTAATAACATAGAGATCACTGATGGATTTAAAAAATGTTTCAGTAAAATGGTAGCAGCAAAAACCCAGTTAGATAAGATTAGGGGGAGGATTGGAAATAGCATTTGTAGACAATCCTTTCAATGAATTTTGCTACAGAGTGTTAAAGCAAACTAAATATGGTCTGAGAAGGACTCTGTGCTTCATTTGAGCCCTTGTGGGTGTAGAGTAACCTAGCTTAATAGACAAAATTGAAAACCTAATTTAGGAGTCTGCACCTGTAACAATATTTGAATGCTGGCCAGTCCCAGCAGCCTTACATCACCACTCATAGACTGCTGAATGCTCAAACTGTGTTTAAATAAGGCAAACGCCCAGGTGACAGAAATCTCACTGTTTCTGTAACTCATTTCCGGTTCCTGGATGTCACTTTAACTTTTTTTCCCTATAAATTTGTTTTGACCACAAGGCACCCCTGGAAACTCTGTGAATCTGCTGTGATTCTGAAGGCTGCTGGATCGATGAATTGTTCATTGCTCAACTAATCTCCTTTAAATTTAAGTCAGCTGAAGTTTTTATTTTATCAGATTGTGTCAGAAGCAGAATCTGAAGTGGAGCTTCTAGTATCCCCAGGAGCACTGAGTAAACACAGAAGGTACCTGCGGGATCCACTTGTGTCCACTGATCTCTCAGAGCAGCTGAGGATCAAAGGTAAGCTCCCTCTTGCATTTTGGAGCTTCACACATTTGTGTTTTGAGCTCTCTGAGTTTCCTTGTGCAAATTTGTGATCCAAACTGGTTTTGGAGTTGCAACAGAAAATGGACTGGGTCTAGGAATGAATTTGATCTGGGAATTAACTGGCTTGGATCCACTTAGAGGCCACTAACAGTAGAGGCCACTAACAGCTGACTGGGTCATAAAGGAAGTGGTAGTAAGCAGTAATGTCGCAGCAGTCATAAAATTCGGCTTTGGGAAATTCACAGGGATTTTTGTGTTCTACCCATTTGTTTCATTTTTCTTGTGTACCTAGATAGGAAAATTCATTGGTTAAGTTAATCAAAAGAACCTGAGAGTAAAGTCAGTATTTTATGTAAAACTGGAATCCTTAATTTCTGAAAAACTGAGTTCTTTCTGGCTTATACATTAGGACTGGAAGGCAGAGAAGTCTTACACAAATGGCAAAATCTTACTAAAGATAACTTAGAGTGGAACATTCCAAATGAAAAACAATGCATTGAACTACATTTAAAAATGAGGGCTCTCAGTAAAGTCCCTTTTGGCTAAGAACCGGTTTGGCACTATAGAATGTCAACTGTTATACTCTTTGGCACATTTGTAAGAATTCCAAGTGTTAGGCCGGGCGCGGTGGCTCACGCCTGTAATCCCAGCACTTTGGGAGGCCGAGGCGGGTGGATCATGAGGTCAGGAGATCGAGACCATCCTGGCTAACAAGGTGAAACCCCGTCTCTACTAAAAATACAAAAAATTAGCCGGGCGCGGTGGCGGGCGCCTGTAGTCCCAGCTACTCGGGAGGCTGAGGCAGGAGAATGGCGTGAACCCGGGAAGCGGAGCTTGCAGTGAGCCGAGATTGCGCCACTGCAGTCCGCAGTCCGACCTGGGCGACAGAGCGAGACTCCGTCTCAAAAAAAAAAAAAAAAAAAAAAAAAAAAAGAATTCCAAGTGTTATTTCAAAGGAAATTTACAGATATGTTTCCAAATTTTCTATGCTTTTTTCTTATTTTTGTAATGAAACTGGGAAAAATTTCAAAATGGTTATAGATCTGAAATATTTGGCCCTAAGAAACTAAAGAAAATCTTTGCCAACTCCTGCTCTGAGGTTTCCAGTCACAACTGTTCTTAGATATTTCCTATTCCAGAAGAAAGAAGACTCTTCAGGCATCTGATGACCAAAATAAAAGAAACATTATGATGGTGGTGGTGGAGTGTTCTGCTACAGGCATGTGGGAGGCTCACAGAACTCTTAATATTCACTTTTAATTCATTCCACCAGAGAGGAAATGCATGGGTTTTGGATAGGACTCTGTCATTTATCCCTGTAAGAACTTGAGAAATTTATTTAGTCTCTCTAAGCTTTGGCGTATTCAAAATGAAGACGATACTAACAGTACCTACATCATGAGTGTTACTTGAATGGAGATGTGTAAAGTGCATTTTAATTTCATCTGGTCCTTTAACATTTTCCCTTCACTTCTCTTCAGAGTTTTTTCTTGAAGGGCTCGAGGACTGAAGCATCCCACAAAATGATTCTATTGAATAATTCTGAGCAGCTGCTGGCCCTATTCAAATCTTTAGCAAGGAGCATTCCTGAGTCCCTGAAGGTGAAGGAACAGTGGGAGGTTGGGGTATGGGAGTAGGGGTGTTGAGGATGAGAAAATAACAGGCCCAAGAATCTCGTCCTTCCTGACTTTGTGCAGAGGGTTGGAGCTGGGAAACAGGATGGGGTTGGGGACAAAGGAGGCATGTTAAGAGCTGCTGCTTCTCCTCGGCAACAGGCAACTAGGCCGACTCTGCAGATTTTATCACTCATTTGGAGAGGTGGTGAAGAATGGTGGCTACGAACATCGGTTTGGGGCCAGATTCAATAAATATGCATTGCAAGGCTGCCATTTTTTAGTCAGATATCATTGTGCCTGTGTCTTTAGCTTTCTATGCCTTTATCTTTGGTCTTTTCATTAATAAAATGGGAATAATATTAGTAGCCACCTATTAAAGTTGTTGTGGACACTGAATGAATCCATACAATATAAGTGCTAAGTGCATTGTCAAGTGCCCAGCTACTGCACAGTAGCTCTGTGGTATCACAAGGACACCTCCCTGGGAGTTCTGCCTGTTTGCTGGTGACTTCACGTCCATCAGTATGGTCCTGGAGATGCTGCTCATCACACTATCACCAACTTGGTCCCAGTGCTGTCTCCTGACTTCCATTTTTCTCTTCCTCTTCACATACAGACCCCCATCTCTGGGGATCTCAACCTCTCCTATTCCCTTTCATCCCTCCTTCAGGTGTATGGCTCTCTGTTTCACATCAATCACGGGAACCCCTTCAACATGGAGGTGTTGGTGGACTCCTGGCCCGGGTATCAGATGGTTATTATCCGACCTCAAAAACAGGTAGGCACACAGACAGGGACTGGTGGAGCCAGGCAGGTCCAAAGGGCCTGAGGAACTGTCCAATTCAGACACCATGGCTGCTTTCATAGGGTGAAAGGAAATGTGAGTATTTTAAAACACTCCTTCGTTAATGAGCAGCTTGCATGAATGCCACATGTTAACACTCTTCCCGTAAGCATAAGACTAATTTGGGAAAGGGGTTCAAGGGGGAAGGGGAGGAAAAGGACAAGGCTGACACTCACAGATTAAGGGCCCTTTGAGGTGGCAGGGGTCACCTGCAGGGGCTGAATGGAGGCCAATTTACAGGGAAAGTTGTGTGTCTGAGATATCAGAACAGTGATTTAGAAACAAAAACCAAGGCAGTAGTCTACCAGCAAAATTACCTCTCATGGCCAGGCATGGTGTCTTTTACCTGTAATCCCAGCATTTTGGGAGGCCAAGGCAGGAGGATCGCTTGAGGCCAGGAGTTTGGGACCTGCCTGTGCAACATAGTGAGACCTCATCTCTACAAAAAAATAAACAAAATTAGCAGTGCATGGTGGTACATGCCTATACTCCTAGATGCTCAGGAGATGGAGATGGGAGGATGGCTTGAGCCCCAGAAGGTTGAGGCTGCAGTGAGCCAAGATCACACCACTCTACTCTAGCCTGGCCAACAGAGTGAGACCCTGTCATAAAAAAATAAAAGTTGCTTCTCAGGAACCAGGGAAGGGGCACACAATTACTGTGTGTCAACTGTTTGGAAGCACCTCACTCATTAGTGACTGTCATCATCAGAACAATTTTACAAAGTGAGCTTTAATATCTTCAATTTAGAGATGAGGAAACAACACTGAGAAATATTAAGTCCTGTAGCTGCTGGATACCAACTGTTAAAGCATTCCCCAATCTGAATTCAAGTTCAACGGACTCTGCCACTTTTACTAGCTATATAACCATAGGCCCTTCTGTGAGTTTTATCATCTGTTAAAATGGGAAAAATTGGAGGACACTCTTCAGAGGATCACAGAAGGTTTAAATGAGATACCATATGTCAAACACTTAGTACATAGCACATAATTCTAAATAGTATTTACCATAATTAGCCATTGTTGGCCGAGGAAACACAAGGTATACACGATTAAGCTGAAATAGTAATACAAACCTAGGTCTATTTTTTGGCCCTAAAGGCTTCCCCTTTTTGTATCTGTTTCATGCACATCTGGTTAGTGAACTGAAGCCTCATGGACAGCCCAGCTTCAGGTGGGTATAGACGCTGAGCCCCCACATAATAATAAGCTGAGCCTAACACCTTCCCAGGGATGTTCTTTTGATCTCAAGGTTTCCTGACAATTTCAGATGGAAGATTAATGCTTAGTTTATTTGATCCATGGTCCAATTTCTTCAAAGTGTGATATGCTAAATAACTGTATGAGGTCAAATAGTTCTTTTTACTTCAGTAACTTTGTAGTTACTATGTGTATTTTAACAATGTAACTGCACCATCAAGCTGTAACTTCATATATGCATTGCTTTGAACAAGGCTAGTTTTTATAAAGTGAGTCAGTAAACAAAAATATTAAAATATAAAAGTTCCATGCCACACATACATGACCAAAAAAATGGAAAGAATGAAATATGCTGCAATTTACTTGGAAATACATTCACCTAGTCTGATTCCATAGTATACCACGTTTCTTTCAGTATTGAAAATCGATGCAATTTTGAAGAAGACCTTTTTAAGGTGAGATGCAGGAGAATTTCTCTAGAAAAAAATTAATTTTTTCTTTCTTGGTTTTTAATCAGAAAGATAATATATGCTGATTATACAAGTGGAAAAATCCAATATGATTTTAAGAAGTTAATAACCTCTCACCTCCTTTGCCCTCCTCTCCTCCATTCCTACCCTTTGGGGTAATCAGTGTCCTTGCCCATATTAACACACAAACTGTCATCACTTTTTAATTTGCCTTTGACATATGGACATTGCTTTGAGTGAATCAATACAGCACTAACGTTTTCGTTTTAGTAACTGTGGTGTTCCATAGAGTCAATGCAATGCTAGTCAGTCATTCTCCTCCTGTTGGGTTCAAATTGTTCATACTTCTTTGCCATTACAAACAATGCTTCAGTAAACATCCTTGTATACATGTCTTTACATCCTGGAAACTTTTCTCAATGCAATTGGTTTCCAAAAGGGATACGTCCAAGTAAGAGCTTCTCTTATCCTAAGTAGGCACTGCCAGACTACCTTCCCAAAGGATTCCACAGTATTATTTCCATTAGCAATTTGTGGAAGAATTGTTTCCCACATTCTCACCAGCACTGAATGTTATCCTTCTTCTAATTTCTGCCAAACTGGTGGGTGAAAAGTGGCATCTTATTGTAGATTTAATTTGCATTTCCCTGACTAGTGATATTCAACATATATTTTCATATGATTATCAGTCATTTTGGGTTTACTTCTGAACTGTTTATATTGTTTGACCATTTTTACACTGGGATTTTGTGTCATTCTTAAAATTCTCTATGTGTTTTGGATATGAGGGATACTAACACAAGGTGTATGCTACAAATTTGTTGCCCAATTGAGAATTATTTTCTATTTTATTGATAGATTTTCACATGAAGCAATTTTTAATTTTCATGTAATCAAATATATTATCTTTTTCACTATGATTCCTGAGGCTTTGGGGGTTTTTTTGTTAATAATTAGGAAGATTTTTCCTAATCCAAGATCATACAAGTTGTTTTTTTCATTTTGTCTTACAGTGAGTTTTTACTTTTGACATTTCAAACTTCATTCTATTTGCAATATATTTTTGAATAGCATGCATTAACATTCTTTTATATTTATTCACCTTATGGCTGGCTAATTACATTAGTGCTATTTATTAAATAAGTCACTCTGCTACTGAAACATAAATGTCTATTTTGTCATGTAACATTTTTATATATTTTTGTAGCTATTTCTGTATTTGTTTTAGTCTTTTCTCATGCTATTTCAATGTTTTGTGGTAAATATTAATATCTAATAAAGCAAATCACCCTTCACTAATGTTTTTCTTGATTTCCTATTTCTTATAAACTTAAGAGCTATATGAACAAAAACTAATTTTTCAGTTCCCCAATTCCCCCAACTAAGTATTGCAATTGTGATTTGTATTGGAGGAGTTTTTTAGACAATTGTGGAAGCATTAATATTTTTGTGATACTAAATATTTTTATCAAGAAATATGGTCTTTCTCTCACTTTTTTCAGTTTCTGTTCTATGCCATCTGGTAAAATATTAGTGTTTTCCTGAGGTAAACTACATTGTTTTCTGTCGAAGTCTCTTATATTTTCTAAATGTGTAATACTGTAATCTATAAACAAAGTAATTTGCTGCTTCTTTGCCAATATTTGTATGGGTTTTTAGTTTCTTGCCTTATTGTATAATGTACAACCTAAGAAAACAATATCAAATAACCATAATAATAGTTCTATTCTTGTCTCATTCCTGATTCTAATGAAATAGCTATAAACACTTACCTTTAAAATTACATTTAATTCTGTCTTTACAGGCTTAGAGCACTTTCCTGTTTTCCCACTTTCATAGAAATTATATTTAGAATGAACGGTAAATTTTATGTTATTTCATTTTTGTCTTTTTATGGAAATTTATATACTCATGTAATTTTTTCCTCCTTTAATTTATTACCCTAAAAGATCTTCTGATCAAACTCATTCTGGCCTTTCTAAAACAAACTGTTCATGTTCACATTCTTTTCATATGCTACTGAATATTTTATTCAGAATTTTTGCATCTGTATTCATAAGCCAATATGGTCAGTAACTCTCTTTTTGTTATTTCTTTACCAGATTTGGCATTAGGATCTTTTCATCTTTTACCAAACAATACAATTAAAATTATGTGTTTGGTTTTGTCTTATGTAGAATTGAAATGTAAAATAATCTAATTTTGGCTACTTTTTAGTTTGTAATTTCAACTTTCCTTTTAGATAAAGGGGGTACATGTGCATATTTGTTACATGCAAATATTGCATGATGCTGAGTCTTGGAGTACGGACAGATCCCATCACCCTGGTAGTGAGCATAGTACCCGATAGGTAGTTTTCTAACCCAGCCCCTTTCCCTCCACCCTCTAGAGTCCATAGTGTCTATTGTTCCCACATTTATGTCCATGTATGGTCAATGCTTAGCTCCCAGTTATGAGTGAAAACGTGATATTTGATTTTCTGTTACAGCATTAATTTGCTTAGGATTATTACACTGTGGAAAGTAGTCTGGAAATTTCTTAGAGAACTTAAAACGGAGTTGCCATTAGACCCAGCAATGCCATTACTAGGTAAATACCCAAAAGAAAATGAATCATCCTACCAAAATGACACATGCACTAGGATGTTCATTGCTGCACTGTTCACAATAGCAAAGACATGGAATCAACACAGATCCCCATCAAAGGTGCATTGGATAAAAAAAAAACTTGCTACATACATTCATATGGAATACTACACAGCAGTAGAAAAGAATAAAATATTGTCCTTTGTAGCAACACGGATGGAGCTGGAGGCCATAATTCTTGTCCACTTTTCAAATGGTAGATGTTTAATTTCATTTCTGATATTTCTATTAGTTCACTGAAGTTTTCTATTTTTTGAAAGTCAATTTTGATAGTTTATTCTTGAGGGATAACATCCATTTCTTTATCAGTGAATATGTTGCCTTGGAGTATATAATCTTCTATTATAAGTCTTTTTTCTTTTCTGTTTCCGTTCTCATGGCTCATACTCTATGCCTTTTTTTCTCTTTTCTCTTTCTCTTCTATTTCCTTTAAATGCCTTACCAGAAGTTTATCTCTCTCTTCTGCTCTTTCTCTTTTTCCCATTTAATAATGAACTTTCTACATTTCAGTATTTATGGCTTTTATTTTTACAAATTGTTCCATTAGTTATTTTCTGGTTTACTTTGATATTCTCTTTATAATTCTTTGAATATTTACTTGGCTATTTTAAGACATTCTTTTAAAATCGGGTCTTTTAAAACTTCTACTCTTTTAAATTCACTGAGGTGTTGTGTTTTGGCCATATTCAGGAACTTGCATTTATAAAAGCACCCCCAAATTTTTGAAGGTTTCCTTAAAATTAGTTACACTATTTTCTCTTTTACTCCTTAACGATAAAATTTTCAACATGATATTAATACATTCACTGCTAAAACTCTCACACTTATTGTTTATATTTCCCCTGATAAACAGATACACATCGTCCCATGAAGTTTGTGGCTTGTCAGAATGGGATCACAAGTCTCTTTCTTTAAAACCCATGAGTCCAACACCACATAAATTGTGCAGAGTGCTACCGAAAATTCAGTTACTTCATTCTATTTTGTGGGCTTCTGGCTGTAAAGGCCATGTCACTCTTCAAAGAGGCTGATATCCTGTAGCCTTGGGAAAAGGCAATGTCTCCTTAATGTTTCTATTCACTAAAGTATCTTGCTCAAACCCTGGACACTGCAGATTCTAAAACAGTATAGATTGTAGGTGTCTGGTGAAACAGTAGGCACTAAAACTTAGAGAAATCACAGTTAAATTCATCTTGTGCCAAGTTTAAGAACTTAACCCTATCAACACGGACTCAGTACAACGCAGAATATGTCCCACAGGGGGTTATGTGGGGCACAGTATATATAACAGGGGGATATGTGTGGTCCAGGAGGTGAGAGAAGCAGGGAGAGAAGCAATTGTTGCATTCCTTTGCTTCTGCTGGGCGCTCTGTGATGCTATATATAAAATAAGGTAAGTGTGCGGTTGAGTGGGTAGGGAGAAAGGTGAGGCATCTTAAGGCCTGGTGGAAGGTGACTGATTTCATCCTGTCTTTGTTATGCATCTGATAAGCAGGTTTATAACCAGTACCTGTCAGTGTTCAATATTTAACAAACTCCAGTTAAACAGGTAAGAGGTCAGCAGTAGCTTATAGGCCTTGGTTCTATTATCCATGTGCCCAACTGCAGCCATCGTGGGCTGGTGTTAAAATTTTCCTTTCAATTGTCATTTTTCTAATAATTGCAATCAGTGAGAGGAGAAGAAAAAGTTCAAGGGAATGACCTGACCTTTCACCATCCTACACAGGAGATGACTGATGACATGGATTCATACACTAATGTATATCGTATATTCTCCAAAGACCCTCAAAAATCACAAGAAGTTTTGAAAAATTCTGAGATCATAAACTGGAAACAGAAACTCCAAATCCAAGGTAACAAGTCTGAAGAAATGGGCAAGCAGCTGTGCTTCTCAAATTGTGTCTTCAACTAACAGCATTAGCATCACCTGAGAGCTCATTAGAAATGTAAATTCATAGAAACTCTCTGAGCTGGGAGAGGTGGAGCAATCTGTGGTGTGCCAAGGACTATAGCTGATTGTGGTGTAAACTCAACTTTGAAAACTACTAAGCACTGAGGTATTAATCAGGTGGGAGCAATGTAAGTAGAGAACTGCATGTCTGACAATATTGCTTTCTTGGCTTTCTCTCAGGTTTTCAAGAAAGTTTAGGTGAGGGGATAAAAGCAGCTGCATTTTCAAATTCAGTGAAGGTAGAGCATTCGAGAGCACTCCTCTTTGTTACGGAAGATATCCTGAAGCTCTATGCCACCAATAAAAGCAAGCTTGGAAGCTGGGCTGAGACAGGCCACCCAGATGACGAATTGGAGAGGTACAAAAAACATGTGCTGATCATTTATAATTGCTATTCCTTGTACATTTTTGTAATTCACATAAATCAGTTTTGGAATGAAGAGACGATGAATTCATTCCTTGGGATGAATAAAGGTTGTCAATGGTCAAAATACGCCACTTTGCAATGGTGGGTCTTTTAACAAGAAGAGGGCCTGGGATCTCTAGAATGGAAGGGCACCTAGAAATTACAGGAGTGGGGATGAAAGTTGTTGTCTTTCTTTTTGTTTTCTACAGCGAGACTCCCAATTTTAAGTATGCCCAGCTGAATGTGTCTTATTCTGGGCTGGTAAATGACAACTGGAAGCTAGGGATGAATAAGAGGAGCCTGCATTACATCAAGCGCTGCCTAGGAGCCCTGCCAGCAGTCTGTATGCTGGGCCCAGAGGGGGTCCCGGTCTCATGGGTAACCATGGACCCTTCTTGTGAAATAGGAATGGGCTACAGTGTGGAAAAATACCGAAGGAGAGGCAACGCGACACGGATGATGGTGCGATACATGAAGTATCTGTGTCAGAAGAATATTCCATTTTACGGCTCTGTGCTGGAAGAAAATCAAGGCGCCATCAGAATGAATAAGGCACTAGGTTTCCTTGAGGCCTCCTGTCAGTGGCACCAATGGACCTGCTACCCACAGAATCTTGTTCCGTTGTAGACAATGAAGCTGCTTAGCAATCTTGGGCAAGCCATCTCTTAATATTAAAGCAGACACCACAGAATAGCTTTCTTCACTTACAAATGTTGATTGGGCATTTATGATATGGCAGGAACTCCTTCTCACATGGAGACCTGATGTTAAAGGACACAGCCATGCTCTTGAGGAGCTTACAATCCAAGCTGGAGGCAGGGGAGGGTATAGTCTTTAAATATGCTTAAGTGTTGTAGGGAAGGACAGAGTTACCAATAAACATGTAACTAGAAAGCCAGGCTCAGTTCTTACCTCTGGGAATCAGAACTCTTTATGAAACTTGATTGATAGAATCTACTATCTGGAAGATAATTGAAGAACTTTAATAAAATTGTCAATAGAATATACCTAATCTATATGGATACTTTATTGGAAAGAAATACCCCTGCTATGTATAGATTTATGAGGCAATGGCTATACTAAAGAATGGAATCAGTCTCTTAGTTTAGTGACTAGCAAGGTATCAAAGGTGAAGCCTCAGACAAATGGCTTTCCTAGGCTACCTTTCATCATTGTTATGCAGAAAAGGATCTCCAGAGAATCAAGTGGGCTGGTCTTGCGGCCTCTGCTATGGAAATGACATTTGTTGTGCCTCCTTTCCCCTACTCTTTCTCACTTCCTCATCATTAGTGAAGCATGGCACAGGACAAGGTGTTGCCTGTGAGTCTGGTTATAAATTCAGCTTTTGATGTTTGCAGCACTGCTATCTTAAGGGGTCAAGGGCATTCCAGGGAGAAGAGACCACTAAGGTGAAGACTGGAGAGTGAGTAAGAGTGAGCCATACAGTAAAAGTGGAAAAATCCAGATGATGGAAAGGGCACGTGCCATGCACTATCATAATAACTTTATAATTGAACACTTATATTACAATCTGAATCCCTGATCTCAAAAAAAAAAAAAGAAAAATACTCTTCATGAAAAAAACGTGGCCTCATTTGGCTCTGCTCTCCCACCCTGTCATTGGAGCTTGGATTACTGTGAACATTGTAGCCACAGCAAAAAGAAAAAAAAATGGCATTTTTACTCCTTCTGATAGTCTAGATTTTAAAAAAACAAAAGAAATCTTAATAGAATTGTCTTTTGGAGTAAAGTCTACCAGTATTAAACAACACCTCATCTCTCCATAAAAAATAAACCTCCACAAAATTGAATGTTTATACTTGATGCGATTTGAAAGTGTGCAATTCCAGCACCTAAAGAATAGTGTAGGTCATGGAGTTTTTAAGAAACTCCAATTCATCTTAGAAGGCTATGGTAGATCTGTTACATCTTAGTATAAATCAATCCAATCAGATTTCTAAACTCCTGAGACCTGGCTGATTTGTTACATTGACTGAAATGAAAGCATGGTCTGAGAGAGAGAGTAAACATGTCATTTGGGATTTCAAAGGGTGGAAAATTCTTACCTAAAAAATAAACTCAGGAACTTGGAGTCATATAAAAACAGCTATATTTTGGCACTCAAGAGGCAAAAGCTAATACAGATGATGAAAGAACACAAAGAAAATAAGATTTGCCTATTCAAAATGGTGCCTCGGGCAGGTCCTGTATCCAGAAGAGGATGTTCATCCAGGGTCTGGGGCTAAGGTCATCTTAGCACAGCCCAGCTGCCAGCTTCCCTCCTCTGCCGCTTCCCTGAACACAAGCCAGCTTCCCTTATCTAGCCCTTCTTGGCCCTGTTAAAAAAGTGATTCCTAAACCTTATCATGCACTTGGATTGAAAAAACAACAAGAAAGCATGGGAAAGAGGAAAGAGGATTCCTTAAATATGGCACAAGTAAGTCCAACATTATCAATAAACGCACTAAAAATGAATGGGGTAATTTTCTTATTAAAATATATGTTTTTCATACTGAGTTAAAAACAAAGTCCAAAAAGCATACATCTCTGTGCCCTCACATGGTAGAGACAGAGGAGAGCTCAGACTCTCTTCCTTTTCTTAGAAGGACTTAATACCATCATAGGGGCTCCACCCTTATGACTTAATCTAAACCCAATTACTTCTCAAAGGCCCACCTCCAAGTCCATTGGGAGTTGGGTCTTCAACATATGAATTTGGGGGTCACTGTCAGTACATAAGAAAGCATATCTGAAATAACACACAAGTGTTCACGGAAAGGAAAAAGATATACTAAATGAATGTGAAACTGAAAAGCAAAGTAATACCATCAACACTTGGCAAAATAGAACGTAAGTTGAACATCTGCTAAATACAGAAATTCTCCCACAACATAGATCATGAATCTGCCTCAACACAACACAACTACAAACTATACATGGCAAAAGCTGACGGACATACAAAAGAAAAATGCAAATCCACAGTCTCAGTGGGAGAACTCAAAAAACTTCCCTCAGAAAGCAACAGATGATGCAGACAAAAAATAAAGACAATTTGCCAAAATGCCATCACAACTTGATATTTCTGGTGATGTTGGGGTTATCTGCTTACTGTGTATTTGAGAACTTCTGTTCACCTGCTTGTCAAACTGACCAGCAGGGGGTGCTGCGGAGGGAAACACTCCATCTGGAGAATGCTGGCAACTTGTCTCTTAAGTCTAGAGGCTCCTTGTCCCCCTCATGATCATCACCTATGAGGTGCAAGCACTGCTGATACAGGAGCTAAAAAGAAATTATTAAGCAGTTAGTGTAGGTAAGAGAGTCCTCGGTAAGGTTTTTCTTTTAATAAAAAGCAGCCCCCATATAATTTCTTTTCTAGCAAAAATCAGCCTAAAAAATCAAGCCACAAGCATACATAAGCAAACTAAAAACTTGCATAGCTAAATGCTGGCACCTATGCAAATAGAAAAGGGATACTTGGAAGCCAGGCATCCTCAACATAGAGGTTTCCTCTTCCTATTTTTTTTTGTTTGTTTGTTTGTTTTTTCAGATGGAATCCCGCTCTGTCACTCAGGCTGGAGTGCAGTGGTGCATTCTCAGCTCACTACACCCTCCACCTCCTGGGTTCAAGCAATTATCTCCCTCAGCCTCCTGAGTAGCTGAGATTACAGGTGCCCACCACCACGCATGGCTAATTTTTTTTTCGTGTTTTTTTTTTTTTAGTAGAGGCGGTGTTTCAGCATCTTGGCCAGGCTGGTCTTGAACTCCTGACCTCTCGTGATCCATCGTCCTTGGCCTCCGAATGTGCTAGGATTACAGGCATCAGCTACCACGCGTGGCCTCCTATTCCCTTTTCTTTGTATTCACGTGTGCAGGCGACATGGCACAGGCCAGGTAGAGGCCCCGTTTGCATACTAAAGATTCATGTGGGATGGCCAGGCTCTTCATGCATCACATAAATGGCACACCTGCTCCAACCAACCCTCTGAGCCCTATGTAAATCAGACACTGCCTCCTCAAGCTCCTCTATAAAACCAACCACAACTCGCCCCAAACCCGGAAACCTGCTCAGGCACCTTTCCAATGCATGAGGAAACTCTCTCTTCATTCTTTTGCCTATTAAACTTTTGCTCTTGAACCCACTCCTTTGGTGTCCACATCTCAATTTCCATACTGTGAGACAGCAAACCTCTGGCATTTCCCCAGACAAACGATGCCGCTTCACTGCCATCTCAAGCCCAAGTGCCAAAAATGACCACTTTAGTCTGAAGAATGCCACAGCTGCCACCATGCTGCTTAGGATAAGCAAGGACATGAAGATGGAGTGGGGACGGGTTTATTAGAGAGGCCGCAATAAAAGCATATCCCAGGCAACTTTCCACTTCTTAACTTCTGTCATTTTCAAACTTAAAGGTGTTTTTTATTGTTGTTGGTTTGCTTTTCTTTTTAACAGTTTCTATTTCTGGCCAAAAGACTGCTTTTTGTTTTCCTGCTATGACATATTTATTCTTTGTTCAAAAGTCTTTTCCATGATTTCATATAGGAACTAAGAAGACAGCCATGTGTTTGCTCAACACATTGATCCCCTCTCCACCTAGAACTCTCTTTACTGTTTCTCCCAGGAAGATTCCACCCCTCCTGTTCTGCCAGTTTCCTCATATTTGCCTCATACAATTGCCCTTGTAGGCAGATGAACCCGGGCTAGTTCTACTTTACTATGGACACCAAAGCTTCTGAAATAACATCTGAGTCTTGGGATTTGCATATGAATCTTCCCTTGACACAGCAAACAGTCTTTCCTTTTACCTTCACTAAAGTCATCTACTTGGGAGAATGGAGAGCACTAAAATTCTACAGATTTCAAAAACAAACCTGCTGTGCCTTTCCAGAGTCCTTGGAATGCAAAAGAGAAAATAGGTTAGAAGGGATATTTTCTCCTTCCTTTCTTACCTTGAAGGAGCTCCTATTTTTAAAGGGAATCATTGGGGACAATCCAAAAGAAACTCTTGCAAATCAAGCTTTGCCATGCCATCACGAGAAGGGTAACATGTGTGCCCAGTGGTGAAATTTTTAAATTTTGGTAATGATCTCCAGGGTCACCCCTATGGATAACAAAAATATTTTAAAAACCTATAATGGTGCCAGCCTTTCAGAACCCTGTCTCTTTGCAAGGACCTACCAAGGTCTAGAGATCATAGCACCTCACTAGCAGCCTACAGGCATTCTCCAAAGGTTCCCACCTGCCCCACCCAACATACACACACACATACACACACACACACCCTCCTGCTATCCTTTGGCCCTAGATTTCACCTAACTTTATTCTAAATCTTAATCACCCTGTGCCCCCAAACTCATGTGTTATAGGGCCTTGGTAATCCCTTTCTAAGCATATTCCCTGACTTCTTAAATTCTATTTATGAGACATATATCTAAAGTAAAACTATATTTCAGGCCAGATCAGCACGCTTCTTATTACAATTATAAACACTGAACTTCTTAGTTGCTGGGAAAATATATTGAAAAGGCATTATTATGCTTGTATAGCCATAGATTATCTAGGGAAAAGTATTGAGTGTCTCGAGAATGAGTGAAAATTGTTTCCCCAATATACACCTTTTTTTCTTTTGAAAAGTATATCCTGCGTATATTCAAAAGATAATGTTTTTCAAAAGGGGAAATTGCCTCCACTGTGGACTCTTATTAATTCACTTATCCATCAAGTTCTCTTATTAACTCACTTATACATCATATTCCCTTATTAACTTTTTATTCAATCACTGGTATTTGTTTCTAGTGCTCATAATTGAACACAAATTTGTTTACTATTATATAAAATAAAGTAACAGCTATTCACCGTTTCCTCCTTTACCTCAATAAGTTGACATCTTCCAATAGATTTATTTCCCTGTTTTGCTCCCTCCTCAGATCCAGATGAGTGTGCTAAGTGATACAAAATGCTTTTATTCCTCTACCGTTCAACCCCCTGAGCCCGATGTTTTAGTTCCACGTGTTTTAGTTCCAGGTGTCACAGAATTTCCCTTGCAGTGTGTCTCATCAATTTAAAGAATCCTTCTTTAAAACTTTTCTTACACATTCCCAGAGAGCCTATCATTGTCCATTTAGAGTTAACTCTCTACATAAAATTTGTCAATTTTTTTTTACTCACCACTGTTTCCTCTCCTTATTTTCTGCTCCTATCTGAAATCTCTTTTCCTATTTGATTAAATTGCTTCTTCAGTATTTCCTGCATGTACATATGCTACCGATATAATATCTGAAGACTCTCAAATCCACAAATATCTTTCTTTGACCCTCACAAGAATATAATTTCTGCAGCCTTATACATTGACAAATGTTTGTCTTTTACCCTCAAGTGACTGATTCCCTATGACATCACATTTTAGGATGACCAAATATAATTTTCCACTTTATACATAAGGAAACTGAGGTACAAAGAAACAAGGTAGCCTTGAACTTTCATTCAAGGTCACAAAGCTAGCAAAAAGTGGATGACTAGCGATGAGGTCTTCAGGTTGAGATTAACAAACAACATCACAGGATATAATAGGATTTAACCCAACTTCAACTTCATAAAATGAATGGACATTCCCTGATCTTCCCTCCACTCCCACCCCCACCTCAGGGGATTTCAGGATGCACTGGGCAAAACTGTCTCCCTCCATCCCCAACCGTTTCTCAGGCAGTGACAGGTGTCAAGAACTCCTCGCCGCCCTTCTTGAAGCTTACATTCTGGAGCAGGGAGGCAGAAGCTAAACCAAAAATTAAAACAACTGTGAACATATTCCCTATAAACTCAGATGTAGTATATGAAAACAACACATGATTTGACGACAGAAGATGATGGAGGGAGAAAGAACAACAAATAAATAGGAAAAGAGGCCTCAGATAGGAGCAGGTAAAAAGGAGAGAAAACAGGAAGGGGTCAGGACTGGTTTCCCTCAAAGCCTGTCATTTGACAGAGAGCTGCAGAAAGAAGGAATAGAGCCAAGCACATAACAGGAGGGTAGAGTTGCAGTCTGAAGCACCCAAAATGGTCCACTAGGATGGACAAAGGACATACTTGAACCACCACTTAGATTCATCTTCATCTAAAAAATAAGAAATTAAGTGTGTGTAATATTTAATTATTTAGTACATTAATTACAGTAGAATATATAGAGTTGATGCTCAATTTGTTAAAAAATAGATATCTAAAATTAAACCTCAGAGATTACTCTTGCCTATGACAACGAGCTTCTGAAAGGCAAGGATAGGTCTCACCCATCTCTGTATCTTCAGAATCCATCATATTATGTGGAACATAATAGGTATCAATAGTATGTTGGGGAAAAAAATCGAAACCATGCTGAGCACCGGAATTCTGTGTAAATCTTTTTAAAAAGTCTCTTCTACTTTACATCAGAGTCCCTTTTGTATTTTTAGTATCATCCAGCCCCACGCCTTGCAGATAAGCCCCTAAGAAATGAATGGGTGAATGAATGTGTGGACAGCGGGATGGATCATTGAGTGAGGAGCAGTGATTCGCAGGACCTGCATGCATTGAAATCCTGCCAAAGCAGCCTCTGCAAAATAAAAGACCTTGGGCTTTGGTTTCTGACACAAGTTAAAATTATCCAAGGACTCTCCTTGGGCCACTTAGTTGAGGTTTCCTAATCTGTGAAACAGAAAATGAATTCAATAGAAAGATGATTGAGACAAATTTCTGGAAGGTGCCAAAGCAGGATGCCTGGCATTGAGGGACGCTTCACACCTGTTATCTCTCTCCCTATTCTCTCTTCACCCCTACTCCCGCCCGGCAACTCCCCGCTGTCAGCTCCAGGAATACTTACCTGCTGAGAAAAGGAAAAGCACAACACTGACTTTACCCCGCGACGCTTTTAAAAACTCCAAAACACCCAGCGCGATGGGGAGTAGGTTTCCCTAAAGACAGGTGGAGCAGCCATAGTTAACTTAGAGGAAGGTGAATTGACAAAGAGGGTTGAGCCACTACGAGCGGGAGTTACCTTGGACTAACAGTTGTATCTTCAGCGAGCACAAGTCCTGGAATCTCCCACGCCCATCCCTTTTTTTAGCGCCACAAATGCAGCCTCCTAAGAGAATGGGAAGCTTGGGAGTCAGAGAACAGAAGATTGAGCTACCATTGGCCTTAATGGATGTCAATCTTCACTTGTCTCTTTTTTTTCCTTCCTCGCCTCCTTGCCCCTCCCTATCCCGGTAGGCGCGTTCTCTGGCGCCATCATATGGCAGAATGCGGGACTACACCAAATGCGGAAAGGCACCTTCCCCTTCCCTGAGTATCTGCAAACTCAGGGCTGGGCTTGGTTTTTAAGAGCTCAGCTCCTGTGCCAGGGGCGGTGCTAAAAGGGGCTGCCTGCGCAGATGTCATTCCCACAAGATGCAAGTAAAGAAGCACCGCGGACACCGGGGGAGGGTCACAGAGTGACAGGAGGACTGGTTGACCAGCTGACTGGCCTCACTTCTGACAAATGCAAATTACCCAGCCACAGTCCAACCAAGGGTATCAAAACAGGATCTCTGCAGATGGAGCTCAGTGTTATGTGTTTTGGATGCTCGCAATAAGATTTTCATGCACCATAAACTTTCCTGAGTATCTCAACCAGTTTTGTTGATGCCGGGGTTTGTTCAAAGCTGCAGATTACTGGGCCTCACCCCAGACCTACTCTACTTAAATATAGTGGGGTTCCCATAATCCCCATTTTAAAAAACCTATCCAAGTTAAAGTACAGAGAATCACAAACTGGAAGAACTCCTTAATTTACAAATAAGAAATGGAGACCCCCCCACCAAGAGAGAAAGGAATTTGCCCAAGGTCTCCCTGAAAGAGCCTAAGAAAGCGTGAGGCTCTAAGGTTAAAATCCTACCTGACACCCTTTCCTTTCCCCAACTAGTCCTGTGACCTCTAGCAAACTATCCTGTCCTAATCTGTGAAATGGGAGCAACAGTCACACCTACCCCAACTGGTGACTGCAAATATTAAATGGGGCCACAATGAGTCAACTACCAAGCACCACCCCATTGTAAGTTGAGGTTGAAATGATTCTAGATCGCCCTACCCCCATTCATCTCCCAGTACCATTGTATGACCGTGGAGGTGAAACCATCCAGCCGCCTGTTGGTCCCAAACCATGTTCACCTCCACCCGTGGCTCAGTGACTATTTCTTTTCTTGAAGAGAGAGAGAGGCTCCTTGGAGCCTCTGGAATCTGGAGGGGGATGTTACCTTCCCCCTGTGTGCATTGTCTTCCCAAGATAGGATGGACTACGGGGTCTCCATGTGAAGAGTTAGCTGCCAGGGCATCAAGGATGGCTCCTAAGTGGTTGCTGGAGGCTTAGAGACCCCACTCCAGCTCTCTCTCAAATGGGGGCAGCTTGTTTGCAGCAGTGAGTGAGGTGGGCCCACTACGAACCCACAGGAGGAGAGGAAAAGACCGTCCCATCTAAGCTTTTACATAACCCATTGCAAGCTCCAGAATGTGGTGCCCAGGCCCATATCTATAACCCACCCCCAGAGGCCAGTTCTCCTCAGCCTTTCCTGCCACTTCTGCCATTGTACATCCAGACACTTCCCCTGTTCTCTTCTATCAAACTCCTACTCATCTCTCAGCCATCTAGTCCAAATATTAATCTTTCTCTGTGATATACTCTCAGGGTAGAGGCAGTGGTGCCTTCCTCTGTATTCCCAGAACATGTTGTCTGCAACTCTAAATACAGACATCATCCTACTATTAGGGTTCAAGAGCATCTTTTATGGGTTCATGAAGGAATCACTCTTCGTAAACACTGGCCTTATTCCCTAACTTCACCAGACCTGACCTTAGTGCATGATCCATTCCCACCTCTCCCAACCACATGAGAGGCCTTTTCCTCTTTATGGGTTTGCAAACCACAATATGACCTAACCACCAGTTACTGGCCAAAAGCATTCTTGTCACGTTTATTATAAAATCCAGCCAACAAGATGCTTTGTGCCAAGGGAATGTTCCTTTTCAGGGCAAACACTCTGTCCCCAGGGATGTTAGACAACTTCCATAGCCCCGTATAAGCATTAGCTAGAAATGAGTTTTTCCTAGTGGCCCAACAGATTCCCTGAGCATCCCTACTCTTTCACGGATTCCCATTGCAGTGGGATTGCATCAAACCTCTCAGGGCAAAGCTGCAAAGGGAAAAGCAAAGCTAGAGCTCTACTCTGGACCTATCGCTCTAGACAGTTAGTTTCTCTGTGAGGGTCAGTTTTATACGTAAGGAAGAAATGGAAGATTGCTCCCCAAAACGGCATCAGGTTACTTATCCCAATTGTGTGGTTCAGTTGCTACGCCAGTGATGAGCAAATAAACAGGAAGTAGAAGCACAACTATTCCTAAGCTCAAGAAGCAGGGAAGCTCAGGAATTGGTGTGCAGCAGTGCTGCTTGGAGCGCCATTACGAAGGAACAAGCACGGTCCACTGGGAGGTAAAATTCAGGGAATCGAAGACACAGGGGGTATGGGAAACAAGGCAGGCTTTTTTATTTATCATTTGCCATGATATCTCTCTGTGAACTTTCTTCTCCCTTTTAATTTTCCCTGTACTTTAATTATAATTCTTAGGCCTGACGTGGTGGCTTACATCTCTAATCGCAGTACTTTGAGACGCTGAGGCAGGCAAAGCAACTGAGGCCAGGAGTTCGACCCAGCTTGGCCAACATGGTGAAACCCCATCTCTATTAGAAAAACAAAACTCAGTTGGGCATGGTGGCAAGCACCTGTCATCCCAGCTGCTCAGGAGGCTGAGGTATGAGAATGGTTTGAACACAGGAGGTGGAGGTTGCAGTGAATCGACATCATGCCACTGCACTAAAGCCTGAGCAATAGAGCAAGACTCTGTGTCCAAAAAAAAAAAAAAAAATACAAAACTTCTCAGCTAATGGCCAACATTGAAATACAAAACTTCTCAGCTAATGGCCAACATTGTTACCATCATAAGTCCCAGCTTCCCTGTCTTCCTGTCATCATGTGTTGAATGTCCACTTCCCTCCTTATTTTTCAGTTGGAGTGGATTAGCATCACCAATTCAACATGTCACAAGTAGAATTACACAAACACACATAAGCACCGCAATCCTGGCACACACAGCATCTCTGTCCTCAGACTTCCCCATCCTTCTAGTTGCTCAAGTCAAAAGCCCAGGAATCATCATTGAGCCCTCTGTTTCTCTTATTTATGGACCATCCATAAGCAAATTCCATGGGCTGGCCCTTCAAAATAAATGTGGAATCCAGCCATTTCTAACACTTCCACCATTACCATCTGAGGTCGGGCTCCAACATCTTTGCAATCCTGGGATAGACTCTTAGCTGCCTTCTCCCTTCCACATCTCTTCTTGTCCTCCCAGAGTTTGTACCGCGCACAAACGCTGCTAGGGTGGTTTTAAAAAATATGTCAGGGTATATTTCTCCCTTACTTCAAATCCTCCATTTAAAATAAATTTCACATTTATAGCCAAATCCAGACTTCTTCATATGGCCCACCAGGGGCTTTATGCTAATGGAATGTGCAGATGCTCCTCCCTGAGGAGCACCTTTTACCAGGGCAAATTTTCTATCTCCAATGATGTCAGGCAATTCCGACAACACCATTCTCTACTACCTCTTGGTTTTCATAGATATTTTTCCTCCAGATTCTACAAAAAAAGAAGATCAAGTCTCCTTGTGCAATGATTTACTCTCTGATGTATATTGGTGCCAGGCACGTGTACTGCTTTCAGATGATTCAAGAATAACAGCGATTTGAGAAAGCTGTCCTTAAGTTTTCTCTTCTCCTTGACTGTATGACATTATTTTTACAATTATACTTCCAAAGTTTGCTCTTTCCAAACACCACAAGACCTATGTAATTTAAGCAGTGATTTTAGGGGTCTCTGTATATTTTATATTAATTTCAGAAACATGCTCATGATTATTCCACCAAAACTATCAACTGTTACATAAACATCTGTCCTTCTATGAGTTGCAAAATAATTGTCACCATCCCCACTTAATCAACCATCTTGTATCCTTCTTTGACCAACTTCTGAAAAATAACACCCAATACTAAAGGCATCTCCTTCTATTCAGGGTCTCAGACAGTAAGACGTTCTTTCCTTAAACAGTAAGACGTTTTCTCAAGTCCCATGGAAAGCACTTCTTTGATATCAGTTTGGGGAGGCCGAACTCTGGAGTCTTCATCCGAAGAGTAAAGTACCGCACTCAGTAATGCGCGTCCTGGGAACCAAGCCTAAGCAGTTTTGGCCGCTTCCTCGTCCAGGCTGGCATTGTCTGTGTTCGCCAGCCCCTCCGCGAAGTTAGCTCATTTGCGGATCAGGCCAAATCCCTGGAGACTTCACGCAGACGCGGGTGCAGCCTGCTCTGGGACTTGAAGTCCGCTGGAGCCTGAGCCTCTGCATCATCCGGGTGGAGCTCTCTCTGCTGCTGCCAAAGGATCCCGCCTGGATGCTCATCCCGCCACCGTCGCCCACCCCGCAGCTGCAGAATGGCAGCAACTGCCACACACCTAAGCAACTTGGCTGGCTATTCGCCCTGCAGCTCCCGCCAGCGCGCTGCCCAAGCTGGCAATCAAAAGTCTGGGAAAGCGCGAAAGCGCCACGTGCCTCGCACTCCGCCCAGCTGCCGCGCAGCTCCTCCCTGGCTTCCACTGGGAGACAGGGGACTCCCATGAGAAGGAAGGAGCAGGGCAGTGATTGCTTAGTTTATCCTGGGACGCGGGAGCTGTCCCCGTGGACTGAGTGGCGCGGAGAGGGGATCACTGAGACCGGGAAGGGTCATCCAGACAAATAAGGAGGGGTGCGGGTGGGCGCGCAGTGCCCTCCGCCCGGCCTTCAGACCCACCCGCGCGCGCGCAGGCGTGTGCTCTCATCCTTCCCTTCCCTTCACTGTCTGGAGTGATGATAATTGGCTTCCAAAGTGGATGAGAGATGAGTCATTTACATCCAATGAGGGAAAAACAGCCTCCAGAGACTCTTCGTCCATTGGCCAGTGAGAGTGTCAATTCCCAGGCTCCTGCCGCACGCGGGCGAGCCCTTCTAGGCGGGAAAAGTTCAGCTGAGAGATATAAGAGAGCAGACTTTCCAGCACCTGTGAATCCAGAGCGGTGGGCACTGACGGGCACGTGCACCGTGTGGACAGACTCTCCAGTTCTATGAGTGGTTTTTCTTTTCCCGGGTCGGACCTGGAGTTCTTAAGAGGATGGCTGACAAGGGCAGTAGGCAGAAGGACCTCAGCCCAAAGTCAAGGAGGTTTTGGATGGGGAGCTGGGCAGCCGCCCGTTGTAATTCCCTTCCCGTCTCAGCTTCAAAGGCCAAGAGTTGTACTCCTGAAAAGATACTTGGAGATCATCTGGGTGTTCCTGAATCTCAAGAGGGTCGTTTGACCCTGGTGGGTCCTTTCCCTACCCGGTGCCTTTCTCGCCCGTAGAAGGAGACCAGGTTCGGTTAAGCAGAGCAGAAACTATTCACTGATCAAGGAATGGAGTAGGAGAGCTCCTGCTCAAAGTGCCTGGGGTGTAGTGTGGGGGTGCTCCTTAAGGTCTTTTAGGGCACGTAGTTGGAAAGCAAGGATTCCTGGAAAGAGATGGGGCTTTCCAGAACCAGCTGAGTGTGGCAGTCTCCTATTTGCTGTTGCCGCCCAACACTACATGTGCCTAGCAAGCTGCATTTCTCCCGTAGGCACAGATTGAGGTATGGTAATTAGCAATTGAGGATTCAGGTTAGGGTAGCGCTTCTAAGTTCGTTTCCCATCTTGTAGCACGGTGGTTACTGACATCCAGTCTCTGTTTCTGTAAGCAAGCACAGCTTCAAGCACAGGTTACCTTAATTGGTTCTGGGGCTTTAGGAAAGCATTGAGGTCATCCTGCGGTGACAGAGGCAGCTGTTCAAAGAACTTGGTGCGAGTTTGAGGCAGGGGTTGTGGAGTGAGGCAGGTAAAAATGCAGATTCCATAGCCACACCCCGACATACTGAATCAGAGTCTGTGAGGGTGGGATCTGGAATCCTTTTTAAAAAGCTCAGAGGAACCAATTCACACGAACAATAAAAGTTTCATCTGAGCCAAAGACCTTAATCTAGAAATGAGAAAACGGGGATCCCCAAAAGGGTTACAGGGAGAGGGTTGGAGGAAAGTTAGACTATGACAGTTTTAGGGTGGTTCTTTCCTGGCCTTGGGAAGTTTTCTCAGCTGCTGCTCTGATCAGTACGCAGCTGAATGCTTTAGGGGAACCCTCTTCATATATCCGGAGTTCCCTCTCTGTGCAGGTCTCCCACCAGGGTCTGTGGCCCGTGACCTCTTGCCACCCTGGTCTCTCCGCTTTGTCTCCTCAAATCTAGAATTCCAACTGGCTTTGTCTTGCTGCCCTTCCTTGCGACACTGGCCTGGAATCCTTCAAGTTAGTCTGCTAGCGTGGATTGTAGGATGCATCTCAGTTGTCACTATCCTTAATTGCATGATGTCCAGTTCCTCGCAAAGCGTTGTTTCATATATTTTGCCCATTTTTGTTTTGTTTTGCTTTCAGACTAGGGGGAAATCCAGTCCCTGTTCTTCCATTTTGGCCAGAAATTCAAGGTAATGACTTTTAATATTTCTGACTACTAGTTCCATCATCTCTCTCACTTCTGGATCTGTCTCTATTCACTGATGTTCCTAGTCATTATGGGTCATATTTATCCACTTCTTAAATGCTTGCTGATTGTTTTATTAGATATCAAGCTTTGTTAATTTCACAACTTTGGGTGCCAGAAATTTTTACCTTCCCATCAATATTCTTGAACTTTATTTTAGTACCTTGATATTTTACATGGAAACCATTTTATAATTTCAAAGTTTGCTTTTATTTGTTAGGTGGGAGCAGAACTAGGGCTAATTTTGTCCCACTGTGGAAGAAATACCTTTCAGAGTAGTCTCTCTGATATTTCATGAATTGTGAAATTTTCTAGTCAGATTTTTGTGAACTGAATCTATTCCCTGTCCTGTATGAGCCTCAGAAATTGTTACATCTGCTCCTTTTGGGTACTTCTTTTTCCTGTTCCTTTTCAACAGCTTTATTCCACTCATGCATTGACCAAGCTGAAATCTCAAGGGATACCCACTGCAGATCTCTGATACTATGTGCTCCTGTGGCTCTCTTCTCCCTAGTACTCTGCCATACAAGCTCCAGTCAGCCTGGCCTCCCAAAACTCCAAGCTTGTCTTCTCAACTCAGGGAAACTGCTAGACTCTGCCTGTTCTCTTGCCTAAGATATGCCTTGGAAACTCCATACAGTAACCTAAATAGCCACAGGGCTTACCTCATATGATTTTCTTCTCAGATATCAGAGATGAGGTCCCACACAGCCTGATGTCCAATGATTGAGAGTTGTTATTTCACAGATCTTTCCTTTTTGGGTTTTTTTTAGACATTTCATGTGGCAGAATGAACTCAATCCTTGTTTCTCCATCTTATCCACTAGTAAATATTAGTTATATTCTCTTCGAATTCATCATGAATTCCATGAAGACTGAAGAAAACAAGTCACTTAGTGCCACAAAAGATGACCCGAGGACTAGACCTGAAGTTTCAAAGGTATATCTACTTTTTTACAACTCCTCAGAGGAGTGATAGTCTAACCATAGTGCCATATGAGGTTCTTGGAGATAAGTTCTTAAACAATGGTCGTTATAAGCCTTTCTCTTAGGTAGTTTAAAATATATTTGGGTAGCTCATACACATAAGTGCTTGTGGAAAGCATAATGATAGAGTATGAGTTAATAATGCTAAACGTGTCTTAAGACAACAAGATGACTAACAAATAATATAGACACTTAAAATCATGGAAAGTATAGACAGGCAAAAATAATTAGCTAATGTTTTCTGAGGAAACACTGTGTGCCTGGAATTGTGTCCCATCATATGGATTATCCCATTTAACAGTTAATAGAACTGTGCAGTAGTTATTATCATACTTATTTTACAAAAGAAGAAACTGAAGCTCAACTTGCTTATAGTTGCAGAAGTAACGGACTTCAAAGCAAGGATCTTAACCTAGGCAGTCAGACTACAGAGACTGGTTTTTGACCCACACTATTTTGCTCAAAATATGCAAAATGATAATACTAAATTGAGATATAAACAAGTGATTTTAGAGTACAGAGAGAAGAATACTTAATTCAGACTAAGGAAACTACAGCAGCATCATATGAGAAATGATTTATTAATGAAAAATAAATCTAAAATTGTCAAACTCATAGATGTAGAAGTGGTTGCTGGGCTGGGAAGAGAGAAAAATGGAAGTGTTAGTCAAGGGATACAAAGTTTCCTTACACAAGGTGAATAAGTTGTAGGGATCTGAACAGCATGAGTGCCAATAGTTAACACTATTGTGCACTCAAATTCTTGCTAAAATGATAGATTTTATGTTGTGTTCTTATTACAAAAATAATAAATAAGAGGGCAGGAAGAGACTTTGGGAGGTGATAGATAGGTCGATGTCATAGAATGTGGTGATCATGTATCTTCACATTCATCAAGTTGTATACACTAATTATGTACATTAATTATGCATTTGGTATGTCTAAAACTAATTTATTTTTTAAAAAGAATGAATAACATTTCACTAGTGTATCAAGGATGAAGGAATGGCCTGAGTAAAGTCATGTACACAGGAAAACATATTTGGGGAACAGGATAGCTGCATTTGATGCTATGTAAGGAGAATTCAAGAATGTGGTAGGCAAATAATGCTTTCTATACTGGTAAGGTAGTGTGGTGCCAAGATCACAGTAGGCTTTATATCAATAAGAGCTTTTCATATTGACAGTAAAAATATTTTCTACTTGTGAAACAATAAAATGGATTCATTGGTTCACCTGAGTGGACATTCCAGAATTCAGCAGAGCTCTTAATTCAGTAGTATACAGTTTCTTTGAGGACTTGTTTGTGTGTTCAGTCTCTATGTTCTGCTTTTCATGTTATCCCCTGGCTGGCTTTCTGCATAGTGACAAATACAGCTGCAGTAATATCGGATGTGTTACTCTCCCGATAATGAGTCTACCCTGGTTTCCTGAGGAAACTTCTCTTTGCCATCTTATTGTCCCAACTTAAGTAGCTCACCCATTTCAGCACAAAACCTTGTGACTCCGAGGGCACATATAGATATTCTTAAGCTGTCATGAATTCATTTCCATACATGTATGGCTCCTAAAAAGTGTGAGAGAGGTAGAATAGCTTTCTGGAAAATAGCTGCAGTATCTCCTACTTCTTTGAAATCCATGTGTAGGTTTTTGGATTTTCTTCTGTAAATAGAGGAGACGCGTTTGCCGACTTTATCTCTGTATCGCTTAGGAGGAGTTATTTAATTCACTTTAGACTTTGTTAAGTTAAATATTAATGTTAAAATGCCCAGGGCTATTTTGTTCAAGACAGTTGCCACTAATCACGTGATTTTTTTTTTTTTTTTTTGAGACGGAGTCTCGCTGTGTTGCCCAGGCTGTAGTGCAGCCCCACGATCTCGGCTTACTGAAAGCTCTGCCTTCTGGGTTCACGCCATTCTCCTGCCTCAGCCTCCTGAGTAGCTGGGACTACAGGGATCCGCCACCATGCCCAGCTAATTTTTTCTATTTTTTAGGAGAGACGGGGTTTCACCGTGTTAGCCAGGATGGTCTCGATCTCCTGAACTCGTGATCCACCCACTTCGGCCTCCCAAAGTGCTGGGATTACAGGCGTGAGCCACCGTGCCCGGCCCACATGTGATTATTTATATTCAAATTTAAATTCAACTTAACTAATATCAAATAATGAAAAAGGTGAATAATACAAAATCTCAGTTGCACTAATCACACGTCAAGTACTTAAGAACCACCTGTGACGGTAGTATTAGGCAGTACCGATGTAGAACATTTCCATCACTGCAGACATTTTATTGGGCAATACTTGTTTAGGGCATCCAATTATAGAATAGAACTACAGTGTAAAACTGCCAAACTATTTGTCTAGAAAATAGAATGAGAGGAAAAAATCAAAATAAAGGAGGCAACAAAGCAAAGGTTTATAAATTGTGAAAAAGTGGAAAAAGTAGGTGATACAAAAAAAGATGATAGAAATAAACGCAAAACACGCTACACCCAATTAATTGTCTTACAGATTATTCGAAAGACTTTAACTTTTCTTGTTTCTTTTAAATTCATTTATTTCATATACAGTAAAATTCAGTCTTTTTGGTATATAGTTCATGTAACCATGCCTACAGTCATGTAACCATGACCAAAATCAAGAAGCAAAGCAGTTTCATCACACTAAATAACTCCTTTTGTGGTTCCATCACAATAAATAATTCCGCGTTCTCCCCACTCATCCCCTATTCACCCTAGTCCCTCGCAACAACTAATCTCTTCCTTACTCTAGTGTTACCTTTTCCAGAACATCATATAAGTTGAACATACACTGAATCATACACTTTGAGTCTGGCTTCTTTCACTTAGAACATTCCACTTAAGATTCATGGGTGCTGTTGCATGCATTGACAGTTTTTCTCTTTTTATTGCTGAGTAGCATTCCCACTGTGTGAATGTATCAAAAATCTGTTTATCCATTCACTCACTGAAGAATATTTGAGTTGTTTCCCGTTTGGGGAGTTTGTAAATAAAGCTGTTGTGAACATTTGCATACAGGTTTTTGTATGAAGATTAGTTTTCATTTCTCTTGGGTTCACCTAGCAGTGGAATTGCTGTCATGGAAAGTGTATGTTTAACTTTATAAGAAATTGTCAAATTGATTTCAAGATGGCTGTGTAATTTCACATCCTCGATACCAATGTGTAAGAGTTCCAGTTGTTTCATATACTTTTCAACACAAAGTTTTTCTGATTCATTTATTATCATAGGTATGTAATGACATCCTTTTGTGGTATTAATCTGCATTTCACTAATGACTCATGATTTGAGCATCTTTTCATGTGTCTATATCATCCACATATCTTCTTTGGGAAGTGTCTATTAAAATATTTTGCCCATTTTTATACTGGTTACTTATTGCTGAGTTTTGAGAGGGCTTTACATATTTTAGAAACAAGTCCTTTGTCATATTGCTTTTCTCATAACATTTGTGATAATTGCTGATATTTTATCTCTGTATAGCTTGTCCTTTCATCCCCTTAGTCCTGTTTTGGGAGGGAAAAGTTTTCAAATTTGATGAAGTTCACTTTCTCCATATTTCTCTTTGTGAATCATGCTTTTGTTTTTTACATCAGAGAATTCTGCTAAATGTAAGATCACAAAAATCATTTCTAAGTTTTCTTCCAGAAGTTGTATAGTTTTAGGTTTAAGTCTGCAATTAAGTCTTATTTTTATTTTTTTGTATGGTGCAATACCTGGATCAAAGTTTGTGTGTTTGTGTAAACTGTGTGTTAATTGTATAAACAAGTTATCTCAATAGTGGATGATTAGCGTCTTATCATTGCTGAGTCTTCCAATCTTAAACAAGGTATATTTCTCCATTTATTTTGGTCTTGTTTAATTTCTTTTGCTTCGAGGCACCTGGGAGAATAGGCAAACCTGGCGGATGAAGGCAGATTGGGCAGTGGGGGGGCTGAAGGGGCAATGGGACTGGTGCACAACTCTCTCCAAGGCCAGCAGACAAGGCAAGAATTAGAAAGACCGGAAGGACAAGGCACGAGTGACAGAGAAGGTTAGTGATCCTGGCATCATGCAGCTTGAAGATTGTCCAGTAAACTGTGAGTGGCTCCTCCTAGCAGACTTTCTACTATTACCTCTGGGTTTCTGGAGTGTGTCTGCACTGTCTTGCCCCTTTGACCAGAAACCCTTGCTTCCTCCACACTCCCTGAATTCCTCAAAGGACAAACCTCCAGCACTGGAATCTCCCTCCCCAGACAAAATATCTGCACAGATGTAGTCACGTCTCCATCAGGGGTCCCCAGAGTTACATCCCCCTGGAAACTGAATGGTCAAGATAATAAGCTATTGGGACTTTTGTATGCCAAATGCGACAGTCTGCTGGGCACTTTATCAATGTCTTATGGGAGTCTCACCACACCAGGAGGAAAATGTTTTCCAATTTAGCTTTCTTTCCCACGCCCAGCCATGCACTTTTTGCATGGCCATACCTAAAGACTGCATTTGCCTCC